>NC_000002.12:95477216-95804283 GCF_000001405.40 Homo sapiens | reverse complement strand
CCATAAAAACCCTAGAAGAAAATTTAGGCAATACCATTCAGTATATAGGCATGGGCAAGGACTTCATGTCTAAAACACCAAAAGCAATGGCAGCAAAAGCCAAAATTGACAAATGGGATCTAAGTAAACTAAAGAGCTTCTGCACAGCAAAAGAAACTACCATCAGAGTGAACAGGCAACCTACAAAATGGGAGAAAATTTTTGCAATCTACTCATCTGACAAAGGGCTAATATCCAGAATCTACAAAGAACTCAAACAAATTTACAAGAAAAAAACAAACAACCCCATCAAAAAGTGGGCAAAGGATATGAACAGACACTTCTCAAAAGAAGACATTTATGCAGCCAACAGACACATGAAAAAATGCTCATCATCACTGGCCATCAGAGAAATGCAAATCAAAACCACAATGAGATACCATCTCACACCAGTTACAATGACGATCATTAAAAAGTCAGGAAACAACAGGTGTTGGAGAGGATGTGGAGAAATAGGAACACTTTTACACTGTTGGTGGGACTGTAAACTAGTTCAACCATTGTGGAAGACAGTGTGGTGATTCCTCAAGGATCTAGAACTAGAAATACCATTTGACCCAGCCATCCCATTACTGGGTATATACCCAAAGGATTAGAAATCATGCTGCTATAAAGACACATGCACACATATGTTTATTGTGGCACTATTCACCATAGCAAAGACTTGGAACCAACCCAAATGTCCATCAATGATAGACTGGATTAAGAAAATGTGGCACATATACAGCATGGAATACTATGCAGCCATAAAAAATGATGAGTTCATGTCCTTTTTAGGGACATGGATGAAGTTGGAAACCATCATTCTCAGCAAACTATCACAAGGAAAAAAAACCAAACACCACATGTTCTCACTCATAGGTGGGAATTGAACAATGAGAACACTTGGACACAGGGTGGGGAACATCACACACTGGGTCCTTTTGTGGGGTGGAGGTATGGGGGAGGGATAGCATTAGGAGATATACCTAATGTAAATGACGAGTTAATGGGTGCAGCACACCAACATGGCACATGTATACACATGTAACAAACGTGCACGTTGTGCACATGTACCCCAGAACTTAAAGTGTAATAAAAAATATATATATTAAAAAAATAACAAAAAAGTGCTAATTGTAAAAAACAACAAAAAAAAGATTTCGAATTTAGTTTGAACCTTCAATGTATACCTTAAGCAAGTGACTTGAAGGAAATTTGAATGCTGTGTGCCTTCTCCCAGCTCTGCCTCACTGAGGATGGGAACCCAGTGGCACCTGAGACTCCTGGATGTAGTGCCTGGGTGACATTCCTGTGGAGAAAAGCACTTTAGGGCCAGTCTCTAGATGTCTTCTCATGAGTCTTCTGCTTTCACATGAAGCTTTTTAGAAGACAGAAGGAAAAAAATGTGAGAAGAAATACCTTACCCTTCCAGAAGATAGACCTGTTGTGCAGAGGTGCATACAACTGAGGACAGGGTTCAACGTTTTAAATTTCCACGTAGTTTCTGTGACTTCATTTAAGAGACCGTTTTTTGAATTCCATGGTTCCAATTTGTGTCTATTTTCCTGTTCACATAAATTTATAGGAATATACATGCCAGCTGTGAGAGATGACTTTATTTCACTGTTGCTCTTATATCCCCCTACAGTTGTCACAAGGACACCGATATCACACAGTGACATGAACCTAGACATATAGTACACTTGGCAGAAGAATTTGCCAGGTCTAGCCCAGCAGTCCATTCAATGATCTAAAATTGTGATACAGAGAAAAACAGAAACACATATGAAACACTATAGTCAAGATACCCTGAAGTAAAAAACAGAGTAATTTTGACTGATGCATGACACATGCAGAGCCATATTGCACATGTATGTGCATATGTAAGGATCATATTGTATGATCATATTGTATGATCCTTCTCTATAATCTGTGTTTATAGGGCATATCTATGTACAACCTCTATTACACAGAATTAGGCTCAGCCAGAAGGGGGCCAAGATGGCCAACTAGAAGCAGCTATGGTGCATGGCTCTCACAGAGAAGAATGAAAGGGATGAGTAAACACAGCACCTTCAACTGAAATATCCAAGTACTCACACTGGAACTGATCAGGAAAACAGCTCCACCCATGGAGAATGGAAAAAAGCAGGGCAGGGTGACAGCCCACCCAGAAGTGACAAAGAGCCAAGGGGAACCCCTTCGCCTGTGCAGGGAAGTGATGAGTGAATGTGTGAAAATAAACTCCAAACCAGAATTTCATATCCAGCCAAACTAAGCTTCATAAGCAAAGGAGAAATAAGCTCCTTTTCAGACAAGCAAATGCTGAGAAAATTTGTTACCACCAGACCAACTTTACAAGAGCTCATGAAGCTCAGAAGTGTCCCACAACTACATGGAAATTGAACAGCCTGCTCCTGAATGACTCCTGGCTAAATAATGAAATTAAGGCAGAAATCAGGAAGTTCTTTGAAACCAATGAGAACAAAGAGACAATGTACCAGAATCTCTGGGACACAGTTGAGGCAATGTTAAGAGGGAAATTATACCTCTAAATGACCTTATTCAAAAGCTAGAAAAATCTCAAGTTAACAACCTAACATCACAACTAAAAGAACTGGAGAACCAAGAGCAAACAAACCTCAAATCTAGAAGACAAGAATCAACCAAAATAAGAGTTGAACTGAAGAAGATACACACACACACACACACACACACACACACACACACACACACAAATTCAAAAGATCAATGAATCGAGGAGCTTGTTTCTTGAAAAAAAGTAATAAAATAGATTGACCACTAGCTAGACTAATAAGGAAGAAAAGAGAGAAGATTCAAATAAACACAATCAGAAATAATAAGGGTGATATTACCACTGACCCCACAGAAATACAACCATCTGAGAATATTATAAACAACTCTATGCACATAAACTAGAAAATCTAGAAGAAATGGATAAATTCCTGGACACATACACCCTCCCAAGATTGAATCATTGAATCCCTGAATAGACCAATAATGAGTTCTGAAATTGAGGCAGTAATAAATAGCCTACCTACCAAAAAAAAAAAAAAAAAGCCCAGTACCACATGGATTCACAGCTCAATTCTACCAAATGTACAAAGAAGAGCTGGTACCATTCCTGCTGAAAGTATTCCAAAACAATTGAAAAGGAGGGACTCCTTCCTAACATTGTATGAGGCCAACATCATCCTGATACCAAAACCAGGCACAGATACAACAAAAAAAGAAAACTTCAGGCCAATATGCTTGATGAACATTGATGCAAAAATCCTCAATAAAATATTGGCAAACCGAATCCAGCAGCACATCAAAAAGCTTATCCACCGTGATCAAGCAGGCTTCGTCCCTGGGATGCAAGGTTGGTTCAACATATACAAATCAATAAATGTGATTCATCACATAAACAGAACTAAAGACAAAAGCCACCTGATTATGTCAATAGATCCAGAAAAGGCTTTGATAAAATTTAACAACCTTCATGTTAAAAACTCTCAATCAACTATGTATTGAAGGAATCAGAGCCATATATGACAAACCCACAGCCAATATCATACTGAATGGGCAAAAGCTGGAAGCATTCCCCTTGAAAACTGACACAAGACAATGATGCCCTCTGTCACCACTCCTATTCAACATAGTATTGGAAGTTCTGGCCAGGGCAATTAGGCAAGAGAAAGAAATAAAGTGTATTCGAGTAGGAAGAGAGGAAGTCAAACTATCCCTGTTTGACCCCATCATCTCTGCCCAAAAGCTATTTATTTATTTATTTATTTATTTATTTATTTTGGGATGGAGTCTTGCTGTGTCACTCAGGCTGGAGTGCAGTGGCACAATCTTGGCTCACTGCAACCTCCGCCTCCCGGGTTCAAGCGATTCTCCCGCCTCAGCCTCCTGAATAGCTGCTACTACAGGTGTGTGCCACGACGTCTGGCTAATTTTTTCTATTTTTAGTAGAGACAGGGTTTCACTATGTTAGCCAGGATGGTCTTGGTCTCCTGACCTCATGATCCACCCGCCTCGTGAACCTACCCCCCGTGCACCTACCCCCCGTGCACCTCAAGACTCACCGCCCACAGCCTCGCTCAGGAAGATGGGCAGCAGCTCAGCACTCAGCCATGCCAGGTGAGGTGTGTGAGGCCTGGGCCAGGCCGTGGCACCACCAGCAAGTCGCCCTGGCGGATGCGCAGCAGGGCCACGTGTGCCCGCAGCAGGCTCAGTGAGTGCTGCAGCAGGCTCCACAGCTGCCCAGAGAAGCCTACATCAAAGTCACGCAACAGTATCTCCTCCGTCAGCCAGGAGAACTCCCCTAGGAGCTGCTACAGGAACACACCCTGGGTGGGCAAAGCAGGGCTGAGCAGCAGGGCCACACATCCACCCCCCCACCCCAACCGCCCAGGTCCCCACCACATTGCACCCCCTACCTTCTGATGCTTGAAGAGCAGCAGCGTCGCCATGATGGCCGTGCTCATCACCGCAGAGCTCCCCACACTGGCTGGAGTGGGGCGGAGGGTGGAGATGCTGGTCAGGTTGAGGCCCAGCAGCCTGGTCCCTCCATGATCTGGCAAGTCTTCCTAGCCACACATCCCAACTCCACCCCAGGGATGAGGAACGTATGCCCGGAGCAGTGGTGTTTATCATCACACACAGGCTGAGAGCAGGCCAGGAGCTGGGGGCCTTTCCCTAGATCTCATCGTAGGGCCCACACATCAACCCACAGCCTCTACTAGAGGGGCACTGAAGAAGATACAGATGGATCTCCCTATAAGGGCCCTCTGCAGAGGCACTATGCTAAGCCCCTTACACGTATCATTCCATTCAGTTAACACCATCCCCACCCAAAGCTAAGGAGACTCCGCTCAGAAGGCAGGGCTGGGTGTGGCCTTGGGGAAGCAGCTGCAGCCTCCTGGCCTCAGGCCACCATCTCTGTGCATGCACTTAGCTGCTCCCTCATGATGGCCCTGGCTGCCTGCTCCTCCTGTAGGAGGAGGGTTCCATTCTTCTTCAGATGTCCCCGAGGTACCACAGAGGGCCTCAGGTGCAGACACTCACTTGGAATGGAGAACCCTGGTGACTGGCTGACCCCGACAGAGGGGACGGTTCAGTGACCCACCCTCAAAGGCCCAGATCTGGTTCACCCTCACCACTCAGGACATGACAGCTCAGTCTCCTGACCAGGAGCTGGTCCTCTTCCTTGAGGGCCAGGAGAGGCCCAGTTATGGGGGTCCACTCCTGCTCCTTCTCAGTGTCTGGGACAGCAGTACTGAGATAGAGACACAGATTACAGGATGAAGGGTCCAAACACAAAAACAGCTGTGGGAATGCCTAGAGCTTTCTAAAAGGTGAGGGTGTTTCCCCCTCCCAGCCCCAGGACAGAGGATGGCTTCTATAATCCCCAGTCCCATCCAGGCCTCTGTGCCATACCCCACACTCAGACTGTTGGCAAGGCGAGTACCTGGAACTATTCTAGATGACCCCAGGATATTTGGTGAGGGAGGGCTGCTAGTGTGTGTATATGGGGGATACATAAGCTGGTGCTGAAGGGCTGCTTGCCTTGCCCCCTGAGACCCCACACTCCCGTGCCCCTACCATTGGCCCAGCATGATGGGCTGCAGTAGCTGCTCCAGGGTCTGTCTGCCGCCCCAGCAGCTTCTGGCACTGACGATGTATTCCTGCCCAGGAGAAGGCTCTTAGGTGGCCTGCTCGGGCCCACCAGGAAACTTGCACACAGCCCACTGGAAGTAGGCAAAGCTATCCCTGCAGTGGCTTTGAGGGCCAGGCTGCCAGGATGCCTAGGACAGACACCCCAGGTACTCCCAGCCTTCCCCAGCTGGCTCCATACCTGCAGGGAAAAGGGCTGAGCTAGGCGCACCCAGGAGCAGATCCGGTGGCTGCAGCCCCAGCGGCTCCACAAGCTACGTAGGACAGCCAGAGCTCCTGTCCACAGCCCCAGGGGGGCCGAGGCCTGCAAGGAGGGAAAGGATAACTATACTCGCCGAGGACACTGCTCTCGGGCGGACATCAGGGCTGCCCACCCATCCTGGTCTCCAGAGGTATCCTCTGGTCCCACCCTGCTCAGTTTTATCTCAGGCCCAAACTGGTGCGTGACCTTGTCCCAAGCTCCTCTTTCCTTATCCATGACACAGGAAAAATCCCTCCCTATCAAGGTCTTCAGAGGATGAAATGAGATGATGGTAATGGCCTTGACAGGTGCTGCCAGATGATTGTAAGGACGATTCCTTTGTGCCCCCCACAGCCCTAAGTGGGGCTCAGCCACAGGACACAATATTGTGCCTCCTATCGGGAGCTGGTGTCCACCTAGGGGCCCAAGGGGCTGGAAGGTCTCACATTCTCACATGGTCTATGTCACACGGTGCATCCGGAACCAGGTCATAGGTGACGGCCACTGGTACCAGCAGAGCATCTGGGACGATGCCCACCTGGACTGCCTGCACCACAAACCCCACCCAAGCCTGGCCCAGGGCTGACAGCCGTGGCCCCAGAGCCCCAGGAGGTTCCTCCAGGAAGATGAGCAGGGGCTGCCCACTAACCAGCAGCTGCTCTATGACCTGGAATAGGAGGGGTCAGAGGGGGTGTTAAGGCCAGAGCAGAAACAGACCCCTGTCCCCTTAGCCTGGCCCATATGTAACCACTGGGGGCACTCACCGCCTGGACCACAGCCCTGGCAAGGAGCCCCTCAGAGCTGTCCAGGGAGAGGCTGGCCTCTGGGGGCAGGAAAAGCCCCCCAAGCTTCCTCAGCAGAGCTCTGTGGGACATAGGGCAGAGCCTGATAAGGAAAGGGGCTCTGAAGATGTGAATGAGTAAGGGGCTAGTGAGAGTCTCAGCTCCCCCATGGCCAGCCTGTGTCCTACTTGAATACCCTGAGGCAAAGCCATGGCCCTAGGCCCTGTGGCTGACACCTCCATCTAAGCCCCACAGGCTAGACTGCTGTATGGCTCGGAGCAGAGAGGCCACGAAGAGGGCCTTTAGTAGGGAGCTGCTGCCAACACACCCCGATACACACCCCGCCCCAGCCTGCGACTTCTCCCATGTATGTCTAGAGGCAAAAGGTTTTTACCTGAGGGCAGGGGAGCAGGCGCGGGAGTCCCAGGCCACACGAAGCACACCCAGGCCCTGGGAGAGCAGCATAAAGGGCAGCAGGATCCCATCCAGGAGGGTTTTGTGAGTAGAGAGGAGGACAAGCGGCAAGCCCTGCTCCGGGGAGAGCCAGAGGGAAGTGCCAACCTGCCCCACCCTGAGGACACAGGCAGCCAAAGACCCAGGGCAGCCCCAGAGGGAGGGACAGTTCAGCTGCAGAGTTCTTCCTCTGAGCACATTTCCCAAAAGCAAAGGAGCCTTTAGACAACTCTTAAGGTAACTGCACCGACGCACTGACGTCATGGTTGTTAAGACCATGATGGAAAGACGTTAGAGGAAGCCCCATGGGAGCAGGGCCGTGAGACATAAGGGAAGGTCGGCAAAGAGCAGGGGATTTTTCCCACCAGCTGATGGGGACTGGACTGCTGTATGGCTGGGAACAGAGAGGCCAGGAAGCAGGACCAGATGGGGACTGCTCCTGACTTAAGGGCTTGGCCCAGCCTCTGCTCTTCTGCTCCCACCATCCCCAACCCAATGGAGGGCGGGCCTTACTGCCTGGGCGGCCTTCTGGACCATCTTCATCTGACCCTTGTGGAGCTGCACATTCAGGAACAGGCAGTTCAGGAACCTCAGCAGCGCCCAGCTGAACAGCCTGGGGAGGGACACCAGGCCTGAGGTGCGGCAAGGAGTGACGCTCGGCCCGTGGCACTTGGAGGGCTGCCCAGTGCTCCTTAGGGCAGGCCCCGCCACTATCCTCATTTTACAGAAGAAGGAAAGTGAGACTCAGGGAAGCTACAGAACTGCTTCCTGGTAGTGAACGCTAAGAAGTAGCAGTGCTGGGACTGGAAGTTCTGACACCAGAGTTCATGCCCACCAGACGCTGCTACTCTCCCACGACCTCATGGTGGAGCTGCCTCACATCAGAATCAGAGCATCTGCCTCAATTTACCCTAAAGGAGACTAGAGGACCAAGCCTCTCTCCAGGCAGAACCCAGCCTGGTCTTCACAATCTACCAGAAAAGGTGAAATAAAAAGGAAGGATTAGTAATAGAAGAAGGAAAGGGGATAACTGCAGGGGCAAAATCCCTGGTGGGCAGGTGGGTGGGGTTGTCCCTGCAGCACAACAGGAGGACCAGCTCTATTTATTTTTTAGGACAGGGTCTTGCTCTGTTGCCCAGGCTGAAGTGCAGTGGCACAAACTTGGCTCACTACAACCTCTGCCTCCTGGGCTCAAGCGATCCTCCCACCTCAGCCTCTCAAGCATCTAGGACCACAGGCACGCAACAGTGCACCCGGCTAATTTTTGGAGAGACAAGTTTGCCCTGGCTGGTCTATGTCGCCCAGGCTGGTCTTCAGCTCTTGGGTGATCCACCCCGCTCAGCCTCCCAAAGTGCTGATATTACAGGTGTGAGCCACTGCACCGGCATAGGACCAGCTTTAATTTAGGACAGACACATAGCTGTAGTAGCAGGGAAATGTGCTGGATAAGCAGCAAGTCCCCATGTGATGGCTTTTATCTTTCTGTGAAGCATGAGATGGGGAATCAGTTGACAGTGGATAAGTCTAAGAAGGAGCAGGCTGGGTGGGAGCCCTGGAGAGTGCCATGTGTCCCTGTGACATTTGCACTTAGCAAGGAAACCAGTCCACTGGTGTGTGTTTCTCTGGCAACGCTGGGCTGCTCAGGTGCAAAGAGAAGGTAGACAGCGGGGGGTCATGCCCATGACTCCCTCGAAAGAGCATTATTAGCACCCCGAGCCTGCAATCTGAGCTAGGCTTGGAGGGAAGGAAACACAGAAAGGGAGGCTGATGGCTGATGTCAAGGTAGGCAGATCAAGAGACTAGAACAGCAGAGGGCTGGTCAAGGTCACCAACAACCTCTACTTTCTGTCCTTGCTCAGTTGGCCACTCAGCACATTCAAGACAGCTGAGCTTGACACATGCTGCCCCCAAGCCCACCTGTACTCAGGGACTCATTCATCTCCTTGGCTTTAAACACCATCTGTATGCTAAAGCCTCGCAGTGTCTCTGGCCCCAACCTCTCTTCTGAGCTCCAGGCTCCTATATGCAGCTGCCTCCTCAGTGTCTCCACAAGCATGTCAGGTACCAAAACTCTCTCTCTCCAAACTACCTTTTTGGGCCAACTCACTTCTCCCAAAGCCTGTTCTCTGTCCATACCACCAGAAAGTAGGCTAGAAACGGGGCTGTCCTGTAACTTCTCCTACTTCTCTCACTGCCCCTGTTCCCACTGTCCAATCCCTCAGTGAGTCCTGTTAATATCACCTCGACCTCTCAATCCACTTTTCAACCTCTACTGTCCACCATGATCTCTCACCTGGATTAACAAAACAGCCTTCCAGATGCCCTTCTGGTCTCCACTCTTGACCCCAATTCATGATGTCACTTCCCACTTAAAACCTTGCAACTGGTTTTCACTGCACTTGGAGATCCAGTCCAAACTTGCACGGCCTTACATGATTTGATCCCTTCTGCCTCTCGATTTCACCTCCCACAGCTCTCGACCCCTCACTTGCTGGCTTCCAACCACGTCAGCTTCTGGAGCAAACCTAGTCCTTTCCTGCCCAGGGCCAAAGCTCAGGCTATTCCCTCTAGCAAGACTGTTCGCCTCATTCTTGTTCGCCTTTTCTTCCTCTTGGCTCTGGCTTACAGGCTCTTTGTCCCCTTCCTGGTATTCTGTCTCAGCCCTGTTCCTTCCTCCTTGCAGCCGCGCATATCTCGTTTACCCTCCGTTTCCCTGGAACAGTGTGCTGCATCTAACAGAGGCTCCAACCTGTGCTGGCAAAATGTGGGGATGGGAGGCGGTGGTGAAGGCAGGCTGCAGCCCACTCTGGTAAACACTATCCAGCAACCCAGGAGGAGAGTCCAGCACTTCCCCAAGCCCGGCCAACACCCGCTCTCCAGAAGGACAGAGTCCCCAGCCCAAGGGTGAGTGCCCTTCAGCCCAGTTACCTGACCAGGAAGGGACGGGGTGGGGCCTGGATGTGACCCAGGATGCGCTGTACCTCCTTCTTCACAAGGTCAGGCACCTGGCCTTCCCCAGTGCCTCCTGGGACCCTCCCTGAGAGGAGGTTCTGCACCCTGTGAGGGGGTTAGAAGGAGTGCTATGAGGCTGCAGCAGGGCACAGCCTCCAGTCTTCACTCTCCTCCTTAAGGAAGGGTCCCAGGCAAAGCTCATGCTCTAGAAGCCTTGCCCCAGCCACCCCTCTCAAACACCCCTACCTAGTGTCATTGTCATCCCATTCAGGATCCCAGAAATGCCAGCCAGACCTCACTCCCTGCCTCCTCACCCGGTGCTTTCCATGATCTTCTGTGGGACATCCTGGCAGGGGGGGATGTGCTGCTCCAGGGACCACAGGAAATAGCAGAGCCTCCGAACCAGCCAGCCCCGAAACCTGGGCACAGCTCCCAGAGCAGGAGGGAAGATCCTTCAGAGAGGGCCCACCTCCACTAGGACTCACAGAAGGCTATTCAATCAGAAAGGGACCACACCCCAGACCCATGTACTAGGAACACCTGAGCAGGAAGAGCTGCCTGTCCATCTGTGCCCCATTCCCACCCCTCACCCTGTTGAGTCGGGTACAGGTTCACAGCCTGAAACACGGTGGGCAATCCATACATGCTCACAGAAGGAACTGCAAGAGAGCTCCAAGTCTGCCCCTCCCTGCAGGCTTGTGTATGGAACAGAGGACGGGGCCCTTCTTTCTCTATCAGAGGAAGAAAATGGCACCAAAAAGCAGGGCCCCAGCAGCCCTGCACCCAAGGGTCCCTGTCCCCAAGCCTGCTCCAGTCCATAGCTCTGACTACCTTGTGTTCTCCTCCTTCACCAGGATCACATTGCAGAAGCCTAGGTCCGTTATGCTTCTGTGGAAGAGGGACTCCTGCAAGACAGGGGGAGAGACAGCATGTCCTGGGGGGCCTTTGCAAACTGGTAAAGAAACGCCCCTGTACTGCCCCTCTGGCTCTGCCTGGTGGCCTGCTAAGTCTTCCAGGAGAAAAGATTACAGCACAGTATTTCACAAAAGGTGTTTGACCCCAGATTCTAGGCTGGCTCAGGAAAAAGGGGCCCATGCTCAAAACTGAAGTGCTGTATCCTGTACAGAATCACCCTCTTTCAGAGTGGTATATGAAAGTCTCCAGAAGTTATCTTCTCAACAGCAGAGAAAACGCAGCCTGGGTCTCCATGAGAAATCTGGGCTCCCTCACCACCATCACATGACACAAACCAAAAAAGAGGTCTTCAAGCATGTGCTGAGTGCTGGGGAAGTCTGAGTGGGTGATGTCCACAAAACTGAACAACAAAACTGACACAGGCATGATAAGAACCCAGCCCTCTGGGCACACCCTACCACCACTTAGGCCCCTCTGTACTTCTCCCACCCAACTCTCCCAGGCCTGGGAACAAGCCACCGCCCAACCATACAACCAATACCAGTGCATCCATTCCCCTGAAAGACAGAAGCAGAGGCATGGGGCAGGGAAGAGCCAAGCTTTCAGGGACATAAAGGAAGCAGCTTCCCAGAGCTTCGGCTCCCAGAACCAAGCTTCCTGCTTGGGGCCTGGCCCTACCATCACTCACCCAGCTCTTGGGGGTGCAGGTCTGGCAACAGCGACCCACAAAGGGGCGATACTTGCCCAGGAATGGAGTGACAGCCTCCAGCTTCATCCCAAAGCCTGACGACCACAGGCTAGCCTGGAAAGGGCGATGAGGAGAGATGAGAGGACTCAAAGTCCTTGGCAGGAGAGAGGGAAAGATGGAGCAATGGAGGCTCTAGGAGTGAGGGGCACAGCAGAAGGGGTGGCAGGGCAGAGAGGATTTGAGGAATGGGAGGAGACACATTACCTCTCGGCCACTGGGGCTGCTCCTTGGCTGAGTTTGGCATCTGCCTTCCAACATGGTGGCCATGAGAGCCTAGAAGAACCACGAACCAGTCACCTCTGGCACTCTCCTTCTCCCCACAGAAACCTGAGCCGGGGAAAGGTGCAAGGATGGAGCCATAAGAATCTGAGCCATAATCCAGGGCCTCCTGCGGTAACTGCAACCCCCCATCACAGGACAGACAGACATCACTTAGGCCATTAGTGGTGAGGAGAACCTAGGCTGGAAACTAGGGGCTGGCTCAGGTCAAGGCCCTGCCCCACACCCAACTGATCCCACAAAGGAGCCAGCTGTCCTCAAAAGGTCTCACAGTATCCAGGTCAGGGCCCTCCTCGGGCCAACATGAGGGGGATCGGTTGTCTTAGCATCCACACCCACCCGGCCATCTCCTAGCACAGATGGGGGCTGTACCGGAGATGCTGATCCTTTCTGTGCAGAGGGAAAGAATGAGGGCTGGATTGGAAGGAAGGAGGCACAAGACTGCCAAGGAGGAAGAAGACTATCGCCATGAGGCCACCAGGTCCTACTCAGCTGCCCTCCCCTCCTCACCAGGAGACAGCCCTGTAACCACCCAAACATTACGGGAATGTGGGCTGGCTAATAGAAGAGGGACAACTCAGGGTCAGAACACAGAGGCCTACTCACCAGGAATGAGCATCTAGTTGGGGACAAAGACAGACTTTTCCACAATCACTCCCCTCTCACATTAACGTTCTCCACAGAAGACGCCACTTGTATCTCCTCAGCCCCTCCTTCCCACCACAATATTTCCCTGAACTAATAAATACCTATGTTCCTTCAAACAGCACTGAACGACTCCTGGCTCAAAAATTTGGGCCTAAAAGCCCCTCTTCCCTATTTGTCAGCACGACCCTGATGAGTGGGCTGGTCTAATCATGTTTCCCCATCCCTACCACACTTCGATCAGGCCCATCTAGGAGCCTCTCCCTTCCCAGCCACCCACCCAATTCTGCCCAGGGTTCTAAGTCCACGATGCTTCTGGAACACCCTCTAAGCCCTCCCTCTCCTCCTTGGGTTCCCCAGCCCAAGCCTGCCCGGCAAAGAGCCATTCGAAGCCCTCCTCCAGGGCTATGGTTTCATCTCCCTACGTGGTCAGAGTGTCCTGAGGGCAGGGACTCATCTCTGTATGTCCAGCAGTCTGCCCGGTGTGCAAGAGGGAACCAGGAAGAGCCAGCTGACCCACAATAACTTCCTCCCAAGAATTCTCCAGGCGCGTTCCTCCTTTCCCCAGTCAGCTCGGTTTCCAGCCAGGAAGCCAAGCAGTAATGGGATCAGGATCCCTGCAGTGCCCAGGGTCTCGGGGGCCACGGGAGGCTCATCCCAAAGGCACTCTGTTATCTTGAAAATGTTGCATAGCCCTGTTCACAGACACATGGTACAGGAAGGCTACAAACCCACGCCCGCTTTGCAAGGAGGGTGTCTGTCCCCTAGCTGCAGACCACCCCCAACCCCCAAATCTAACCCCATTAGGTCTGTGCTAGCTCTACGGAAGCAGAGTCAAAGCCATGGCAAGGGGTTATTCCCATCTGCCAGTTAACAACACAGCTCAGGACTCCTACAGCAGAGGATGCAAACTGGCACCCCGAGGGCAAATTCAACTCATAGACACATATATATACACACACATATATACATATATAATACATATATACATATATACACACACATATATACATATATAATACATATATACATATATACACACACATATATACATATAATACATATATACATATATATACACACACACACACTTCTTTGACTACACAACGTGCTAAAACCTTATGATGTAAAACCAACGTTGAACAGCAGAGGGCTTGTTACATATACATTTTTTGAAAATCAAGGTTTCCAGTCGCGGCTGTAATGGAAAAAGCTGAGCTCTGGCATCTCTGAGCACACACCCCACAGGGCTCAGCTGGCCGCCACTGTCCCTTTAGCCCGACAGCAGGAGCCCTCCCGTTTGCCTCCACCTTGATTATCACTGACGCCTGAGCCTGTGCACATCTGAGCGTTCAGCCCTTGATCAAGGGTAAAACTCTAAACCTGCCCCCACGTTTGGAATGCTTGTGCCCTACAGAGAGCCGCAAGAGAACTTCACCTTCCCGGCTCTGCTCAAACATGGCCTCGGCGCCCCACAGCCCCCGCCCAGGGCCCCTCAGGCCTCAGCTTCCTCGTCAGACCCGTGACAGGCGCTCCCCGAGCTACCCCAAGATGTGCGAAGGGCACCTGCCCGACATCAGGTCCTGGATGCCCTCTCTGGATGTAGGGGAACGGGATGCCGAGGAAGAGGCAAAGCGGGGCTCTCCACAACACCACGCCCCACAAGGACTCATTCCCGCCACAAGACCCGCATGGCCGGCACTCCCTCCCTTTCGACTTCCGCCCAGTCCCCAACAGGCCGCTCAGACCAGGCTCTTGAAGCAGGAAAGCCCCTGGATGATCCCGGTCCCCTTCTGACCTGGCCTCGCCGGGGAGCGACCACCGCGCCTCTCACCTCACACCAGCTTCCAACTCCCGCCAAAGCAGCAGCTCCGCAAAGCCGCCACAAGGCGTGGACTGCTCAAGGGAAGGAGCGGATTGCCCACCTCCGCGCGTCCGGCTAAAAGGCAGCCCCGAGAGCCAATTGGGATGCGCGCTGGTCCAGAAGCCCCGCCCTGCGTCCCGTACTCTGCGACACTCAACGTGGCCACGGGACCCGTGCTCTGGGGATGGCCTGCTCCGTTTTCCAGTCGGCCCTGGCCCGCGGTGGGAGGGGAGTACTGCAGGCGGCCGCGAGGCCCCGGGTGCTTGAGCTTCGAGCAGGGACTCAGGCCAGATTCTGATTAAAGAAGTTATCCCAGGGCTTACGCTCCTCCAAGCTGGGGTTCGGCTCTAGCAAAATTCTGAGCTGGGGACGATTAGAAAGGAGAGAAGATCATCAAGAGACAGTTGCAGTCATGAAAAACAAGTCAGGCCTCCCAGTGTCATTTCCTTTGTTAATGTGAAGCCTAGACCACCGTCAGGGACCTCCAGCAGCCGCGCGGTGCTAAGGTTTCAGCTGGGCCTGTGGCCGGTGTGTTCATTCGTGTGGTTATTTGATTAAGACCTGACTCCTGTCTCGGCCCTAAGCTCCGCGTAAACAAAGACCTTATGGGTTCATTCATGTTGTAACTGTGTTCCCAGCACCCAGCAGGAGACCAGCCAGTGGGAGGCAAGCAGTATAGAACAGATGAACGTGCGAATGACTGGGCTCTCTGTTCCTGCCCCCATGGAATGAGCCCGCCTGACATGCCAGAGGATTCCACAGTTCCAGAGCATGTGACACACGTGTGCCGGAGCAAAGCCACACATGAGCCTGGCGGGGCCCAAGACAGCACAGAACGTGTTCACATCCTCCCTCGTCTCTGACTCACCAGCCCTGATGTGACTCCCACACCCTGCCCCTCCGGGATGTAGCCTTTCTCTCCCTTTGTGCCATTTCGTGTCTATCCAGGCTGTGTGTGCATCCACTCACCTTCATTGGGATTTGCAACGTCCTCCCGGTACCTGCAGAATCCATTTTGTACCCCATCTTACCGTTCTTTTGTATCAGGGTGCCTGTCCACATCGAGATCCTGAGACTCTGACGCTGAAAAACGAAAAATATAGACTTTCACTTCGAAGTTGTAAGTTGCCTCCTAAGAGTGCAGACTTGAATTTACCGAAGGCTGACGCCTCTTAGTTCTGGGAACACCATCTGTACAGGCAGCCGAGTTTTGCCGTTGTGAACACGTCCCCACCTCTTAAGGAGTTCTCATGCTGAGAAGTAGCCCCAAAGCAGAGACTTTAGACTAGAAGGTTGCATGGATTGACTGTAGAGACGAGGCGCAGCATCTCAGAGTTCAGCTGTCAGATGTGCTGCTTCTTTGGAAGAAACGTATTTTGTTATGGTGGTGGTGGTTGTTTGCTGCAATTTGGACATTTGAAAAGAAGCATCCCTCTCAGACCCAGATTGGGTCTGGGACCGAGGACTCAGTGTGCTCTTTCTCCCTCAAGCAGTTTGCAGGAGAGGCAGAGCTGCAGTGCAGCAAGACCTGTAGGCCAGCTGCCATACACACTGATTGTGACTGACCCGACCCTGAGAGAAACATAAACTGATTTGAGCTGGGCCCTGCCCAACCTGGACTGGACTTGGTGAGCCCCATCCTGGACTCATGCCAGAATGCATTACCCAGAATATCCTGATGCACCTAACTGACTGCCTGCGCCCAGAGGGACAAAGGCCCTCCCTGTGGCTGGGGGCAGGTGTTCCCTGAAGGCACTGACAGGCCTTTCTCCTGTATATCACCTGGAGAAAAGGACTTGAGCTGGCATTAGAATGGGCAGAGGGGCTCTTGCCAGTCTGTCTGGGGACCACCAGCGGGGCAGAGAAAAGGAGATGTGATGTTTAATTTTAGGTGTCAGCTTGACTGGGATACCCAGATACCCAGAGAGCTGGCAAGGCATTATTTCTGGGTATATCTGTGAGGGTGTTTCTGGAAGAGACTGGCATTTGAATCACTGGACAGAGTAAGGAATATTCACCTTCACCCAATGGGGGCAGACACCATCCAATCGGTTGAGGGCCTTGATAGAAAAAAGGCAGAGGAAAAGAGAATTTGCATGCAGGCTCTCTCTTTCTTCCCTTCTCTCTCTCTCTCTCTCTTCCCTTCTCTCTCTCTCTCTCTCTCTCTCTCTCTCTCTCTCCTGCAGCTGGGACAGCCATCTTCTCCTACCCTTGGACATTAGATCCAGGCTTTGGGTTCTATAACTTGGACCAGCAGCACCCCCACCCACAGGTTCTCAGGCCTTCAAACTTGGACTGAGCTACACCACCAGCTTCCCTGGTTCTCTAGCTTGCAGAAGGCATATGGTGGGGCTTTTCAACTTCCATAATCACGGGAGCCAATTCCCATAATAAAGCTCATCTGTCCATCCCCCTACCTATATTCTTGGTTCTGTTTCTCCATTCTATGCTGTGGTTTGCTGCAATGTTGAACAAGACTTTATGGAAGATTCCGGAGTAATAGGGATCTACAACATAGACACCACCAATGGTTACCTCTGAAGGTGGCTGTGCTCAGAACACCTGGGCCTGGGAGGGAAAGGGATGTCTCAGAGGGAGGCATGTCTCCTCCGTTAGTTAGGGTTATGAGGAAATTCACTTTTCCATTGCCTTTTGTTCTATCCAGGCCCTCGACTGATTGGATGGTGTCTGCCCCCGTGGGGTGAAGGTGAATATTCCTTACTCAGTCTGGAGATTTCAAATGCCAATCTCTGAGGAACCCTGATTAAAGGAGGAGACATGCCTCTTTCTGAGACACCCTTTCCCTCCCAGGCCCAGGTGCTCTGAGCACAGCCACCTCCAGAGGTAACCATTGGTGGTACTCTATGTTGTAGATCCCTTCCGTTATACCAGAACCTTCCATAATGTCTTGCTAAGCACTGCAGCAAATGGCAGCCTAGAATGGAGAAGTCAAATATGGGTGCTAGTGGCAGGAGAATGGGAACATTGATGCTGGGAAGCTGCCAACAGACACTGACCACACATGCCACTTTCCTCTGGCCAAGGCTGGCACCACTTCTATAGATGAAAACTTGAGCCAAGAGGCTGGGATAGAGTGAGTGGGGAACCCGAGATCCTTTCTAATACTGGGGATCTGGGATTCTGTGAAGACCAGGGACAGCGTGAGAGATTCAAGGGCTGACAACCTGAGGGAGGAGGGTGCTGCATGCTACAGTGTTCTGTCCTCCACATCGGTATCTTCAACACCAACTTGGGGGATGACACAGAAGGCAGGCTTGGCCTTCTAGCAGATGTCATAAACCAATAAGGAATAAAGGGTACTTACTGACAGAATCTGGATTCAAAGACAATTTGAGAACAGGGGAATTATGATCAAAATAAGCCCCAACCTGAAAGAGTGTGGTGGAACCTGAGGGGAAAGTTCCGTAGAGTGGGCAGAGAGTTGGATTTGTTGGTAGGGGCTCTGTCCAGTGGTACTCTTTGTTTCCACTTATTCCAACTCAAGTATGCATAAGCCAAAAGCTCATGGGTTGGCTCACATAACGAGAAAGTATGAATGTGTTAACTCTAGGCATGGCTGGACCTAAGTGCTAAAGCAACATTGTCAGGCCTCCGGTTCTCTCTCATGTGTCCATACTGCTTGTCTCTGCTTGGTTTTGTTCTTCCTGAAGGCTCTTTTCTATAAAAACCTGACTGCCAACCGCCCAAGACTTATATCCACCCTCCTCATCAACCTTAGTAGGAAGAAACTTCTGTCCCTCAACATACACATGAAACCCCAGGGAAGACTCCGGTACTGCAAGGATCGTCCTCATACCCTCTTGACCAATCCCTGTGGCTAGGGGGTGTGGCATGTCCTGATGTAGTGACTGGACCCACACCATTGCCCCCTTTCCTGTCTTTGGTGAGGGGGCACCATGATTGACCAGCCTAGGAGAAACGGAGTGCACGGGGTTGGTTTTCTCAGGGAATGGTGCTGGCTGACATGAACAACATGTCCACCATGGTGTCTAATGCTGACTGGATCCATTTGACCATTTGTCTGGTCTCTGCCACATCCCAGGGCCAAGAAGCTGCTGCACTGTGAGGTCTGGATAAATGTTTTTCAGGTAATGAGTGAACTTCCTTCTCTGTGGACCTTAGCAGGAGATGACTTCTCCTCTTCTCTTGAATGGGGATGATAATCTGTCTACTTACTTGACAATGTTGAGGTGTAGCTCAGTCAAGTCATGAGGTAGACAGGCTGAATGAAGCACAACAATCCTCCCAATCCCCGGGACAAGGGGGAAGCAGCCAGTGCCGCCTCATGATGCTGGCCGGGAGGGTTGGCCCATGCTAGGGAAAGCCAGAAGTTCTGTTGCTCTGTGTCCCCTTGCCCCTTGCCCCAACTTCCCACCATACCTGCTTCCTCCAGGACACCTGGTTTCGTCCACCCAGAAAACATAGGTTCTGTGACAGGATGTTTCCTCCCTCTTGCCAGGCGTGGCTGGGAATGGAAGCAGTGATGCTGAAGAATATTCCAGGCCCACTCTGTCTTCCTCCCTGGAGATCTGCTCCCTAGCATTGATTGAGCAACTCCATCAATTGCCGACTAATTGGTAGGTGGGAGTAGAATGGGGGTGTAGATACTCCCCAGGTAAAGTCATCTCCTGCTCCTGGGAGGGGTGGCCTGATATATGGAGATGTCAGTTCTCCCTCAATTCATCCATCACTTCACTGTAGTCCCAGTAAAGATTCCAGTTTTAGAAACTCACTCTGAATCATGCGAGGAGGGATAAAGGTCCACAGATGCCTAAGCCAAAGGAGGGTAGGCAGGAAGCTCTTCCAGATACTCAGGTACACTCTAAAGGTGCTGTTGTTGTCTTAAGCAGTATGGTGACAGTGAACCAACAGACAACTCAGCATGGAGAGGGGAGATCCCTGGTTAGAGGGAAATTTCATCTATGATAAAAGGTGCATCACAAGTCAGTGGGAAAGAGTTGCTGTTCTTGTTGGAAAAACTCTTACTATATGGAGAAAAACAATGTGATCCCTTATAAGATGGATGCTCAGATGATGGATTAAAGAATCATACATTGATTCTTTTTTCATTCTTATACTTTAAGTTCTAGGGTACGTGTGCACAACGTGCAGGCTTGTTACATACGTATACATGTGCCATGTTGGTTTGGTGCACCCATCAACTCATCATTTATATTAGATATTTCTCCTAATGCTATCCCTCCCCCAGCCCTCCACCCACCGACAGGCCCTGGTGTGTGATGTTCCCTGCCCTGGGTCCATGTGTTCTCATTGTTCAATTCCCACCTATGGGTGAGAACATGGGGTGTTTGGTTTTCTGTGTTTGTGATAGTTTGCTGAGAATCATGGTTTCCAGCTTCATCCACGTCCCTGAAAAGGACATGAACTCATTCTTTATAATGGCTGCATAGTATTCCATGGTGTATATGTGCCACATTTTCTTAATCTAGTCTATCACTGATGGACGTTCGGGTTGGTTCCAAGTCTTTGCTATTGTGAACAGTGCCGCAGTAAACATACGTGTGCACGTGTCTTTATAGTAGCATGATTTATTATAATCCTTTAGTTATATACCCAGTAACGGGATGGCTGTGTCAAATGGTATTTCTAGTTCTAGATCCTGAGAAATTGCCACACTGTCTTCCACAATGGGTGAACTAATTTACACTCCTACCAACAGTGTAAAAGTGTTCCTATTTCTCCACATCCTCTCCAGCATCTGTTGTTTCCTGACTTTTGAATGATCGCCATTCTAACTGGCGTGATATGGTATCTCATTGAGGATTTGATTTGCATTTCTCTGATGACCAGTGATGATGAGCATTTTTTCATGTGTCTGTTGGCTGCATAAATGTCTTCTTTTGAGAAGTGTCTGTTCATATCCTTCACCCACTTTTTGGTGGGGTTGTTCGTTTCTTTCTTGTAAATTTGTTTAAGTTCTTTGTAGATTCTGGATATCAGCCCTTTGTCAGATGGGTAGATTGTAAAAATTTTTTCTCATTTTGTAGGTTGCCTGTTCACTCTGATGATAGTTTATTTTGCTGTGCAGAAGCTCTTTAGTTTAATTAGATCCCATTTGTCAATTTTGGCTTTTGTTGCCATTGCTTTTGGTGTTTTAGTCATGAAGTCCTTGCCCATGCCTATGTCCTGAATGATATTGCCTAGGTATTCTTCTAGGGTTTTAATGGTTTTAGGTCTTACATTTAAGTCTTCACTCCATCTTGAGTTAATTTTTGTATAAGGTGTAAGGAAGGGATCCAGTTTCAGCTTTCTACATATGGCTAGCCAGTTTTCCCAGCACCATTTATTAAATAGGGAATCCTTTCCTCATTTCTTGTATTTGTCAAGTTTGTCAAAGATCAGATGGTTTTAGATGTGTGGTTATTTCTGAGGCCTCCATTCTGTTCCATTGGTCTATGTGTCTGTTTTGGTACCACTACCATGCTGTTTTGGTTACTGTAGCCTTGTAGTATAGTTTGAAGTCAGGTAGTGTGATGCCTCCAGCTTTGTTCTTTTTGCTTAGGATTGTCTTGGCTGTGTGGGCTCTTTTTTGGTTCCATATGAACTTTAAAGTAGTTTTTTCCAATCCTGTGAAGAAAGTCATTGGTAGCTTGATGGGGAGGGCATTGAATCTATAAATTACCTTGGGCATTATGGCCATTTTCACGATATTGATTCTTCCTATCCATGAGCATGGAATGTTCTTCCATGTGTTTGTGTCCTCTTTTATTTCGTTGAGCAGAGGTTTGTAGTTCTCCTTGAAGAGGTCCTTCACATCCCTTGTAAGTTGGATTCCCAGGTATTTTATTCCGTTTGTAGCAATTGTGAATGGGAGTTCACTCATGATTTGGCACTCTGTTTGTCTGTTATTGGTGTATAGGAATGCTTGTGATTTTTGCACATTGATTTTGTATCCTGAGATTTTGCTGAAGTTGCTTATCAGCTTAAGGAGATTTTGGGCTGAGACGATGGGGTTTTCTAGATATGCAATCATGTCATCTGCAAACAGGGACAATTTGACTTCCTCTTTTCCTTATTGAATACTCTTTATTTCTTTCTGTTGCCTGATTGCCTTGGCCAGAACTTCCAACACTATGTTGAATAGGAGTGGTGAGAGAGGGCATCCTTCTCTTGTGCCGGTTTTCAAAGGGAATGCTTCCAGTTTTTGCCCATTTAGTATGGTATTGGCTGTGGGTTTGTCATAAATAGCTCTTATTATTTTGAGATACATTCCATCAATACCTAGTTTATTGAGAGTTTTTAGCATGCAGGGCTGTTGAATTTTGTCAAAAGCCCTCTTCTGCATCTATTGAGATAATCATGTGGTTTTTGTTGTTGGTTCTGTTTATGTGATGGATTACGTTTATTGATTTGTGTATGTTGAACCAGCCTGGCATCCCAGGGATGAAGCCAACTTGATCGTGCTGGATAAACTTTTTGATTCAGTTTGCCTGGATTCCGTTTGCCAGTATTTTATTGAGGATTTTTGCATCGATGTTCATCAGGGATATTGGTCTAAAATTCAATTTTTTTTGTCGTGTCTCTGCCAGGCTTCGGTATCAGGATGATGCTGGCCTCATAAAATGAGTTAGGGAGGATTCTCTCTTTTTCTATTGCTTGGAATAGTTTCAGAAGGAATGGTACCAGCTCCTCTTTGTACCTCTGGTAGAATTCAGCTGTGAATTCATCTGCTCCTGGACTTTTTTTGGTTTGTAGGCTATTAATTATTGCCTCAATTTCACAACCTGTTATTGGTCTATTCAGAGATTCAACTTCTTCCTGGTTTAGTCTTGGGAAGGTGTATGTGTCCAGGAATTTATCCATTTCTTCTAGATTTTCTAGTTTATTTGCATAGAGGTGTTTATAATATTCTCTGATGGTAGTTTGTATTTCTGTGGGATTGGTGGTGATATCCCCTCTATCATTTTTTATTGTGTCTATTTGATTCTTCTCTCTTTTCTTCTTTATTAGTCTTGCTAGTGGTCTATTTTGTCGATCTTCTCAAAAAACCAGCTCCTAGTTTCATTGATTTCTGGAAGGGGTTTTTGTGTCTCTATCTCCTTCAGTTCTGCTCTGATCTTAGTTATTTGTTGTCTTCTGCTAGCTTTTGAATGTGTTTGCTCTTGCTTCTCTAGTTATTTTAATTGTGATGCTAGGGTGTCAATTTTAGATCTTTCCTGCTTTCTTTTGTGGGCATTTAGTGCTATAAATTTCCCTCTACACAGTCCTTTAAATGTGTCCCAGAGATTCTGGTAATCGTGTCTTTGTTCTTATTGGTTTCAAAGAACATCTTTATTTCTGCCTTCATTTTATTATTTGCCCAGTAGTCATTCAGGAGCAGGTTGTTCAGTTTCCATGTAGTTGTATGGCTTTGAGTGAGTTTCTTAATCCTGAGTTCTAATTTGATTGCACTGTGGTCTGAGAGACAGTTTGTTGTGCTTTCTGTTCTTTTACATTTGCTGAGGTGTGTTTTACTTCCAATTATGTGGTCAATTTTAGAATAAGTGTGATGTGGTGCTGAGAAGAATGTATATTCTGTTGATTTGGGGTGGAGAGTTCTGTAGATGGCTATTAGTTCCACTTGGTGCAGAGCTGAGTTCAAGTCCTGGATATCCTTGTTAACCTTCTGTCTCATTGATCTGCCTAATGTTGATAGTGGGGTGTTAAAGTCTCCAGTTATTATTGTGTGGGAGTCTAAGTCTCTTTGTAAGTCTCTAAGGACTTGCTTTATGAATCTGGGTGCTCCTGTATTGGGTGCCTGTGTATTTCGGATAGTTAGCTCTTCTTGTTGAATTGATCCCTTTACACATTATGTAATGGCCTTCTTTGTCTCTTTTGATTTTTGTTGGTTTAAAGTCTGTTTTATCAGAGATTAGGATTGCAACCCCTGCTTTTTTTCCCTTTCCATTTGCTTGGTAGATCTTCCTCCATCCCTTTATTTTGAGCCTATGTGTGTCTCTGCACGTGCGATGGGTCTCCTGAATACAGCACAATGATGGGTCTTGACTCTTTATCCAATTTGCCAGTCTGTGTCTTTTAATTGGAGCATTTAGCCCATTTACATTTAAGGTTAATATTGTTATGTGTGAATTTGATCCTGACATTATGATGTAAGCTGGCTATTTTGCCCATTAATTGATGCAGTTTCTTCATAGCATCAATGGTCTTTATAATTTGGCATGTTTTTGCAGTGGCTGGTACTGGTTGTTCCCTTCCATGTTTAATGCTTCCTTCAGGAGCTCTTGTAAGGCAGGCTTGGTGGTGACAAAATCTCTCAGCATTTGCTTGTCTGTAAAGGATTTTATTTCTCCTTCACTTAAGAAGCTTAGTTTGGCTGGATATGAAATTCTGGCTTGAAAATTCTTTTAAGAATGTTGAATATTGGCCCCTATTCTCTTCTGGCTTGTAGAGTTTCTGCTGAGAGATCCGCTGTTAGTCTGATGGGCTTCCCTTTGTGGGTAACCCGACCTTTCTCTCTGGCTGCCCTTAATATTTTTTCCTTCATTTCAACCTTGGTGAATCTGACAATTATGAGTCTTGGGGTTGTTCTTCCCAAGGAGTGTCTTTGTGGTGTTCTTTGTGTTTCCTGAATTTGAATGTTGGCCTGCCTTGCTAGGTTGGGGAAGTTCTCCTGGATAATATCCTGAAGAGTGTTTTCCAACTTGGTTCCATTCTCCCTGTCACTTTCAGGTACACCAATCAAATGTAGATTTGGTCTTTTCACATAGTCCCATATTTCTTGGAGGCTTTGTTCATTTCTTTTTAGTCTTTTTTCTCTAAACTCTTCTCACTTCATTTCATTCAACTCATCTTCAATCACTGATACCCTTTCTTCCACTTGATCGAATCGGCTACTGAAGCTTGTGCATGCGTCATGAAGTTCTCGTGCCCTGCTTTTCAGCTCCATCAAGTCATTTAAGATCTTCTCTACACTGTTTATTCTAGTTAGCCATTTGTCTAATCTTTTTTCAAGGTTTTTAGCTTCCTTGCAATGGGTTAGAATATTCTTTAGCTCAGAGAAGTTTGTTACTACTGACTTTCTGAAGCCTACTTCTGTCAACTCATTAAAGTCATTCTCTGTCCAGTTTTGTTCCGTTGCTGGTGAGCAGCTGCGATCCTTTGGAGAAGAGGCGCTCTGATTTTTGGAATTTTCAGCTTTCCTGCTCTGGTTTCTCTCCATGTTTGTTGTTTTATCTACCTTTGGTCTTTGATGTTGGTGACCTACAGATGGGGTTTTGGTGTGGATGTCCTTTTTGTTGATGTTGATGCTATTATTTTCTGCTTGTTAGTTTTCCTTCTAACAGTCAGGACCCTCAGCTGCAGGTCTTTTGGAGTTTGCTGGAGGTCCACTCCAGACCTGTTTGCCTGGGTATCACAAGGGGAGGCTGTAGAACAGCAAATATTGCTGCCTGATCCTTCCTCTGGAAGCATCATCCCAGAGCGGCACCTGCCTGTGTGAGGTGTCTGTTGGCTCCTACTGGGAGGTGTCTCCCAGTCAGGCTACACAGCGGTCAGGGACCCACTTGAGGAGGTAGTCTGTCTGTTCTCAGAGCTCGAACGCCATGCTGGGAGAACCACTGCTCTCTTCCGAGCTGTCAGACAGGGACGTTTTAAGTCTGCAGAAGTTGTCTGATGCCTTTTGTTCAGCTATGCCCTGCCCACAGAGGTTGAGTCTATAAAGGTAGTAGGCCTTGCTGAGCTGCAGTGGGCTCCACCCAGTTCAAGCTTCCTGGCAGCTTTGTTTACCTACTCAAGCCTCAGCAATGGCAGACGCCCCTCCACCACCTCCCACAAGGCTGCCACCTCGCAGGTCGATCTCAGACTGCCGCGCTAGCAGAGAGCAAAGGACCATGGGCATGGGACTCACTGAGCCAGGCACGGGAGGGAATTTTCTGGTCTGCTGGTTGCTAAGACCATGGGAAAAGTGCAGTATTTGGGCAGAAGTGTACCGTTTTTCCAGGTACAGTCTGTCACGGCTTCCCTTGGCTAGGAAAGGGAAATCCCCTGACCTCTTGCACTTCCCAGGTGAGGCAATGCCCCGCCCTGCTTCGGCTCACCCTCCATGGGCTGCATCCACTGTCCAACCAGTCCCAGTGAGATGAACCAGGAACCTCAGTTGGAAATGCAGAAATCACCCATCTTCTGTGTCAATCTCACTGGAAGCTGCAGAACGGAGCTGTTCCTACTTGGCCATCTTGGAAGTGACTAATTGATTCTTTAATCCGTAATCTGAGCATCCACCTTATATGGGATTGCTTTTCACGATGACCACCATGAATAGCCAGATTATAACATGTTAGAAAACAAAACACACAGGGGAACTTACCAAAAGGAGTAGAAGATTTCTTAGACAAAATTTCAAAGCAGAAACCATAAGGCAGAAAAAGTGGAGGGGATTTCATGATGTTACAATCAAATAGATCTGTTGCAAGTGACACATGGCAAAATGAGAGAAGTTATGTGCAGTCTAAAACTGACAAGAGATTAGTGGCCTCAATATACGAGGAGCTCCTGAAAATTAACAAGAAAAATAAATAGACAAAGGACACGAGCAGGCAGTTTTTGGGAGAGGAAACCCCAAAAGCCAGGAAGCATATGAGGAAGTGGCTAAGATCATTAGTACAGAAATACACATTCTAACAATAAGATATATGAGGAAATAGTTCTCCAAAAAAGATACACAGATGGTCAATGAGCACAAGAAAAGGTGCTGAGAATCACCCAGAATAAGGGAAATGCAGATGAAAACTACAGTGAGATAGCACTTCATACCCACTAGAATAGCTACTGTCAAGAAAACCCGAAAATACCGAGTGTTGGTGAGGAGTGAGACATTAGACCCTTGTGCACTACCGGTGGGTATGTAAAATGGTGCCGCCACTGTGGACAACAACATGGCCATTCCTAAAAAAAAATTCAAATAGAATTACCGTATGACCAAGAATTTCCACTTCTGGACGTATTCCCAAAAGGATTGAAAGCAGGATGTTAAAGAGATATTGTATATCCAAGTTCATAGCAGCAGCATTCATAGGAACCAAAAAGTGGAAGCAAGTGTCCATTGATAGACGAATGCATGAACAAAATGTGGTCTATACATGCAATAAAATATGATTCAGCCTTAGAAAGGGAGAGAATCCTGTGATAGGCTACATCGTGGATGAACCTTGAGGGCATTATGCTAAGTGGAATAGCCAGTCACAAAAAGACAGTATTCCACTTACATGTGATACCTAGAATAATCAAATTCATAGAAACAGAAAATAGAATGATTGCCAAGGGCTGGGGCAAAAACGGAATGGGAAGTTAGTATCTAATTGGACACAGTGTTTCAGTTTCACAAAAGTAGAGTTCTTGAGATGGATGGTGGTAATGGTTGCACAACAATGTGAAAGTATTTGATACCACTAAAGTGTACAATTAACAGTGGTTAAGATGGGAAATTTTATGTTCTGTGTGCTTTACTACAATTTGAACCAGATACAACCTTATACATACATGGTAGGCAAAATTCTCAGCTGAACTCCAATAGGCAAGCACTTCTGTAATCCTCTCCTGGTAAATGTGCTTCTAATTAATAGATTCTAACAAAGGTGATGATGTGCCATATGGAAAAGGGGAAAAGAATTTGCCAATGTAATTAAAGTCCCTGATCAGTTGACTTTATGTTAATGAAAAAGGACATCATCCAGGGTGCATCTAATCAGGTGAGCCCTTTAAAAAAGGATGTAAAGGTATGAGACTATCTCTCCTGCTGACATTGAAGAAGCAAGTCTCCTTGAGTTCTACAACCACTCGGAGATGAATACTGCCAGCCACCTGAGGCAGCCTGGAATCAGATCTTTCTCCAGTGGAGCCTCTGATGAGAATGCAGCCTGGCCAACACCGGGTTACAGTCTGAGCAGAGCACCCAGCTAAGCCGAGCCCAGAATCCTGGCCCACAGAAAATGGGAGATGAAAAATAAATGGTGTTTTAAGCCACACAATTTGTGTTAACTTGTTCTGCAGCTGTAGAAAACTAATGCAATCTTTTAGGCAAAACTAATCTAGGAAGAGACAAGTATTGGAGCTGGGCACAGTGGCAGATGCCTGTCATCCCAGCTACTCAGGAGGCTGAGGTGAGAGGATCCCATGAGCCCAGGAGTTTGGGGCTGCAGTGAGCTATGATCGCACCTGTAAGTAGCCAGGGCAACAAGTGGGACCCTGCCTCAAAAAGAAAAAAAAAAGAAGTCTTCATGTTGGGTGGGGAAGTGGGGAAGTTGATGAGGGCACTGCTTGTGGAGTGTAGACCAGAGCCACCATTGTGGAGGGATTTTGATCAATAGTATGCATCCCTTACACCCCTGCTATTCCATTTCCAGGTAGAGATGTAAAAGAAATTGACACAGATTCATCAAACATGCACACCAAGATGTTCACTGCAGAGTTCTTTGTGGTAGTGTGGGGATGGGGGCTGCGGGAGGCACCCTAGGGTTTCTATCCTGGGGAGAATGGAGAGACAAAATGGGAATGGTCCACACCATGGAGAATTATGCAGCCACAAGGAGAGATGAAAGGCACACATAGCCACATGGATGGGCCTGAACACAGGGCTGAGTTTAAAAAGGAAGAAGCAACATGGGAACCCAAACATTACCATTTGCAGACATTAAAAAACACATAAAGACTGTATCTCTTTTGAAAGAGCATTTTTAAAGCAGCACAGGAGGTGGGGGAATCTATGGGGAGCATGTTGCCCATGCAGGGGAAGGGAATGGGAGTGAGTGTGGAGACAAAAGAATAAATAAAACAAAAGTGGTTTTATTGGACCAACAATAATTCACTGAGTAGTTTAGCGCAACTTGAGGGTAAAATTAACGGCACCTGGATCTGGGGCAGCTGCAGAGGCAGCGACGTCCAGGCCTTTGTGCAGGGGGGCTAAGGTCACCCGTGCAGGTGGGGAAACAGTAAATGCCAATGAAGCAGGTGTGTGTGGTATAGAGCAAGCAAGAAAGGAGAGATTACTTTGGCCTAAGAGGGATATCTGCATTTATATTACTAATGAGTTTCCACTGTAAGCCACAGAAAGCCCGGCTCAAAGCGATTTTTTTTTTTCTTTGCAAACAGAATTTATTGACTCAAGTGACTAAAATGTCCAGGCTGACTCCCTTGGGTGGGAAAGATGGTTGCCAGCAGGGCCAGGCGTATTCTCTCCAGCTAGGAAACCAGAATTGTGGACCTCCCTTTCTCAGAGGTTTCCACAAAAGCCCCAAGGCTGGTCCCCTTTGGTCAGAAAGAGTGACACGCCTGAACAAATCCCCAGGGCCAGGCCCGGGTCACATCGCCACCTGCAGACAGCAAGGGCTTCCAGCATAGGCATGGCATGAGCACAAGCTCGTGGAGGGACGTCTTTGGGAACGAAGCTGGAAAAGCAGGAGGTGAGGTTCCATGGCTGCCAGCTCAGGCGTGACCTTCGCTGCCACTTACTCAACTTGGAGGCTGTTGGTGGATGGAGGAGAGCCCTGGAGCATTTCCTCCCAGAAAGGAAATGCCTCCAGAAGTGCCTCCCTCTAGGTTCTTCTCACTGCCAACAAGTCCCTTTCCCAGAGAGGAAGGAGGCTCAAGGGCTCAGAGCGTTCTCAACACAAATGACTGTGGGGAGAGCCCTTGTGGGGGCCTGGTTCATTGCAAGAGGGAGCTCATGTGGATGCAAATCTATATAATCGGTTGCCAAAAAAGTACTGAGCCGGCCTGTTTTCATCCTGTACCAGGCGGCCTGCAGAGGACAGAATGTCCACGCTGTCTCTACAGAAATCCTTTCCGGCCAAGCCCAGGGCCTGGGGGTTCTCCAGCACTTAACCACCAGCTTTCCTGCCCTGCCCGCACAGGAGCAGCCAGTGGGTGGCTGCCATTATTGTCTCCAGGGGCACTGGGGGCGATGCTGGGCTGGGTAGGGCTGTGTGGGGCTGAGGGCAGTGTGGGTTCTGAGGGTCAGGAAATGACCTTCCTTTATGCACTACCACAACACCTCCCACAAACCACTCCTCCTGCTGCCTGGGGTTTTGAACACAGTCCTGGCCTCTTTATGGCAGTGGCAGGCAGTGTGGTTTTGGAATGGCCAGCCTGCCACAGGAGGCAGAGCTCCCACTGTGCCAGGAGGCAGAGCTCCCACTGTGCCGGCAAACAATAAGCACTGTTGTTTTTCCCCAGAGTGGGGCTGCCCGGTACTGGTCTGTGCCTGTCTCTCTGGAGCAGGAAATCGAGCAGAGGGAAATGTGTGGATTGGTTAGAGTGCTGTCAGCTGCAAGGAACAGAAAACCCAACTCAAAGGGGCTTAAACAATCAAGATGTGTCTCCTGTGCCAAGCAGTGCAGAGGTAGGACAGCTCAGGGCTGGTTAGATCAGGGCCGCAGGAAGCCAACAGGGACCCAGGTTTATTCCACATTCCATGCTGCCCTCCTCTTCAGTGGGCCAGTCTGTTTTCAGGCCAGCTTCCCTCATAATCACAAGTCAGCTGCCACAGTTCCAGGCATCACCTCCAGATATGACAACACTCAGCAAAAGAGACTCTCTTCTCCTGGATCCATCTTCTAAAGAGTAAGGGAACTTTTCCCAGAATTTCACCCAGCAGCTCTTCCATCATGTCTCACTGGCCAGAATTGCATCACAGACCTATCCTTAGCCAGTATTTGACAGAGGAAACAGGAAAGCCATGACTGGCTTGAAGGGCATGGACTACCCCAATAGCACAGGGTTTGGATGCTCCTGCAGATGCTCCAACAGCCTTCACCACACCAGGAGACAGAGGTTCTTCCCAGTTGGAGATCAGCTTTATTCACCATTGAGGATGTGATGTTTGGAGCTGTAGGGGCCATCTTGCAGCAATGGGGGGAAATTCAAGAACATCTCAGACTTGCTAACGCCATGCTTTGCCTTTACTGGGCCGTGAGACAATCCTGGGACCACATAGGTTTGTTACGTGAGTAAAATGAACTCCTGTTCAATGAGGCCTCCATTAGTTGAGTTTTCTTTACTTGCAGCCCAACTGACACAGAGTTCAGTTGTTTTGAGCAGTGGAGGGACAGGAAAGGCTCCAATGGCGGCCATTCTCCTTTGGGTTCCCATCCTCTGTGATGAGAAATCCTCGTAAAAATCACCCACCAGGACACTGAGATGGCCAAGTTTCTGCTGACCTTCCATGTGTCCTTGCAAACTTCAGAGGAAACTGGACCCTGGGCAAAATGATGAAATTAGAGAGTCCCTGAGCCCTTCTTCTCGCCAGAAAACTCCACCCATGACCCAAATTCCCAGAGGACATAGGAAATTATCAGTTATAATTGCAAATAATAAAGACTTAGAAACCTGACAAGAGGGTCTTAAGCAAACACGGTTTGGGGTTTTTCTATTCCTTGAGTAATGAGAAGCCCAAAGGTCAGGATCCATGATGGTCCCACTGCTGGGGCTGTGGTGAGGCTATAGGGGACCAGGGTCCTTCCAGCTCCCTATGTTGACATCCTCACCAGGTGCCTTCATCCTCAGGGTCACAAATACCTGCTGCTACACCTTCAGGCAGAACTTTGTGCCCCAGGGAGGAATATAGGGAAGGGGAAAGGTACAGTGAAGAGCCACCAGGCCCAACAGGAAAGCAGTAGCTGTCCTGGAAGCCCCACTCTGAAGATGCCTGTCATGGGCTGTACTGTGTTGTGTAACCACCTTTGGCTTTGAGGGAGAGGAAGGGGAGAATGGCTGTGGACTAGGTAGCTAGCTGCGTCGGCCACCAGGTGTGGAGTCCGGAAACCTGGGACTCAACCCAACACTGCTTCCTGCTGCCTTCAGTAACCCCAGGCAGCCCAGGTCATTGCTGCAGCCTCAGCAGCCTCTCCTGCCTGGCAGAAAGTGGGGGAAGAGAACTGCCTCCATGAGGGTTCCTGAAGGCTGGGTGTTCACTTGGCCTTCTCCCCATCTGGGGCAATGGGTCCTAGGGCAAGCATGGGAATGGGAAGTGTGGCTTATTCAAGGCTCTTCTGATGTCAAGTGATAGAAATTGATTCAACTCATCTATAGAGGAAAAGGGCGGGTGATAATTAATTTATTTCAGACCCAATGGGCAAGAGGAGCAGTCAGACCTCAGGAAGGACCTGACCTCAAGCTAGCAAGCCCTTGGAGACAGAGGCAGCTGCTCCTCCTTGCTCCCCGGCCCCAGGGTTGCCTGCCTCTGCTGTTCTCCCCTCACCCACTATACCTTCTTTCCGTCTGGATGGAAAGGGGTTTCTCAGCCCCATAGCTTCTGCATTCCCATGAACAATGGGCTGCCAGCCTCTCTGAATTCGTATTTCACATTCCTAGGAGAGACTGTCTGATGATCCAGCTCACCCTGGTGTCTGTCTCTTGGCCAGTCAATCCAGCCATAGAGTTAGAGCAGTTCCCAGAAAAGAGGGGCTGGATGAGGCTGACCAGCACACTGCAAAATTGACTTCAGGGGAGGAAGAGAAGCAGAGGCAGGAGGGTCCTCTTGGAGATCTGGGGGAAAGAGAGACAGGGCATTCCTTTAGGACCTGTGCCTCAAAGACCAGTGGGAAGAGACAGCTGGGTGAGGACAGGCTTCAGGTACTCTCATGTGTCCAGATCAAATATGGCTTTAACCCCTCTCTAAGTCATCGCAAATCTTTATTTTGCAAAGAGCAGAAAATCCCATTCAAATGGCTTGGCCGAAAAAGAGAATGTGTGGACCCACCTAACTGAAAAGTCAGAGCCAGGAGGGACTCAGCCATGGTTCGATCCAGAGGTTCAACATTTACTTGCAATATTTTCTCTGCAAGTTTCATTTTGTTTGTTTCCAGTTCTCTACAAGTCATTCATCTCTATTTCTTTGCGAGACAGTTTCACTTGAGGCTGGCTTTCCCCCTGTGGCACAAGTGGCTGCTTTATGTCAGCATTTCAGTGAAGTCCTTAGATGGGCTCTGAGTGGCCCAGCTTTTGTCACATGCCTCCTCCTGAACAAATCAACTTCTGTTGGGAGGGAAGGTAGTTTGCCGATTGGCTTGGTCAAGTCACAGTCTCCCTTCTTCTCACCCCCTTCAAGAAGGAAATCGGCTTCTTTGGGCTCACACCATCCCCCAGCAGATCTCTGGACTATAATCAAGAACAGGGAGAAAATGAAGCAAGTGTTCCCACACCAGTCATTTCCAAGAGCTGGCCAGTTAGCACAGAACAAGAAAACACACGCACGGGGCACTGGCGTGTGGGCAGCTGAAGAAGGGCCCTGAAGATGTACAAGTCCTAATTTCTGGAGCCCATGAATATGTTAGGTTACATGGCAAGGAGAAGTTAAGGGCCCAAATGGGATTACGGTCACTAGTCAGCTGACCTCGATGTCAGGAGATTATCCTGAATTATTCAGGTGGGATGTGCAAGGGGGAGGTAGGCGAGTCCGTGTGAGGGTGCGCAGTGTGAGAAAGCCTCACAACAATTGCTGGCTTTGGAAATGGAAGGGGGCTGTGAGCCAGGGCATGTGGGCAGCTCAGAGAAGCACAGAAAGAGATTCTTCTCCACAGTCTCCAGAAAGGAACGCAGCCCCGATGACGCCTTGGCTGTAGCCCAGTGACACCCAGGTCAGAGTCTGACCTCCAGAACTGCAAAATAATAGATGTGTGTTGTTCTGAGCCACTGAGCTGGTGGTAATTTGTTACAGCAGCAGTGAGAAACAAAAACACGGCATTCCAAGGGCAGGACTCCGCATGACAGGAGTGACAGAGTGGTGCCCAGTGCAACGGTGTGTGACAGAAATACAACATGCACTGCAATGGGGATCTTAAGTTTTCTAGTGGCCACATTAAGAAAGAAAAAGAGGCCGGGTGTGGTGGCTCATGCCTGTAATACCAGCAGTTTGAGAGGCCGAGGTGGGTGGATGGCTTGAGGTTGGGAGTTCGAGACCAGCGTGGCCAACACAGTGAAACCCTGTCTCCACTAAAAATACAAAAATTAGCCAGGAGTTATGGTGGGTGCCTGTAATCCCAGCTGCTCAGGAGGCGAGGCAGGAGAACACTTGAATCTGGGAGGCAGAGTTTGCAGTGAGCCAAGATCGCACCACTGCACGCCAGCCTAGGCAACAGAGCGAGACTCCATGTAAAAAAAAAAAAAAAAAAAAAAGAAAGAAAAAAAACAGGTAAAATTAATTTCAATAATATATTTCAACCCAATATATTCAAAATACTATCATTGCAATGTGTCATCAATATACAAAATATTGAGAAGGTGTTTCCCATTCTTTTTAATCCCCAGTTTTAGAATTCAGTGTATATTTTACACACAGCACATCTCAACATTTCTGAGCTCCTTTTCAGTGCTCATCAGGCACACATGGTTAGTGGCTGCTGCCCTGGACAGCACAGGCCTAGTGACTGTACTTTTGGTTGTAAGGGTGGCAGTGGCTGGCATGAACCAGAACAGGGGTTTGTTTGTGACAGTGACAAGGAGACCGCTAACCCCTGCCGATCTGTGTGTCCAGTTTTATTTCTCTTTTTTCTAATTTTTTTATTTCCATACATACCCTGCTTGTATATCAAGCTCTTTTCTAATCAGGGATCCTCAAATGACAGGAGTTGACCTCTGATTGTGTTTGTGCATTTCAAAGCCCAGAGCTGTGACCTCAGCCATGGTGGGCAGGATGGGTGCTGGAGAAGGGCATTAAGGCTCCCAGCTTTGTGGGGGAAATGGCATCTTCTTGAGTGAGTGGGGAAGTGCAAATAGAATATGCACAAGCTAGGAAGGACATTTTTAAAGCCTGTGCTTGGGACATTCTTCCTCTAAAGGATCAGGTGAGCTGGCTCAGAGCAGGGAGCCAACCACCGAGCCAGGGTGAGAGGGCTTCGTATTTGGAGAGTGAAAAGAATACGGTTGTTCAGGCTTTGGACTCGGAGCATCAGAAACTCCAGGAGAAATGAGATCAGCTGAAAAAGAAATGGGTTTGATGTTGTAGACCAAACATGAACAGTGGGGAACAGGCTGAAAAATGAGGGGAGAACAGTCAGCAGCTTCCACGGCTTCTCCCAAATGGAGGGAAGTGGGGCCAGCTCAGGGGACAGGCTGGAGGCTTATGACGGAAAGATGGTAGGATCCAGGTGTGGCAGGACAGGAGGCAAAGCTGGAGGCTGCTATGGGACAGAGGGGGCAGAGGGAAAGTTGTGCTGCTAATGGGGTCACAAGAGTCACTTATGGCATGGGGCCTTCAAGAACCAAGGGAAGCCCTCCCAGAGCCCAGCACCACCACAAGCAATGCTCATGGCTCCAGCCAGCAAGACTTGGGGTAGCAGCCCCCAGCCTCTCTCCCCATACTGGGGACAAAAGAGAACTGGAGAAGCCAGAGAGAGGGAGCTGGCCAAGCCTTTCCAGAGGGCACAGCCCAGGCCTCCACCATCCTCTCCCCATGTGTGCTCAACCCTTAAACACTTTGCTAAGCATTACAGGTCAGGCCCCTCCCCTGTGTGTTCAACCTTTAACACTTTGCTAAGCATTACAGGAGTTCTTCTGCTAGAAGTGGCCAATCAAATGTCCCTGGGCTTGGCTCTTGGTCCATGGCAACATTCCTTGCTTTTGGAGAGGGTGTGGGGTCCAGGAGCTAAGTGTACCCTTCAGCCAAGTCATATATCCTCTCACTCAACCTCACAATAATCATTCCAGGTGGTATCATTCTTACCCATTTTACAAAGGTGAGGTTGACCCTGTGTAATAGTCAGGGTAGGCTTGGTTATGCTGCTGTAACACACAGCTCTAAACATCTCATAACTTAACGCAGTAGTTTACCTCTCACTCCCACTCATGGGGGCTGGCGAGGGAATCTGCTCCATGCAGGTCGCTCAGGGATTCAGGCTGATTGAGGCTCTGCTGTCTGGAACAGTGGCCTCTGCCAACTTCCTGGCAGGGGAAGACACAGATGGAGGTGCGTACTGGCTTCTTTAGAATTTGGCATGATCCTGCCTAACTAGAAAGGTGCTGAGTAGTCTGAGGAACATCTGGGCTGTCTGAGGATCCCCTAGTCCCCTAGATTGGGAAGTGGGAGCGAGGCTTAACTGAAGCGTGTCTAATGTCAAAGTCCTTGCTGTCAGCCCCGCCTTATGCAGCTTCCCCCCTAAACCACTGTGAAAACGTGTGAGCTGTGTAGTAATGTGCCAATTCCAGGGGTGTCAACACCATGACCCCCAGATATTCTCATACACTGCCTCCTTAGCCCATCCCAGGCAAGGAGGGCTCTGCAAACCAGGGACCCTGCGAGGCCAGGGGACAGTGGGATTATACTGCCCCATCCCCTCTGGCCTGCCTCCCGCCCTTCCAGCCTGCTCACTGTGTCCCTGCTGAGTCCCATGACTCTCAGCTGCCCTCAGGATCCTGCCTCCGAAGAGTCCTTTCCTTCCTGTGGAATCTGGAGTCTGGTCCTCCTTCTCCAAGGCAGCACCTGCCAGGTTCCTCACTGGCAGCAAGCAGCCTTGCTAACAGCCTTGCTAATCCGCTAATTACCTGCTTCTAGCAGAAGAGCTGTTAATTGAAAACTCCATCCCCTCCTTTAATTGCCTGCCTGCCTCTGGCTGTCTAGGCTTCCCTGGGTTCTCTCCAGGCCCACAGCCCTTGGTTCTCTGCCTTTGGGCTCCTGACTTCTTCCTGGTCAATAAGGGTGTCTGTGGCTGTCTCTGCAGTGCTCATTACTGGGGTTGCCAGGTGAGAATCCGGGGCTACACTCCCTAGCCTGCAGCTAACAGCCTCTCTCCTGCCTGGCCCACTGTGGGAGGAAGGAAAGCATTTAATGCAATTTGCCCCAGAAATTAAGGGGGAGATAACAGGCCAGTGGGAGGATTCCACAGGGTAGCAGATTTTACTGAAACCAAAGGCTGAACTCCTCCAGGTCAGAGCTAGCCAGAGGGGCCGGCCACCCAGAGGGGCTGCACCACTTCCTGGAAGGCTCCACCCTGACTCTAAGTCTCAGCCCTGCCCGGAGGATTTTCTGACCTCAGTCCTTTGAGGCTGGACACACGAGGTCTCAAGGTGGCCCCGACCTTAATCACCACTTCCCTCCCAGATACATCACCAGATTCACCAGGCACAGTTAGAATTTGGCAATATTGACAATCTGAAGAGTGAAAAAAAGTGAATTTCAGAAAAATGAGGTCAATATCCCATTTTCCAATATAACTGTATGAATATTGTATACATATATGTTGATAAACACCTTTTTTAAAAGGTCTGATACAAACCCCATCAAACTCTTACTAAGAGTGGCTACTTCTGGAGAGTAGGAGAGGAGAGGGAGAGGGAGGACTCACAATGGATCTTTACTGTTTGGATTATTTCACTAGAAAGGGAGCAGGCGAGCATTAGTCCTCAAAGGCCCTATGATCTTGAACAAGGCGCCTGGCCACTCTGAGCCTCAGTGCCTCATCTGTAAGAAGGAGGCTTCTCCCATGTCCCCTTTTACTCTGGATTAGGACGCGTGGTTGAGTGCAACCTAAACCAACCCAAGCTTGTCTAAGAAAAGGGGAAGAGTTTCCCGGGACACAAGGATTTTTATGCATCCAGACCTTAGGCAGCGGAGAGAATCCTGGGGAGGGCTCTGCACGTCTCCTTACTGTGTGCCTGCTTCCTGTAAGGTCCTCTGAATGGGCTGCACCATGGTCAAGCCATTATGACCCCTGTGACCCACACGTACAGGCCTCCTGGAGTCACAAAGCCTGGAGCACTAGGAGAACCACTAAAGAAGAAGAAACAGCTAGTTCCTGCCTTAACTGATGAACTGACCTTGCAGCATTGCACCATTGTGATATGTTCCTGCCCCAACTAATCCATCCACCTTGTGATATTGTGCCTTGTGACCTCCCCCACCTCGTGACTATGCACCTTGTGAAATTCTTCCCCTGCCCGAAAAAACTGCCCCTAACTGTAACTTTCCACTACCTACTCCAAGCCTATAAAACTAACTCCACTCCCACAACCCTCCACTGACTTTCTTTTCGGACTCAGCCCACTTGCATCTCAGTGGATAAACAGCCTTGTTGCTCACACTTAGCCTGTTCAGGGCGTCTCTTCAATCAGACACGCGCAGAACACTTCCTTCTCTGTCTTTGAAAAATGATCTCTCTGCTTCCACAATCCCACAGTGCAAAACACAGCAGCCAGGTTTACACCTTATGGGCCCAGCCCTCTAGAGAGTTGCAGGTCCTATTTCTAAAGTCCTGGGCAGGGATCTTACTGGCTAGCTTGGTGACTGCATCGAGTCTGATAGGCTGGGTTATGTAGGTAACAAGTAGCCCACTATTTCAATGAATGAAAATAGCGAAGTTTATTTCTGACATGCAGTATGTCCACTGAGTCAGCAGGAGGGCTCTGGGCATCACAGTCACTGGGTGACCCAGTCTGACAGAGTTTCATCTCAACAGGTGTGTCCAGGATCTCAGAGACAGGGAAAGAGAACATGCTGGCCCACATGTGGGCTCCTAAGGCTTCTGTCTGAAAGTGACATTCCACCCACTTCCACCCACATTTTGTTGGTAAGAGCAACTCACATGGCCATACTTGAATTGAAGGATGGAGAAGTCAACTCCTACCGTGGGCCTGGCGTAAAGGAGACTTGAACATCTGTGAACAGCCCGGATGACTACCATAATGACACCTCACCAAGAGCCCCTGCCCACTCCATTTCACCTGGCCCATCACTGCAGGACTTCCCACTGTGCAGGTGAATGCTGCCAGGGAAGGAGGGAGAGTCCATGGAGGGTTCAGTTTCTAGCTGTTGCTATCTGGCTCCTTTTCTGTGGCAATAAATAGATAAACATTGTCATGGCAGAGATGTAGAAGTCCCGCAGGAGGCGCCCTGTGAATCCCAGAGAGTTGCCGAGCCCAGCCTCTGGGCCTCAGAGTCACAGGAGGGAAGATGTCTTCCCAGCTCAACCCTTCCCCTCCTCCAGCAGGAAAGATGCACTTTTGAGGGTGAAGGCCGGGTGGGGGTGAGGTGGGAGTGTGGCACCTTTGGCATTTTCTGCCTGAACAAAACTGCGGCCCCTGTCTGCCTTGGTGGCTGTCCCTGGCTTTGCTTTCAGAGACATCACCTCTCTGTGGTCATTTTGGAGGAAGATGTGCCTCGGGATCTGGGTTTCGAGCTCTGGCTCTGTCGCTAACGGGCTGGCTCTGTGACCTAGGCAGGTCAATGAACCCCTCCAGAGCCTCCGTTTCCTCATCTGTAAACTGGGTTATCATAATGTCTGCCTCCCTAGCGAGCTCTCTGGATTCTCGTGAGGACCGGCTGTTATGGGGGGCATCACGGCTCTTTGTCCAGGTGACACGTGGGAAATATGAGGGCTTATCTTTGTGCTGCTGTGGCCTTCTTGGGATTCTCCCTGAGGACTGGCCCTCCCCTGCCTTGCTCTTGCCCCTGGGAACGGCCCACCCTGTCTCCTGCCTCCCCACCCAGACGGGAAGCAGTCACTCTGCCAGCTCTCAAGGACTCATCTCTGAGATTTTAGACAGAATAATTTCCTCTCCCTCTCACGCCTGCCTGTCTGGGGAAATCACACAAGCCACGCAGGCCCCCCCTACGTGCACCCACATGCCCCACAGCCATTGTCTCCTGCACCAGCCAGCAGAAAAGCAGAGTGGGGCATGGGAGGAGGATGCGGAGGCTGCAGGAAGGGGGGGTGACACCCCCAACCCTGAGGGTCTCCTGGTGTCAGGCCAAGAGCTGACATGGACATGGGGAGACAGGAGCCAGGCTCCTTCCAGATCCTCCCACAACCTGGGTTTCAGCCACCCTCAGCCACCCTGCCAAGGCCGCAGGTGCTGCACAAGGCCACAGGCAAATGTCCGGCTGAGGACTGAGGTAGGGGCTGGATCCCACAGCCCATTGGTAACAGAGACTGGATGAGAACGCCCAAGTCCAGTGCTCTTTCTGCACTGCTTCCCAGAATTTCCTGCCACTAGGGACCTGCAGCCAGAAAGGATAGGGCAAGAGGTACAGAGAGAGCAGAGAGAGCCTGCTCCAAGGGAGAGCCTTGGGACACAGGGAGTCTCATTCCTCCCTCCCAGCACGGGCTACGCCCATGCCACTGAGGCCTGAGCCACAGGGCACTGCCTAGCCCTGCTTGGGCCGGGGCTCACCAGCCCTTACAGACAGCAGGCCCCACCTCCAAGACACTACCCCATGGCAGGGGAAAGCCTTGGGGTCCCCATAAAATGCAGGCATCGCCAGACAGAGAATAGGTCTTCCCAGGATGGGAAGATTTACTTAGGGAGGGGCCACCCTGGATACCCTGCCCTCCAGTAGGAGCCAGGTTCCGGAAGATCCCATGAGGGGCCAGTGTGGACCCCTCCCCTTCAACCATCCAGGCCTGCAGGTCTGGGGCTAATGGTGGGGAAAGGGGGCTCCAGCAGCAGAGGAGGGGCAGAGCCAGTGGATGGAGGCAGAAGGCGGGCAAATCTCAGGCACATTTTCTGCAGTGATAAAGACCTTTTGCTCAGCAGCTAGCTTCCACGGCACTTCTCCCCCACATGACACCACGTCAGGGCCCACAGGAGAAAGTCCGGAGTAGGCTGAGGCACTGGGTCCCCTCCCTTCTCCCAAAGACACCTGCCTACAGGGGGCACTGCCCCCTCTCAGAGACTGGGGGTGGAAGCTTAGCTGCAGGGGGTGGGATGGCTCCAGGACAGGAGAGCCATCCAAGAGAAGGCCAGGGCTCTGGGAGAAGAGGGGTCCTACTGCCCTCCCGGAACAGGGCTCCTGGCTCCGTGAAGCCATCTCCACAACTCCCACAGCTGCCTCCTCTTCCCCTCCTCAAACTCCCATGGCCACCTTCAGCTCCCGCGCCATGAGGTCTGCTCCATGACCGCAGGAGCCAGACAGAGGCCAGGGTAGCCTCGGGCAGACAGACACTTTTGTGGGTGTTCACCCAGAGCTAGACCTCAGGGAAAACAGGGGTGGCCTGGGGGCTGAGAATTCGGCAGTCCCAGCACATCCAGGACCATAAATACGCCATGCCCTTTGACCCGCTAACCCCACTGTTTGGAATTCCTCCCAAAAACATAATTGCAAAGGGAAAAATAGCTATATGTGCACAGCTGTTTATAGCAACATTATTTATCATAGTAAACAAGTCAAGTCAGCCAAAATACTTTGCAAGTTTTGGGAGGGGGAACTGTGGGTCAATAAGGTGGGATATTTATTATACTTACAAGAAAAATGGTAAACTTGTAAAATTACTCATACAATAATGTTAACAGCAGTGAGAAGACAAACTTGCACATATCTGTTCGGGCAGCAGACGATGACTGAGCACCCTGGGCTACGCAGCTGCTCCAGGTGCCAGAGAGATCCCCGTGAACAAGACCAAGTCCCCACCCTCATGGAGGGAACATTCCAGAAGTGCACCATAGGGTCAAAGGTAAATTAAAACTACAAGCAAGTACTTCCCCAAGGCAGGGAGATGGACAGAACCGAGTGTTGTCCACTGCGGGGTCCATCCTTCCTGGGCTGGGTGGGTCACCAGGGAGTGGCCCCACAGAGGTCTGCAGGCTCCTAAGGCAGGAGCCAGACCCAGGATCAAAGCAAGGGGCACCTAGCCAAGGGCAGTGGGTCCTGCCAGACCACAGGGTCTTCTCCCCACAGGAGGGAAATTTGTCAGGCTGCTTTTAGGAATCCCATGAACCTTTGGGGTTTGTGGATGAACCAGGGGAGGAGCAGTCCCCGAGATTGTGAGCTGAGTTTTCTACTAACTTAACAAGCTAGGAAGGGTCACAACTGAGGGGCTGGGGATCCATTTTGCCTCCAGCATGGCCAGATCTGCAAGCAGGAGACGTCGTATGGTGGCCTGGGAGGCAAAGGGGTCTGAGTCAGAGGTAAAGGTGTAATCTGAAGGTGGACTGTCCCCCATCCTGCCGGCTCCCTGTGGTCCAGAGAGTTGGAGAAAGCCCCTTGGACCAGAGCATTCCCACACTTGGTCCTGTGTCGGGTAGGAGATTTGCAGGAGGCCGTTTCTGCTGTTCCAGAGCCCAGATGTACTTCCCTGGGGTGCTGGGAGCCAAGGCATGGAACTGCAGTCGCCTCCCAAGTTCAGGGCCCTGGGTGGAGCTGCTGGCTGCAGCCAGGGCCAGGGAGCAGAGATGCCCCTCTGCCACCCTGCCCCACCCCAGGCAATGAAGAAACTCCAAGCTCTGGGTCCGTGGGAGGCACCCGGCAAACAGAGGAGTCGGCAAGCTAACCTTGCTATTAGCAGCGATGGAGAAGTGATGATTGTCTGCACAGCTGTCAGAAGCAGCTCCCCGCTGCCTGGCACCAGCACCTGGGGAGGGGCCGCCACTCATCGGCCTTCACAGAGATGCCCCAGGCTGGGAAAGAAAGACCAGCAGGCCGGACCTTCTGTGCCACCACTCCCTCGTCCTTAGCTGCAGGGATCTTGCCCTTCATCCAGAGACTGAGACCGGGAAGCGAGGCCCACCTCTGCACCTGCCCCCATAGCTGGGCCTTCGTTCCTCAAACTGTAAGCTGGGGATGAAAGTAATACCACCTTTTGTGGCGGAATTGTTGGGAGGGACCAGCGAGATATTTTGTCTGAAGCACCTTGCAAATGGTAAAGGGCTATGGGGTCACTGCTGTTACAATTCTTCTATCAAAAATCTAAAAATCTAATCTTCAGGGCTTTCACTGTCTGTTTCATTCACACAGAATAAAATTGAGGCTCAAGAGGTTACACGATTTGACCAAGTCACACAACTGCAAACAAGTAGGTGTCGGTATTCAGGATTGAAGCCAGGAGGAAGCTCAAAGAGCATCCAGCCCCCATGCTGTAAAAGGGATTCAAGGCCCAGAAACAGAAGGTGATTAGCCTTGCAGCAGGACAGAAGGCAGACAGCACCGAAGCCCAGCTCTGCTCACTCTGCTGGGAGCACTTCTCAGGCCACTGTGGATCTGGGCATTGTCCTCAGCTAGGGGTGGCTGCAGGAGCAGCCTGAGGAATGAACCCATGCCAGAGCACTGAAGATGGGCCCCTGCCCCGCATGCTCCCCACCCAGGTCTCTTCATCTCAAAGGGGCTCTAATAGAGACCCAGAGTGGCTGGAGGAATGCACTTTAATGGTGGAAATGTGGGTTCCAGAGTCTGCTCAAGATGGGGTCCCAGAGCAGGGAAGGAGCCTGCCCAGGCACAAGGCAGGGGCACCTTTCAAAGCTTCATGTGCTGCCTGGGGCCCTTGACAACCCAAGGCCTTCCGGATGCTTTGAACACAGTCTTCTCAGCCCTGCCGCAGCCCCACTTGACAGAAGACAGACGAACTGGGAGGTGAGAGGCACTGCCCGCCTGACCACCCACCACCCATTGCCTCTGCCTTTTGACAGCACTTACGTGGGCAGAGAGGCGGGAATGCTGATTGCACCATGTGGGAGGGACGTGGAGGGTGGGGAGGTGACTCACAGGACAGTGGGGGATAGGAAGCAGCTCCAGAGCCTCCCTGACAGTGAAAGGGAAGGGTGCCTGTGACTCAGGGACAGCTGGGGAGGGGCGGGTGGGAAGGGAGCTCATTCCTTGAACCACGGTTATCTGTACCCAGCAATGTACCCTGGGTGCCTGGGCCCCACTCTTGCCCCCATGGGGCAGTCTTTGCCCTCAGCTTGCTTCCCAGCAGTAGCCAGGCACCCAGTAGCTGCATGATGAGTGAATTCCAATCTTGCCCGCTGCTGCCCAGCTGAGCAGACCTTCGGCAGGCTGAGTGCTCCTCTGCCCTCACATCTAGGCCTATAGATGGGAGCAGAGCTGATTGCCCATCCTGCAGCTGTGAATATTACAGCTTCCAGCAGCTTCTTGCTGCAGACTTGCTGAGAGGACTGAGCACTATAGCAGGCCACCCCAGCCCCCAGGAACCCCCTCTGAGATGGCCCCCACAAATAGCGAATAAATGCCCTACTCCCAGGCCCCCTTGCTTGCAGTTCTCCTTTCACCCCTGCCCTGCACTGAGCCCCCTGACTATGGCTCCCTGATTCATTCTCACCAATACCCAGTGTCCCCAGAACGCAACACACTGGGCCCTGGCAGGGCACAGGGGAAACAGCACATTTCAGACTGGGACTTTTCAAACCCAAAGAGAGTCTCCCACCTGGATGGAGGCAGAAGAGAGTCAGGCTCACATGGTTGAACTCTGTCCCCTGTGCCCATAACACTCAGCCCATCCCCTACCACCTCCTCCCAGGCCACCTTCCCTGACATCGAGCCCATCTATCACCAAAGTCTCCCCAGAGCCCAACTACTATCATCCCCAGCCCTGCCTCAGCCAGGCCACTGCCTTTCTATCCAGAAGACCCATCACTTTCTATCTGGGAGACCCAACCAGTCAGCTCTGTCCTGAGATGGAAATGCAGCTGCAGGGAGGGGAGCTGGGGCGCAGGCTTCTTCCTCTGGTCATCCAGCCATCCATCCATTGGTTCATCTGTCTGTCCATCTATCCACCTATCTACACATCCATCCATCCATTCATTCATCTGTCCATCCATCTATCCATCTACCATCCATCCATTCTTCCATTCACTCATCTGTCTGTCCATCTAGCCACCCGTCCATCTATCCACCAATCCATCCATTCTTCTGTCCATCCATCTATCCATCTAGCATCCATCTACTCATTCATCCATTCACTCATATCTTTCCATCTATCCATCCATCCATCTGTCCACCCATCAATCCATTCATCTGCCTATCCATCTAAGCATCCATCCACCATCTATCCATTCCTCCATCCATTCATTCATCTGTCTATCCATCTATCTGTCTATCCATCCATCCATTGATCCATTCATTCACTCATTTCTCTGTCCATCTATCCATCCATCCATCCATCCATCTACCATCCACCCATCCATCTGCCATCCATCCATCCATCTGCCATCCATCCATTCATTTATATGTCTATCCATCTACGCATCCATCCACCTAGCTATCTATCCATTCCTTCATCCATTTATTCATCGGTCCATCCATCTATCTATCATCCATCCATTCATCCATCCATCTTTCATCTGTCTATCCATCTATGCATCCACCCACCTATCTATCCATTCCTCCATCCATCCATTCATTCATCTGTCTGTCCATCTATCCATCCATCCACCCATCTATCCATCCATCCATCCATTCATCCATCCAACCATCCATCCATCCATCCATTCATCTGTCCATCTATCCGTCCATCCATTCATCTGTCCATCTATCCATCCATCCACCCATCTATCCATCCATCCATCCACCCATCTATCCATCCATCCACCCATCTATCCATCTATCCATCCACCCATCTATCCATCCATTCAGCCATCCATCCATTCATCCATTCATCTGTTCATCCATCCACACATCCATCCATCTAATCTCAGAATGCTTAATGATGTCACGCCGTGCACATGGGTCTCCTGGAACATCAGCTCTAAAGGGGGAAGGATTACTTCTAGGTTTGTTCCCTGTGGTAACCTAGTGCCTAGAAGTTGGCAGAAAGTCAGTGTTGAATACATATTTGTTGAATGTCAAATGACTGAATGAATGAATAGATTCTTCACCTGGAGAAGGGGAGTAGAGCTCACCAGCTCTCATCTTCAACTCTGGATGATCCAGTCCAAATCCCAGGCCATCCAGAGGTACAGCCCCAAGTCCATGAAAGGGCATGACTTGTCCAAAGCCACCTGGCAAGGAAAGAGCAGGGCCGGGTGTCCGGCCTGGGTATTCTTCACCCAAATTAGTGTTTTCCCCCCTAACTACTAAGAGCCTCCTGTGCCGGCAGTCCCTGGGAGCAGCAGCAGAAGCCTAGAGCCCAGGAGCGGAGCCAGTGGCCAGAGTAGAAGCCAAGACTAGGAGCCTCTGAAGAGCAGGAACCTTCCTGAGTGGGGTTTGGATATTCCCAGCAGGAGGAAGAGTGTGTGCTGTGTGGCAAAGCTGTCCCAGCTGCCCAGAGGAGCAGCAAGTGCTCTGTTGGCCTTGCAATCCCTGCCCCATGGCAGGATGAACAGGCTCTGGCCTGGAATGCACCAACTGGGCAGCCCTCCAAGCCCAGCCACCGCCCCTAGGCCTTCATGCCCCTCCACCTCTAGCTCTGGGGGCCCCAGGAGTCAATGCCCACTTCAGCTCCAGCCAACATGGCCTGGGATCTGGTCTGATCTAGGCTCTGACCTCAGCTCTGCCCCTAGCTGGCTGCGTGGCCTTGGAAAGCTCACTTCTCCTCTCTGCCTCAGGCAAGCCCTGCTCCTCAGCCTCACTCAGGACTGCGGAAAAATGCATGTTCTTGGGCCCGTCACTAGTGATTCTGCTTCAACATGTCTGCAGAGAACTCAGAAATAAGCAGTTTACAAATGCTGCCATTTAAGCGTTTAAGGAGACAGGCTGAATGAGGGTGGAGGGCCCCATGGCTGAACCACCCCATGGCATCTGGCTCTGGGCAGGCCACCTGAACAGTGCCCGGCCTTGGTCCTCTTAGTTGCTCAATGAGGAAGCCCAGGGAATCCTGTGGGTGTTGGCAGGTCCTGTGGGAGATGGTGTGGTGACAGCACTTGGCCATACCTTACAGGACTCCAAAGGGTAAGGGGCTCAGGTCTGTTGGGATCCATTTCTGCTGTGAGTAACAGCACCTGAATACCATGGAAGTTGATTTCTCACTCCTATCTCTCTGTGGGAAGCCCAGAGCACTTACTGGCAAGGGAAGGGGTCTCAGAGGTGGAGGGAGCCCCCACCCCACAGCCCCAGCCTCCCAGGCAGCATAGGGTGGGGGCAGGAGCATACTGAAGTCCTGCCTTTCTTCCCTCAGCTTGCAATTTCAGCTGTGTGTGGAGCCTTGCTGGGCCTCAGTTGCCTTGTCTGTGATGTGGGTGTAGTGATAGTGTCCACTCTAGGAGGTGGTCACTTTGAGGATTCGATGAGGTCATCTGTGCAGCACACCTGCTCAGGGCCTGCGCGTGGCACTCCACAGAGCACAAGGCCAGCTCTACTCCTCCAGGCTGCTGCAAAGTGCTGCCAGTGCAGGGGCCTCTCCCTGGGGACTCAGGAAAGGCCAGAATCCATGAGGCTGTTGCTCTGGCCCTGCTGCCTGCATCGCTGATCCATCCTCAGCCTGAACCTCAAGGGCTGCAGCTCAGACACAGCTTTGCTGCTGCTTCCTAGGAACAGAGTGAGGACTCAAAGGGAGGTGCTGGGAGCAACCAAGGACATCAGTGCCTCCTTCTCAACCAGACACCCTGGGCTCTGAGCCCTAATGGTTCTCCCTCCCACTGTGGCCTAAGTGTCTTCACATTCAAGGCTCTGGCAGTCAAGAGGATTACATCTCAACATGAGATTTGGAGGGACCATCCAAACTATATCACACGGTAAGACATGATGTATGTTTATACACTTTATTGGACAATTCGTTTACTGACAGCCAAAAGCACCCTCACAAATACAAAGGCTCAACACTATCTGGGGAGTATTTCCAGCCTCATTTTCCACCACTGCCCTTTGATGCCTCTCTAGGTGAAAAGTGTGTTGCTTTCTCTTTGCTTTGGCTGCTGCCAGACCCCTCTAGTCTCCTCAAATTGGTGAACTCCTAGTCATCCTTTAAAGCCCAACTCAAATTCCCCCACCTCTGCAAAGGCTTCTGAGCTCCCCTAGGCAGAACTCAAAGCCCTGTCTTGCTGCCTTCAAATGTCTTCACTGTGGAATTTCTCACATCATTCTCCAGCCACTTGTCTGCTGGCCACTCTGCTGCACTGTGAGCTCTTGTGTGCCGCAGCCCTTTCTCCATGATCTGTTATCCCCTAGCATTGCACCTGGTATGCTGCAGTGCTGGTCAATGCTGCATATTGCATTACTGAAAACACTGCTTCCTCCAGGCCTCCTGTAACCCTTGGCTCTCCTGATGTTCTTGCCCAGCTGGGCAGGAAGGTGGTGCATCTCTCATGTCCCAGGGGAAACAAGCTCTCAGCGAGTGCACAGTATGGGAATAGGCTCCTGCTGCACCACACTGTCCCTGCTCTCTTCAACCCAGGTGGGATCCCTGGCCCAGACAGGAAAAAGGACATCCAAGGTCACCAGGCTGCTTGGAGCAGAGTGGGGCCTCCAGAATTGGGTAGGAAACACTGGGTGTGTTTCAGAGCTGGCACGACAGCTGTCCAAATTGACACAACAGTGCAGGAGGCAGGAGCTGTGGGAGTGTGGGGAGCTGTCAGGTGCTGAACAATGCCACCTGCCAGCCACTGAGGAGCAGAGGGGATGGGGAAATGGGGGGAGAGGGAGGGGAGTTTGGCACCGGGAATGGGCCTGGGATGCCTCCCCCAAGAACCCTCCCCTCACAAGCCCATGTCCCTCAGCCTCAGGAACCAGAGGGGCCATGGGTGAGGGGAAAGGAGCAAGAGAGCTGAGTCGGAGCTCACCCTGGGCAAAGGTGTGGACTGCTGGCTCAGGGTCCACTAGGGCTCCTTTGGGAAGCAAACAACCACCGGGGATTAGAGGACTTTGGAGACTAGGATGGTGCTTTGTCTGTCTGGGGGGCCGGGACCAGTGCCAGGAGTGTCATACATTGCTGGGGAGCTGGGCCAGGCTCCTGGGCTCCCACCCTGCTCCTCTGAGAGCGGACAGCAGGTTTGAGTAAGCGCTGTGCCCTCTGAGCCTTCCTGGAGCCCCATGGAGCTGGGATCCAGGTGCTGATCTGCCCTGGCCACAGCACACAGATGCTGAGAAGTCAGTGAGGCCTTTTAGGAAGGCAAGCTGCAGGCAGGGGCTTGCCTTCCTAAGACCTGAGCTCCCAGGCAGGGTGTGCAGGGGAGAAAAGGCCACAGGCTGCAGCCAGGAGTTGCTTTGTTTTTGTTTATTTATTAGAGTTTAAAGATTTTTTAAATTGTCCAAGAATATATCATTTTGTTAGAAAAACTTGAAGTATTACAGGCAGTGCTAATATGTCTCTTAACCACCTAACCCTCCCACAAAACAAATCTCTGTTTCTAGAGGTAACCACTTCAGCTACTACCGTTTAATAAAAATAATACATGCCACCCTCCGAAAAAAATACACTTCAAGCCATACCAAATGTCTAAGATAAAATGTTTCCCTTTCCCTAATAATCATGAACAATTTCTTGGGTACTCCTCTGGATCTTTTAAAACTCATATTCATATTCAGGCACCAGATATTTGTTGTTTTCTCATAAAGAAGAATCGATACTTAATGATAGGAATAATAGGTCCTGCTCTGCATCCTCCCCACCTCCTGGGTTCCTGTGACGCCTTGGCTTCTCCTTGCACACCCAGAGAGACCCAGCCAGGGCCCCGCACTTTCTTCACCCTTTTCCCTGGGGGTGGACGCCCGTGGTCTTTCCTGTTTCTTTCCCAGGCAGCACAGGAGAAGCACACATACCCTCAGTCCTGGGTGCATGTAGGGTGTCTGACCCTGAGATCGCCACTCAGCGGGTCCTGGGCAGCTTCCGCAGGGACTTGGCCTCTGCTTCCTCCACTGCAGCTGGGGGGTTGGACTGGATCTAGTCCATTCGAACCTCCCCAAGGATGGGCAGGGGGCACACCCCTCCCACTGTGCCTGTCCTAGCAGATGACACGGACCCGGAATGTGGGAGCACCAGGGGTTTGCTCTGGGCCAAACACCCCTGGACACCCCTGCTCCTCTGCCCCCACCCACTCTTTACTTCTTCTTTCCCTCCCAATACCACAAGTCCCCACGCCATGGCAGAGACAGGAGCCTGCGTGGCCAGCAAGCCCAGCGAAGGGGGCTCAGGTGTCATCTCCACCCCCAGCAGAGGAGGGAGAACACCCCCAGCCAGCTTTGCAGCTCCCCCATTTCTCCCTCTCCCGCTGCTGCTACTGGTTCAAAAGATAAAATAAAAACCCTCTGCATCAACAAATAAAATAAAATCACAATAAAAAATTTATATTCCTGGGATGTAGGTCTTTCCAAACAGGAGCAGCTGCTGCCAGAGCTGAGTTTGGCAGAAGCAGGGCCGGGCTTTTTTTCTTACTAGGAGTTTCTTTTTTGTTCTTTTTTTCCCAAGGAGGCACATCCAGTTAAATTACATTCCTGGAATGGGAGCTCCATGTGCTTTCCTGGTCATCAAAGCTGCCGTTTGTTAGCATGTTCTTTGCCTGTTATCTTGTTTGTTTGTGAGGATTGCTGGAGTTTCTTTTTTGAGATGGAGTTTTAGGCTGTTGCCCAGGCCAGAGTGCAGTGGCGCGATCTCACCTCACAGCAACCTCCACCTCCAAGGTTCAGGCAATTCTGCTGACTCAGCCTCCCAAGTAGCTGGGATTGCAGGCGTCTGCCACCACACCCAGCTAGTTTTTTGTTTTTAGTAGAGATGGGGTTGGATTGTTGGAGTTCCTGAGTGACAGGATGTTGCAGCAGAGGTGGTGAGTACAGGAGAGGGGGGTATCCACGAAGTCAGGAGAGCTGCCTAGCAACTGGAAGCCAAAGGGGTCAACCCACCAGCCCCGCTAGAGACAGCTGTCTGCAGCTCAGACCTCGTTGAATACGGCAGCCACTCATTTGGCTAAATGTGGGGATGCATTAAAGACATTTGCAGACATCCTTTCTTCTATTGCACCTTTTCTCACGAAACTTTTAGAAGCATTCTGTCAAAACTGCAGACTAGAACATGAGTCACCCCCTGCACGATGCCCAGTCCTGTCACTGGGCAGTTTCCTGAAAGCTGCTACCGTCCCCCATCTGAGTTCCGGATGCAGTGCCAAGCCTGGGCTGGGGGCAGGGAGGAGCTGGCCCAGTGAACGGAGCACAAACCACGACAGCCCAATAAGGGGTCCCCAGTGAGAGATAGAGCAAAGGGGTGCATTCAACATTCAAGTTCCCAAGACCCCTACAACACAGGCTGTACCCAGTGTTGGCATGTGGTAAGGGGCCTGTTGTGCAGGTTGGCCACTGCTCAATTAAAAAAAAAGTGGCAGCTGCCAGAGGCTGGCCTTGAACCAGGGAAGCTACCCACTCTTTAGCCAGCACTCTGCACTCTATTATGTGGCCATTACAGAATGAAAGTGTGGCCTGGATATTGCCCCAGACCTCGACCCTGAGAGCTCAGTGCCACTGGCTGCCCAGAGCCCCTCTCTGTCTGTCTCTCCTTGGCCTGTAGGAGAGTGTGGCCACAGGTAGTATCCAAAGCCTTTCCTTAGGGCCTTCTCCTGACCTATCCTGCTTCCCGGGCTCAGGGGACATCTCCCAGAGTTCCGACTGCATGACTGAAGATCCAGAGAGCCTCACGGAAGGGGTTGTGTGTTGTCTTTCCCACATCCCTTTCTTCTCTCTGTCCCTCTGCCCCTCTCCTTGCCTGGGAGAGCTCCAGAGTCACCTTCCTCCATCACAGAGCAATTGAGCTCCAGGCCAACAACCCTAAGATGGGCAAACCCAGCCCATCTTTGGCTCAGCCAAATCCTCCAGTTCCCAGCCACCCACCCACTTGCAAACACACTTATGTCTTCACCCCACAGGTGACCTGTGCCATACTCCTAGGAGTGTTCAAACTCTTGCCCCGTGCCACTCTATGCAGAGGGGCCGGCTTCCATCCATGGGACTAAAATGGTTGAATCCTTATGCTTTCGAGGCACAGTTCAACCAGGAGAGACACAGCTGGGACAGGAATAAAGGGGCGTATGGTGCTCTGGCTTTCCTGAATCATGAACCTGGAGCTCCAGCTGGCAGTGGCATGGGCTTACATGGACTTTTGGGGGAATAAGGGAGCAATTCAAACTCCTCTCCTGAGCAAGAGGAAACAGGGCTCAGGAGGAAGATCCTGAGTGTCTGTCCATGTCCCTCATCCAGGCCTGAATCACTGCTTTCTCCCCATGGACAAGTGAGGTGTGGAAACAGACCCAACCATGCCAGGGTGCGAGGACACCGGGATCTGGCAGTGGCTGTTCCTCAGGTCACACCCCTTTCTGGGTCCCAGGGTGACATCCATCCAGGGATGAGGCGAAATGGACTCTATGGGGAATGTAGAGCCAGTCACCACTCCCTGGCCACCCTAGCCTGGCTGTCTGGAGGGCTATTTGAAGAATTCTGATACGGCCTTGGCTCAGTAGGAACAAATGCAGCATGACAGGCACAGATGTGGTCAGATGTGGCCAAGGATTTGTCAGACCAGCCTAGATGCCTGTGAGATCCAGGCCTGGCATATGTTCATTGCTTCTCTGATCAGACAGCAAGTGCCACAAATGTGGCCACACACCATCCGAGGCCGCTCTGAGAGACCAGACTGGCTCTGGCGGCTCCAGAGGTCTGCTCTTGGGTCTTTTTTCCTGTGAGCCCCATTCCCGGAGGAGCAGCTGCAGCTCAGGGGAAGGGGTGATGCTCCCTCAGGGAACAGCGCCATGACTCTACGACAGTCAGTACTGGCAGCTGTCAGAGCTGTCATTCCCTGAGCGCAACTCTTAATGAGGGCCCATTAAGTCTCCTCTTATGACTGCATAATTGTTGCCATGAGGAGGCTTTGTTCTCTTTATTTTGGAAATGAAAGAGTTTTATATCCCTAAAGCAAGAGAGATGCACACCAGCTCGGGGCTTGCACTGGAGAACACAGAACGGCAGGGCAGGGGCTCCACTGGGTTGGGGCTCTGGTGTCCCCAGGCTACTGCAGACACATCCCAGAGCCCAGGGAGCAGCAGCTGTTGTTTCTGCAGCAGAGCGGAGCGGCCAGGTCAGCTCCAGCCCTCCTGTGAGCTGTGGGAAGTTGCCACAGGCCCACCAGCCCTCCTCACTTCTCCTGTAGCTCCCAGCAACTGTCATCATGAACCGTCTGCACCCTCACCACCCCTTAGGGGCTGGGCAGTGGTAGGGCTCTTATTCCCATTGATCATGAGAAAACAGAGGACACTGGTTGGCCTGGCCAGTGTCCCTCAGGTGTAAAGGAAGGATTAACAGGAAGAAGAAGTTGAGCATGTCCTATGTCCAAGGTACATCTGCTCTAAGTCTTCACATACACGACCTCACCTGCTCACTACCACAGGCTGCAGAGGAGGAGCTGAGCTCCCATGTTAAGGTGAGGCTTGGAGGCATTAGGTGAAGTGTCCAGTACAACAGCTTCTATGTGACCAGCTGGGCTTTCAGTCCAGACATTTCTACCTCTCCAGCTTCCCATCCTCAAGAATGTGGCTGGGCCAGACCCAGACTCTGAGGACATTCAGGGACACTGTGCCTCGCCAGCCCTCTGAAGTGCTCAGAACGCGTGTCCCGACCCCACTGCATGCCAGGAACCGTGCATTGGGAAGTGGGTGGACAGGAGAGACAAGACATGCTCCTTCCCCAAGAGGAGGCTGCAGGCAGCAAGGGAAACCCTTAGGTAAGCTCGGAACAGCCGTCCACCACTGGGACCATGAGCTGCATCCTGCCTTGGGGGGCTGTTTTGGTGGGAGTGTGCTGGGCAAAGAAGGGAAGGACATCCAGGCAGAGGGGACGCCTGGGCAAAGGCTCGAAGGTGCAGAGGCGAGAGGCATTTGGGAGCTGGTGAAGGCATTGGGGGTGGCCTCCAATTGAATAATATGCATTTAAGGTTCCTTCTTGTCTTTTCATGGCTTAAAAGCTCATTTCTTTTTAGTGCTGAATAATATTCCATTGTCTGGATGTACCACAGTTTGTCCACTCACTTACTCAAAGACATCTTGATAGCTTACAAGTTTTGGAAATTTGGAATAAAGCTGCTAAAAACATCCATGTGCAGTTCTTTGTGTGGATGTACATTTTCAACCCATTTGGATAAACAGAATGGACTTGCAGTTGCTGGATTACATGGTAAGAGCATACTTAGTTTTCCAGTTTCTTCTAAAGTGTCTGCACCACTTTGCATTCCCACCAATAGTGAATGAGAGTTCCTGTTGCTCCACATCATCACCAGCATTTGGGGTTGTAAGGGTTTGGATCTGGGCCATTTTGATAGGTGTGTAGTGCTATCTCATTGTTTTAATTTGCAGTTCCCTAATAGCATATGATGTTGAGCATCTTTTCATATGCTTCTTTGCCATTTGTATGTCTTCATTGGTGAGTTGTCTATTCTGGTCTTTTGCCCATTTTTAATTGGGTTATTCATTTGCTTATTGTTGAGTTTAAAGAGTTCTTTATACATTTTAGATAACAGTCCTTAAAAGAATTCATTGTTGGCTGGACATGGTGGCTTACCCCTGTAATTTCAGCACTTTGGGAGGCCGAGGCGGGCAGATCACCTGAGGTCAGGAGTTCGAGAACAGCCTGGCCAACATGGCAAAACCCTGTCTCTACTAAAAATACAAAAAAAATAAAAAATGAGCCGGGTGTGGTGGCACATACCTGTAGTCCCAACTATTCGGGAGGCTGAGGCAGGAGAATCCCTTAAACCTGGGAGGCAGAGGTTGCAGTGAGCTGAGATTGTGCCACTGCACTCCATCCTGGGCTACAGAGAGAGACTCCATCTCAATTTTAAAAAAATGTATTGTTTAGTGCATGTATTTATTTCCTTTTAAAAAGGTTTATTGACACTTAATGTCTTCTTATTCTCTTGGAAGTGTGTTCCACAGAGCAGAAGTCTTTAACTTTAATGAAGTCCAGCTTATCAAATATTTTCATTCATGAATTGCACCGTTGATGATGTATTTTAAAAGTCATCACTGTCCCATGATAATCTAGATTTTCTCCTATGTTATCTTGTAGAACTTTTATAGTTTTGCATTTTGCATTTAGGTTTTTAATCCATTTTGAGTAAATTTCTATGAGGGGTATATGGTGTTTGTCTAGATTCTTCTTCTTCTATTTTTTTTTTGCGTTTGTGTGTCTATGTCTATTTGTTCCAGCACCTTTTGTTGAAAAGATTGATTTTGCTCTACAGTTTTGCCTTTGATCCTTTCACAAAGATGAGCTGACTGTATTTTATGGGGATCTATTTCTAGGCTCTCTGTTCCATTTATCTACTTGTCTATTCTTTCACCAATCCACACTGTCATGATTATGATCGTTTTATAGCAAGTCTTGAAGCCAGGTAGCATCAGCCCTCCAACTTTGTTCTTCTCCTTCAATATGGTGTTGACTATTGTGGCTCTTCTGCCTCTTTGAATAAACTTTAAAGTTAGTTTTCAATATCCAGAAAATACCTTGCTAAGATTTTGATTGGGATTATATTTGATGCATAGATGAAATTGGAAGAACTGACATCTTGACAATATGAGTCTTCCTGTGCATGAACAAGGAGTATCTGTCCATTACTGAGTTCCTCTTTGATTTCTTTCACCAGAATTTTGTAGTTTTCCTTATATAGATCTTATACATATTTTGTTAGGTTTATACCTAAATATTTCAATTTAGGGGGTGTTAATGTAAATGGCATTGTGATTTTTTTCTGATATATTCTTATTAAAAGTTTTTCTGGGTACATAATATATATATCATATATGTATCTCATATTTTATATATATATATGAGGTACATGAGATGCTTTGATACAGGCATGCAATGAAATAATCACATCATGGAGAATGGGATATCCATCCCCTCAGGCATATCCCTTTGTATTACAAACAATCCAATTACACTCTTTTAGTTATTTTTAAATGTACAAGCAAGTTTTTATTAACTATATTCATCCTGTTGTGTTATCAAATACTAGGTCCTATTCCCTCTTTCTAACTATTTTTTGTACCCATTAACCATCCCCACCTCACCCCCACTATCCTTCCCAGCCTCTGGTAACCATTCCTCTACTCTCTATCATCATGAGTTCAATTGCTTTAATTTGTTTAGCTCACATATATAAGTGAGAACATGCTATGCTTGTCTTTCTATGCCTGGCTTATTTCACTTAACATAATGATCTCCAGTTCCAGCCATGTTGTTGCAAATGATAGAATCTCATTCTATTTTACAGCTGAATAGTACTCCATTGTGTGTATGTACCACATTTTCTTTATCCATTCATCTGTTGGTGGACACTTAGGTTGCTTCCAAATCTTAGCTCTTATGAACAGTGCCACAACAAACACGGTAGTGCATATATCTCTTTGATATACTGATTTCCTCTCTTTTGGGTATACACCTGTGAATGAGATTGCTGGATTATGAGGTAGCTGTATTTTTAGTTTTCTGAGGAACCTTCAAACTGTTCTCCATAGTGGCTGTACTAATTTGCATTCCCACCAACAGTGTACAAAGTTTCCCTTTTCTCCACACCCTCACCAGCATTTGTTATTGCCTGTCTTTTGGATATGAGCCACTTTAACTGCAGTGAGAGGATATCTCATTGTAGTTTTAATTCGTATTTCTCTGATGATCAATGACGTTGAGCACCTTTTTATATGCCTGTTTGCCATTTGTATGTCTTCTTCAGAGAAATGTCCATTCAAATCTTTTGCCCAGTTTTTGATAGGATTATTATATTTTTTTCCTTATAGAGTCGTTTAGCTACTCATATATTCTGGTTATTAGTTTCTTGTCAGATGGGTAGTTTGCAAATATTTTCCACCATTTGGTGGGCTGTCTCTTCAGTTTGTTGATTGTTTCCTTTGCTATGTAGAAACTTTTTAACTTGATGTGCTACCATTAGTCCAATTTTGCTTTGGCTGCCTCTGTTTGTGGGGTATTGCTAAATAAATTTTTGGGCCAAGCGTAGTGGCTCACACCTATAATCCCAGTCCTTTGTGACACTTAGGGGGGTGGATTGCTTGAGGCCAGGAGTTCAAGACTAGTCTGGCCAACATGGTGAAACCTTGCCTCTACTAAAAATACAAAAATTAGTGGGGCATGGTGGCACACACCTGTTATACCAGCTATCTGGGAGGCTGAGATGCAAGAAAGGCTTGAACCCAGGAGGTGGAGGTTGCAGTGGGCAGACATACGCCACTGCACTCCAGCCTGGGTGATAGATCAAGACTCTGTCAGAAAGAAAGAAGGAAAGAAGGAAGGAAGGAAGGAAGGAAGGAAGGAAGGAAAGAAGGAAGGAAGGAAGGAATTTTTGCCCAATGTCCTGGAGATTTTCCCCAATGATTCCTTATAGTAATTTCATAAGCCTTTAAACACTTTTGATTTGATTTTACATATGGCAAGATACAGAAGTCTAGGATTTAGTTTCATTCTTCTGCATATGGAAATCTAGTTTTCTCAGCACCATATACTGAAGAGACTATCTTTTCCCCAGTGTGTGTTCTTGGCACCTTTGTTGAAAATGAGTTCACTGTAGGTGTGTGGATTTGTTTCTAGGTTCTCTATTCTGTTCCACTGGGTCTATGTGTCCATCATTATGCCAGTACCATGCTGCTTTAGTTACTATAGCTCTGTAGTATAATTTGAAGTCAAGTAATGTGATTCCTCCAGTTTTGTTCTTTTGGCTTAGGATAGCTTTGGCTATACTGGGTCTTTTGGGGTTCCATATAAATTTTAGGATTTTTTTTCTATTTATGTGAACAATGTCATTGGTATTTTGATAGGGATTGCATTGAATCTATAGGTTGCTTTGAATATTATGGACATTTTAACAATACTGATTCTTTCAATCCATGATCCTGGAATGTCATTCCATTATTGGATGTCCTCTTCAATTTATTTCATCAGTGTTTTATAGTTTTCGTTATTGAGGTCTTTCACTTATTTGGGTAATTCCTGGGTATTTTATCTTACGTGTTGCTATTGTAAATGGGATTACTCTTTTAATTTCTTTCTCACATTGTTCACTGTTGGCATATAGAAATACTACTGATTTTTCTATGTTGATTTTGTATCCTGCAACTTTACTGAGTTTATCATTTCTAATAGTTTTTTATGGAATCTAGGTTTTTTTTCAAATGCAAGATCATATCATCTGCAGACAAGCATAATTTGACATCTTCCTTTCCAATTTGGATGCCCTGTATTTCTTTCTCTTGTCTGATTACTCTAGCTAGGACTTCCAGTCCTATGCTGAATCAACAGTGGTAATAGTGGGTGTCTGTGTTGTGTTCCAGATCTTTGAGGGAAGGCTTTCAGTTTCTTCACATTCGGTATGATACTAGCTGAATGGTATTGTGTGTTAATTTCAAGTTCCACTTGTTCTTTGTAGGTATCTAGGAAAGTGACTGGCTTTTGTATATTAACCTTGTATCCTGCAACCTTAGTATAATTATTGATTTTCTAATTTTTAAATTTCTTTCTTTTTTTTTTTTTTTTGAGACAGAGCCTTGCTCTGTAACTAGGCCAGAGTGCAGTTGTGTGATCTAGGCTCACTGCAGACTCCACCTCCTAGATTCATGCGATTCTCCCACCTCAGCCTCCCAAGTAGCTGGGATTACAGGCATGCACCACCATGCCCAGCTAATTTTTGTATTTTTGGTAGAGACAGGGTTTTGTCATGTTGCCCAGGCTCGTCTCTGAACTCCTGGGCTCAAGTGATCCACCCATCTTGGCCTCCCAAAGTGCTAGGATTACAGGTGTGAACCAGTATGTCCAGCCTAGAAATTTTTTGCTTATTCTTTTCAGATTTTCTATATAGACAAACATGTCATCTGCAAACAGAGAATATATTTTTTTCTCCTTTCCAATCTGTATACCTTTCATTTCCCTTGCTTGTGTTATCACATTAGCTAAGACTCTGGCACAATGTTGAAAAAAGAGTGGTGAAAGGAGACATCCTTGCTTTGTTCCTGATCTTAGCAGGAAAGCTGTTTCTCACCATTAAGTATAATGTTAGCTATAGGTTTTTTGCTGATGTTCTTTATCAAGTTGAGGAAGTTCCCCTCTAGTACTAGTTTACTGAGAGTTTTTTACCATGGGTGTTGTACTTCGTCAAATGTGATTTCTGCATCTATTGATATAATCATGTGATTTTTCTTCTTTAGCCTGTTGGTGTGATAATTTATATACCTAAATAAGTTTTGAATATTAAACCAGCTTTGCATACCTGGGATAAATCCCTCTTTGTCTTGGTGTATAATCCTTTGTTTACATTGTTAGATTCTACTTGCTTTTATTTTGTTGAGGAATTTTGCATCTATGTTCATGAGAAATATTGGTCCCATAGTTTTATTTTCTTATAATGGCTTTGTATGATTTTGGTATTAGGGTAATGCTGGCCTCTTAGGATGAGTTAGGAAGTATTCTCTCTGCTTCCATTTTCTGGAAGAGACTGTAGAATTTTGATATAATTTCATCCTTGAATGTTTGTAGAATTCACTGGTGAACCTATCTGGGCCTGGTGCTTTCTATTTTGAAAGGTTATTAATTATTGATTTGGTTTCTTTAACACAGATAGACCTGTTCAGATTGTCTTTTTTTTTTTTTGAGACAGTCTCTCACTCTGTCACCCAAGCTGGAGTGCAGTGGTGCAGTCACTCCTCACTGCAGCCTTGACATCCTATGCTCAAGCAATCCTCCCACCTCCACCTCCCAAGTAGCTGGGACAACAGGCACGCACCACTATACCCATCACATTTTTTATTTTGTAGAGACAGGGTCTCACTATGTTGGCCAGGCTGGTCTCAAACTCCTGGCCTCAAGAGATCCTCCCACCTCAGCCTCCCAAAGTGCTGGGATTACATGCATGAGCCACCATCTCCCAGCACAGATTGTCTATTTCTTCTTGAATGAGTTTTGACAGAATGTATATTTCAAGGAATTGTTCCATTTCATCTAGGTTATCAGATTTGTGGGCTTCGAGTTTTTCATAATATTCCTTTATGATCCTTTCAATATCCATAAAAGACATTAGTGATGTCACCCCTTTCATTTTTCATATTAGTAATTTGTGTCTTCTTTTTTTCTTGGCCTGGCTGGAGGCTTATGAGTTTCACCTACCTTCAAATAAACAGGTTTTGATTTTGCTGATTTTCTCTACTGATTTCCTGTTTCCAATTTCATTGAGATGTTTTAATTTTTATTATTTACTTTCTTCTGTTTATTTTGGATTTAATTTGTGCTTTTTTCTACTTTCCTAAGTGGAAGCTTAGATTACTGATATTTGACATTTCTTCTTTTCTAATATAGAATCTAAGAATCACTTTAATTCATTCAATGTTATAAATTTCCCTCTAATCACTGTTTTTGCTACATCCCACACATTTTGATTAGTTGTCTTTTCATTTTCATTAGTTCAAAATCTTGTTTAATTTCCTTAGATTTCTTCTTTGGCCCAGATATTACTTAAAAGAGTATTGTTCAGTCTCCGGGTATTTTGATGATTTCCAGCTGTCTTTATTTTATTGATTTGTAGTTTAATTCTGTTGTGGTCTGAGAGCACACAGTATATGACATATATTCTTTAAATTTGTTAAGGTGTGTTTCGTGTCCCAAAATGTGGTATCTTGGTGAATGTTCCATGCCAGCTTGAGAAGAATGTGTAATTTTCTGTTATTGGATGAAGTAGTTTGTACAGGTTCATCATATCCAGTTGATTGATGGTGTTGTTGAGTTCGACTATGTTCTTATTGATATTCTGCCTGCTTGGTCTGCCAATTTCTGATCAATGAGTGTTGAAGTCTTCAACTTTAGTAATGGATTCATCTGTTCCTCCTTGTAGTTCTGTCAGTTCTTCCCTATAACTATACCAAGATGCCACTTCTCAGCTATTAAATTCAATAATTTATTCAGATGGTGAGCCTGTTTGATAACGGGAATTCTTATACATTCCCGGAAGGAATACAAAATGGTGCAACTCTTATGGAAGGGAAATTTGGTGTTGTCTAAAAACATGCATAATTGCATATGCACGTATATTTTTTTCTCTCTCTCTCTCTTTGTGTGTCTCTGTCTTTTTCTGTCTCTGTGTGTGTCTCTATCTCTCTCTGTCTTTCTTCTTCCCTCCTTCCTTCTCTACAGTGAGCAGTGAGCTCAGAGATCCCATAGAGTTAATTTGTTTTTGTTTTTCTGTTTCTTTTTGTTTCTTTGTTTTTTGTTTTTTTGTTGGGTTATGGGGTTTTTTGTTGTTTTTGTTTGTTTGTTTGTTTGTTTGAGACAGAGTCTTGCTCTGTCACCCAGGCTAGAGTGTAATGGCATGATCGTGGCTCACTACAACCTCCGTCTGCTGGGTTTGAGTGATTCTCCTGCCTCAGCCTCCCAAGTAGCTGGGATTACAGTCTCCTGCCACCACACCCAGCTAATTTTTGTATTTTTAGTGGAGATGGGGTTTCCCCATATTGTCCAGGCTGGTCTCGAACTCCTGACCTCAGGTGATTTGCCTGCCTCGGCCTCCCAAATTGCTGGGATTACAGGCATGAGCCACTGTGCCTGGCCTGAGTCAATTTATTTTAATCGTTTTTATTTTTTATGTTCTTGTTGATCTATTTCTGACTAGTAAGAGCCCCTATGTCCTTTTGACTCAAGCTATTACTCTTTGATAACTTCCTAGCTTTCTGGCATGGAAAATATTCCAGGATCATCTGTATGTTTCCTGCCCTAGACCCAGAATCAGCCATTCTTTCAAGGAAACTTGATTCCTTATCCTTTAAGGAACCCTGTTTCCTTTCATTGGAGACCAGGGTTAAGAGGACCACATGCCAGTTATGGGCAACTCATTGCCATGAGATTGTGGTTACCTGTGAGGTTTACAGCAGGAAAAGGAAATAATCCATTGAATACCAATAGAATCAACAAGTATACGAGCTACTTAATATAAAAACTGGCATTTTAGGGGAGAAAATAAGCATTTATCCAAACTTTTATGTGTGAACTGTAAAGAACAAAATAGTTGTGACGAGGAAAACCGCTGTGACAAGAATGAAGTTAAAAAGTCACCAATTTCAGAACCTAATAAAAAATGTTCAGGCAGCAATATTCATGTATTAAATAATCTATGACTACCTGAATGCAATAAACCTTAGCACCAATAAAATTGGAGTTAACAGACATTGGAAGCCTCCGTTGTGAACAGGCATGAAGCACACCTCATTTTCTGTAAAACGTCCTTGCCGCAGAAGTTACACATGGATTCATTAAGCCTGTAGAACTAGCTTCCATTACAAGAAATATAGGAAATAAAGAAAGAGAGTAAGTGACACCACAAAGAAGCAAATACACAAAGTCCTAAGTGGTAGGACAACCAATCTGGTTAGGACAATTAGCCTAATATCTGCAACAGGTTAGTGGCGTCAAGCTAAGAGGGCAGAGGGGCCAGTTTAGATGAGAGACTCAAGGGTCATGACAATCAGATTTCATGTGTTACCCTTTATTTGGATCCTGGGCTCACAAGTCAACTATAAAACAATAATGTTCATATAGTTGGGAAAATTCAATTATGAGAAAGGTAATAAATGATACCAAGGAATTCATGTTAATTTTGTTATGGATGATAATCAGGGTCATGCTATGACTTTTGTGGCTTCTAGGAACTTTTGTCTATGTGAGCTTCTTCTTCCGTAAACACAATATTTTGTGACCTCATTTTCGTTATTTAATATAATCCAATATGAACTTAATATTATAGATTAATATTGTTATCTTTATTTTTTGCCTTTAAAAGAAATAAAAATTAAAACACTTTCCTGGGCCCCTGAAAGTACTGTGGGTCTTAGGCACTGGGCCTACTGTGTTCAATGGACAAGTCAGCCTTGGTGATAATGCCACAAAGAATTGGAAGAAATTATTCACAATTATTTTATGCTATAGAGTAAATTAATAAGAATTTAACTCACAAAACAAAGAGCTCAAAGAGGATAACATAAAATGGAAAAAAACTGAAAAGGAATTTGTAATTTTCTGGACAAAAATTGAGAAGCTACATAGTTAAATACATATCATTAAATAATACATACATTAGAAATAGCAAGGAAGAGAATAGTCATCCCTAAAAATATTTTGCTGACAGAATAAAGTCTGGTAGCAATCACAATGATTCGTAAAACAAAGACTAAGGTTAAAGAAATTAGTCTAAATATCCCCAGTTCTATTTACTGATCCACAACAAAATGGATTACCTGTAACATTCTAGCCATTCTCCTCTGGTTGAGCTCTGGGTGGCCTATGTCTCACTAAAAGTGTGGTGCCCAGAGTGGAATAGTCTCCTAGTTATTGTCAGACTGACAGACAGTAGGGCAGAACTCTCACATTACCTGTTCCTATTGGTGTAAACCAAGGGTAATAATTGGTTTATCTAAATTAATGCAAGAAAACAGATCCCGCTGGGAATCTCAAAGAAGGAGGCACTGTTATTCTTGGGAATTTGGCTAGCACCATGGCACCAGCTTCACAAAAGAGTTTTAGAAGTGAGACACCTCTGGTTCCAAGCATGAGAGAATAAAAGTACCCTTTTACTGTGTAAGAGTAAGAGTAAGAGTACCCTCTTACTGTGGTCTATTATAAAAACTAAACAAAATATATAAAGTATCTGTTTTTCAGATATTGGATAACAGACAATGCAGGCTTGTAATCCGCTGGACATGGGTTATCTTAAATCTTTGACGAAATACTAAAGCCTAGCAGAGAACAGTCATGGGGAGGGTGGGGTATAGAGCTGAACAGATTCCAGAGATCACATGTACTGAAAGAATTTGGAGTTCTGACCATGTAGAGTGAAAAGATGTTGCTGAACACCCTCAGCATTCAGTTTAGATCCCAATAAAGGCCATGACTTAAGAATAGGATTTCTCTAGCGGTAGAATAAGGGAAACTCTAGACTGAGCTTAATAAAGTCTAAAACAAACACTCAGTAAGATCAAGCTTATCCACCAATAAATCAGTAAAATCCATGACTCCTTAAAAGAAAGCAATAAAGTCCAGACTCTCAGAAACATAGCCTCCACAGTGGCCAGGACACAATATAAAATTATTAGATACTTGAAGAAGCAGGCAAATCTAGCCCATAACCAAGAGTAAATAGAGTCAGTAGAAACAGACCCAGACATGATATTGGAATTAGCAAACAAGGATTTTAAAATAGCATCATAAGTGTGCATGTTCAGAAATTTAAAGGAAAGAGTGACTATAAGTGAACAACACATGGAGAAAAATCAAGATAAATAGTAATTATAAAAATTAAAATTAAAAATTAAATGAAAATTCTACAGCTAAAAAACACAAAATCCAAAAGAAAAATTTATTGCCTTGGCGTCAAAACAGACTAGAAAAATGCACCAACCAAAAGGTAATGATATCAAAGAGTGAAATCAAAATGATGGCCACAAAACACCCTTGCCTTCTTCGCTACTCCCTCATGGAGGTCTTTGCTCAAGATAAAATGGTTTACTCATTCACTGTCCCCTAGATACACCCTTTTTTTTTCTTCAGTTTCCAGGTGTTTGCTCACATTTTTCCCTTATCTGGCTTTAAGATTTAATATGAGAAAAGTGATGTGGGACAGTCAATGTCAGGAGGTACAGTCTGTACTATTCACTGGTAATGGAATGAGAGTCTAGACATGTACTATCCTGGGGCTGAATTATCTACAAGTCAGACAATATTTGTTTTATACTATCTCCTCTAATGTCTTTCATTATACAATGTAAAACTCTCATCTCAGCATACTATTTTCCTAAATGTTGGAAAAATACCCCCTTTAGAGAGTATAATTACAGAGTTTCTACACTCCTTGCTATCTCAACTGTTTCCTGTCTATACATCCTTATTAGGCTGTTCTTGTGTTGCTATAAAGAAATACCTGAGGTTGGCTGGGCACAGTGGCTCATGCCTGTAATCCCAGCACTTTGGGAGGCCAAGGCGGGCGGATCATGAGGTCGGGAGTTCGAGACCAGCCTGATCAACATGGTGAAACCCCATCTCTACTAAAAATACAAAAGTTAGCTAGGCGTAATGGTGCATCCCTGTAATCCCAGCTACTCAGGAGACTGAGGCAGGAGAATCGCTTTAACCCGGGAGGCAGAGGTTGCAATAAGCCAAGATCATGCCACTGTACTCCAGCCTGGGCAACAGAGCAAGACTCTGTCTCAAAAAAAAAGAAATACTTGAGATTGCATAATTTATAAGAAAAGTTGTTTAATTGGCTCACAGTTCTGCAGGCTGTACAGGAAGCACAGAGCCAGCGTCAGCTTCTGGGGAGGCTTCAGGAAATTTCTACTCATGGCAGAAGGTGAAGTGGGAGCTTGTGTGTCACATGGTGCAGGCAGGTGCAAGAGAGGGAGTGTGGGGGAGGAGCCACAAACCTAATCAACCTGATCTCACTAGAACTCACTCACTATCCTTAGAACAGGACCAAGCCATGAGGGATCCACCCCCATGACCCAAACACCTCGCCCCAGGCCCCACCTCCAACACCAGGGATTACAATTCAACATGACATTTGGTGGGGACACATACTCAAACTATATTAACATCTGTCTGGGATCCCAACTAGTTATATTTTTCTTTCCTATACAGTTATTGGTTTTTATCTCTGGCATATTTAAATACTACAAAAATTTCTAAGCAATCTAAACATTATTATTATTATTATTATTTTTTTTGAGACGGAGTCTTGCTCTGTCGCCCAGGCTGGAGTGCAGTGGTGCGATCTTGGCTCACTGCAAGCTCCGCCTCCCGGGTTCACGCCATTCTTCTGCATCAGCTTCCTGAGTAGCTGGGGGACCACAGGCACCCACCACCATGCCAGGCTAATTTTTTTTTTTTTGTATTTTTAGTAGAGACGGGGTTTCACCGTGTTTGCCAGGATGATCTCGATCTCCCGACCTCATGACCTGCCCGCCTGGGCCTCTCAAAGTGCTGGGATTACAGAACAATCCAGCTTAGTTGCTACCTTTTCTATAGGGTCTTCTTTCATTCCCCAGCCACTGTCTTCTCCTGAACTCTCAAAGAACTTGTGATCTTACCAACACATTTGAGTTGCATTTCTGTAGTAGTTGTTTTGTATACATGTGTTACATCTTATTCAAGACTCTGAACTTCCAGAAATCAGGGACAATATATTCTATAATCACAGTTCCCATAATGCACAGGACAATGGACTTTATATAATGTTATTTTTGGTCCTTATCTCTGATCAAACAAGAAAATATGGAGTCATCCTGTCTACTCTTGGAAGGAGTAATCAATATTCACCAAAGGATCAGGAAGCAGAAGGTTAGTACACAAGTCACCTGAGTCTTGAAGGTTTGCTGTAATAAATGTTGTACGGAAGGGTCAGAGGAACTAAATTGCAGGTGGGTGAAGACTAAGAAGCTACTCAGAGAAGGATTTTGAAGGAAGGCTGTGGTTGGGAGTGGTGTATGTGTGGAAAGGGACAGCGGCTTCTAGTCATTGGGGTATTTGAGAGAGAGAACGGGGACAATGACTGGGGCTCCTAAGTGGTTAGACGAAAAGGTCAATCTGGCCACAGCATTTGGGATATGGGAAGCAGTGGGGGTCTATTTGGGAGACGCTAAGTGCAGGACAGGGAGGACTGAATGTAATGAGCTCAGGCCTTAGAACCCAGAGAGAAGCACAGATAGAAAGGAGCACTGTGGGAATGGAGTCACAAGTGACACACCCTCCTCCATAGAACCCCACTGCTGAGTGTGGGGACCTGCCCCAGCAACCACCAGACAGGAAAGGAGAATGATCAACACTGCCTTCTGTCAGGGAGAGAGGAGTTGGCAGCACCAGCAGTCCTGGCTCCACTAGGCACCGGGCTCTCTTATTCCTAGAACCTCCACATTTGAATGGTGTGTGTCTTCCTTAATCAAAGGCTGGACTTTCTGGCAGTTTATGGTTTAATTTAATTTGCACAGTACTTCATAATAGTTACAGTTACATGAACTGGTATATAACATTGGGGAAAATAAGGCTTTTCTGTGATGATAATTGCCTTTTTAAATGATGATAATTGCCCTTTAAAAACAAGTAATATTCTCTCAATACTCCTTCTTTTTCATGTTGGCTGGTCAAGCCAGACTATTTTAGTCATTCTTTAAAATAAAGAATCAAATCCTAGTTTCCATTCTTCGGTTAATACTACTTTGTTGCAATATTTTTATGATTTTTTTCAGTTACAATTAGTTTTTTGCAAGGGCTGACTAATTTTTTGATTTTTTAACTATTTTAATTCCTTGGTTAAGTGTTCCATGTAGAATTTTGTTTTTCTTTTTAAAGTCTGGATTAATACCACGTATTTTATATTTGCCACCGCTTTTCCCCACATCCTACATGGTTATTGGTTTTTACCTCTGGTATATTTATCCTCTCTAGATAGTTTAGTGCCTTGTTTTTAAAATTTGTGATGATGAAGTTATTGAATATGCATTTTCCTTGTTAATATGTTCATTTTTTGTTCTAGAAATTGATATTACACTATGAGCCTATTTGAAACAAACCAACAAAAACAGGTGCCCCAGCTTCTGCCTACAGGAATTCTCAGTAGGATCTCTTGGTAGGAGGTGGGAGAGACTGTGGGACTTCTTTTAGAGGGAATACAAGAAAATGCCTCTTCATGCATTTTCTAAGGAAGCCCTCAGAAAGCTCCACCGATGTCCCTGAACTTTGGCAACTGTGAATTATAAAGACTAGGGCTCCACTGGGGACTGGAAAAGTTCTCAATATACATAGGAATCACCTTGTAGACTTTTTAAAAGATCAGAACCTGGATGCCACCACAAGAATCAAATCTCTGGGAAGTGCAGCCAGCTTTCCAGGTAATTCTACCCAGCAGCAAGACTTGGGAGCCAGGAAGCCAGGGATTAAAAGCTCAACTTCAGAGCTATAAATGTGGGGAAAATCCTTTCCAGCCTTGGGACCATGGGCCAGGGGCAGAATAAACAACTGGAAAAGATGGCCGAGTGTGGTGGCTCACGCCTGTAATCCTAGCACAATGGGAGGCCAAGGTGGGTGGATCACCTGAGGTCAGGAGTTCTAGACCAGCCTGGCCAACATGGCAAAACTCCATCTCTACTAAAAATACAAAAATTAGCCAGGCATGGTGGCTGGCACCTGTAATCCCAGCTACTCAGGAGGCTGAGGCAGGAGAATTGCTTGAACCCAGGAGGCGGAGGTTGCAGTAAGCCGAGATCGTGCTACTGCACTCCAGCCTGGGCAACAGAGCGAGACCCTTTCTCAAAAAAAAAAGAAAAGAAAAGACACCGCAGAGTACCAGCAGGGAGAATAGGAAGCCAAGTGCTAATGTCCATCAGTCCAGCTGCTGTACCTATGCTTTATTGGACTTCTCTTCCTGCATGTGACAAACTGGCAAGGACAATAATTTTATGAATCTGATTATTTTGAAAAAGGTATTGTTTATTTCCAAAAAGAAAATTAGTTTGTTGTACTTTCCATTCTTCTTTGCTTTATGAGTTCTTATGACTTGGGAGTTATTTCTCCTTGACAAACTTTCAAGGTTGTCAATCTGGTTGTTAAACTGCACGACTGTCTAAATTATGGAAATTAAGTTATCTGCTTTCTGCTTGGTCTCTTTCCTTAATCTGCAAATCTGTTCCCTGTTACTTTTACTCAACTGTTAATGACTTCCAGTTTGTGTCTGAGGTTCTAACTGTCTTACATCCAATAAATTAATTCTTTAGAGCTTTTAAGTAGAAGGGGCACAAGTGCCCTGAGCTAGCTATGGGGTCTTGGACAAAGTCCCCTCTCCTCCAGCCTTTTTTCCTTTCCCAGGCAACAGAATGGGTGGGGAGCTGACGCTAAGCCAAGGGAGTCGGGGAGAAGGGGAGGTGTGGGGACAAGGGTCTGCTGTGCTCACCTTCTTTGATTTTAAACCACACACTTCTACATCTGAAAAACCTGCTATAAAACCTTTCATTTCTTGCTTCCCTGCTGGCTTGATTTTCTCCTCTCATTTCTTTCTTTTCTTTTCTTTATTTTTCATTTCTCCTTTCCTTCCTTTCTTTCTCCCCTCTTTCTTTCCTTCTGTCACTCTTTTGAAATCTGTCAATGTTCATTTGTTTCTGGACTTCTGACCACAGTTGTGGATTCATAGATATTAGCAGGAAAAATCTAGATATTTAATTTCTGATTTGGCCAAGCCCAAAAGATTTCATAGGGATTCCAACAAAAAGGAACTCATCAATAGTGACAGCTTGAGCCCTTACTGTGTGATAACCCTTATGTGACCTTGCATTCATTTAGACTCTACGCAGCCCACAGCCACCATGCAGCTACCTCCAACAGCTATTGCTGCTCGCCGCCTTCCAATCTGATGATTCTAGTTGCTGGTACCTGTTAAACAAAATTATGGAAGGCATTGTTCTGGACTGAGCTACTGCACTAGGCCCCAAATGACCAGATCGAACTAAAATAGAGTCATGCATGCTAAGTGCCATGTAATCAAACTGAAACTTTAAGAAAGCAGATAGATCTCCAAACAGACCAGTTTCTGTTCTGTTAAAAATAGGAGATTCCAGCATAATAAGGAACTCCCCTTGGCCCTAACTGTTGACGTCAATGCCTAAAGTTTTGGTCAACTTCCTAAAGGGGGAAATTGTTAAATTAAGTTAAAGCTACTTCCTTATGTAATTTAAGTTCAGCCTAAAGGTTTCTTCAAATACAGTGAAGTATAACCTAACTGGATGTGTGGGCAAATTGTAACTTACTCTTGTATCAATCACACAGTTTCAGCCAATCACAGGTGGCCAGCTGTTCAAATCATGTTCAAATAAGGCAAATGCTGAGCTGAAACCAATCCTGCAGTTTCTGTTATCTTACTTCCATTTTCTATCCGTCACTTTCCTTGTTCTATCCACGAGTATTAGCTGGCCATGTGGCAGCCCTGCAGTCACTCTTAGCCTATTCTTTTTTGGGAACTGCTGATTCTCTCATTCTTTGCTCAGTGAAACGCTGTTAAATTTAATTCATTTAAAGGTTTTCTTTTAACATACTGACCTGAGACTTGCTTCCTATTCTCATAAGTTCTGCATAACACTTTACTGTCACCCAATCCAGTCTGTGTGTGCATTATATCCCCATTACTCTGACCCTACCAACAGATATACACTGTTTATGACTGATACAAAGGAACTAGCTCCACTTACATAAAAGCTGTCTACATCAGGATAATGAGAAGACAAGCCACAGACAGGACAAAATATTTGCAAAAGACATTTCTGATAAAGAACTGTTATCCAAAATATACTCAATATTAAGAAAATAAACAATCCTTTTTAAAAATGGGCTAAAGATCTTAACCTCTCCAAAGATATATAGATGGCAAATAAGCATATGAAAAAATGCTTCACCTCATATGTCATTAGGGAATTTCAAATTAAAACAACAGTTGAGATACCACTACACATTTATTAAAATGGCCAAAATCCAGAACACAAACAATACCAAATATTTGTGAGTATGTAGAGCAACAGGAGCTCTTCTTATTGCTTGCTGGTGGGAATGCAAAATGATACAGCCACTTTGGAAGCCAGTTTGGCATTTTCATACAAAACTAAACATGCTCTTGTCATATGATCCTGCAATTGTACTACCTGGCACAATCTCTAAAGGGATTGAAACTTATGACCACACCAAAACCTGCACGTGAATGTTTATAGCAGCTGTGTTCATAATTGCCAAAACTTGGAAGCAACCACGAGGTCCTCCAATGAGTGGATGGGATAAATAAACCAGTCTATCCAGGAAACAGAATATTTTTCAGCATTGAAAAGAAATGAGCTATCAAACCATGAAAAGATGTGGAGCAAAATTAAGTGCCTATAATTAAATGAAATAAACCAGTCTTAAAAGAGTACATAGTGTATGATTTCAAGTATACCATACTCTGGAAAAGGCAAAACTATGGAAACAGTAAGGTAAATACATGTACATCCAAACTCATAGGATGTACATTAAGAGTGAACGCTAATGGAAACTACAGAGTTTGGGTGATAATGATGTGCCAGTACGGGTGCATGGATTGTTACAAATGTACCACTCTGGTGTGCAGTGTTGATAATGGGGAAGCTGTGGGGTGGAAGCAGGGAAATCTCTGTCTCTTCTGCTCAATTGTGCTGAGAATCTAAAACTGCTCTAAAAAATAGAGTCTGTTTTAAAAGAAAAAAGTCTCTACATATCACCCCAACCATAAAATGGAGGTGGAGGTGGGGGGTAATCTTTCCTCTTTGCACTCTTTGTCACTGTGGACAGACGTCTCTTTCCCCCAGGGAATTACTCTATTTGGGGGTGGAGGCAGTATGGGGAAAGCAAGCAAGACAGCCTGTCATTTTCCAGTATGCTACTTACGGCAAGTAATTCTTCCCATCTGATATGGTTTGGCTGTGTCCCCACCCAAATCTCAACTTGAATTGTATCTCCCAGAATTCCCACGTGTTGTGGGAGGGACCCAGTGGGAAGTAAGTGAATCATGGGGGCCAGTCTTTCCCATGCTATTCTCATGAGAGTGAATAAGTCACATGAGATCTGATGGTTTATCAGGGGTTTCCACTTTCGCTTCTTCCTCATTCTGTCTTTCCACCACCATGTAAGAAGTGCCTTTTGCCCTCCCCAATGATTGTAAGACCTTCCCCAGCCACGTGGAACGTAAGTCCAATTAAACCTCTTTCTTTTGTAAATTGCCCAGTCTCAGGTATGTCTTTATCAGCAGCGTGAAAACTGACTAGTACATAAATTGGTACCAGTAGAGTGGGGCATTGCTGAGAAGATACTTGAAAATGTGGAGCAACTTTGGAACTGGATAACAGGCAGAAGTTGGAATAGTTTGGAGAGCTCAGAAGACAGGAAAATATGGGAAAGTTTGGAACTCCCTAGAGACTTGTTGAATGGCTTTGCCCAAAATGCTGACAACAACATGGACAACAAAATCCAGGCAGAGGTGGTCTCAGATGGAGATGAGGAACTTGTTGGGAACTGGAGCAAAGGTGACTCTTACTATGCTTAAGCAAAGAGACTGGCAGAATTTTGCCCCTGCCCTAGAGATCTGTGGAACTTTGAACTTGAAAGAGATGATTTAGGATATTTGGCGGAAGAAATTTCTAAGCAGCAAAGCATTCAAGAGGTGATTTGGGTGCCGTTAAAGGCATTCAGTTTTATAAGGGAAGCAGAGCATAAAAGTTTGGAAAATTTGCAGCCTGACGATGCAATAAAAAAGAAAAACCTGTTTTCTGGGGAGAAATTCAAGCCGGCTGCAGAAACTTGCATGAGTAGCAAGGAACTTAATGTTAATCCCCAAAACCAAGGGGAAAATGTCTCCAGGCCATGTCAGAGACCTTCACAACAGCCCCTCCCATCACAGGCCCAGAGGCCCAGAAGGAAAAAGTGGTTTCCTGGGGCCGGGCCCAGGGTCCCCATGCTGTGTGCATCTTAGGAACTTGGTGCCCTGTGTCCCAGCCACTCCAGCCATGACTGAAAGGGGCCAACGTAGCACTCGGGGCCATGGCTTTAGAGGGTGCAAGCCTCAAGCCTTGGCAGCTTCCATGTGGTGTTTAGCCTGTAGGTGCACAGAAATCAAGAACTGAGGTTTGGGAACCTCCTCCTAGATTTCAGAAGATGTATGGAAATGCCTGGATGCCCAGGCAAAAGTTTGCTGCACGGGTGGGGACCTCATGGAGAACCTCTGCTAGGGCAGTGCAGAAGGGGAAAGTGGGGTTGGAGCCCCCACACAGAGTCCCTACTGGGGCCCTCCCTAGTGGAGCTGTGAGAAGAGAGCCACCATCCTCCAGACCCCAGTATGGTAGATCCACAGACAGCTTGCACCATGTGCCTGGAAAAGCTTCAGACACTCCATGCCAGCCCATGAAAGTAGCCAGGAGGGAGGCTGTACCCTGCAAAGCCACAGTGGTGGAGCTGCCCAAGACCATGGGAACCCACCTCTTACATCAGTATGGCCCAGATATGATACATGGAGTCAAAGGAGATCATTTTGGAACTTTAAGATTTGACTGCCCTGCTAGATTTCAGATTTTCATGGGTCCCGTAGCCCCATTGTTTTGGTCAATTTCTCCCATTTGGAATGGCTGTATTTACCCGATGCCTGTACCCCCATTGTATCTAGGAAGTAACTAACTCGCTTTTGACTTTACAGGCTCATAGGCGGAAGGGACTTGCATTGTCTCAGATGAGACTTTGGACTGTAGACTTTTGGGTTAATGCTGAAATGAGGTAAGACTTTGGGGAACTGTTGGGAAGGCATGATTGGTTTTGAAATGCGAGGACATGAAATTTGGGAGGGGCTTGGGGCAGAATGATATGATTTGGCTGTGTCTCCACCCAAATCTCAACTTGAACTGTATCTCCCAGAATTCCCCATGTTGTGGGATGGACCCAGTGGGAGGTAATTGAATCATGGGGCTGGTCTTTTTCATGATATTCTCGTGATAGTGAATAAGTCTCACGAGATCTGATGGGTTTATCAGGGGTTTGTACTTTTGTTTCTTCCTCATTCTCTCTTGCGACTGCCTTGTAAGAAGTGCCTTTCACCCTCTACCATGATTCTGAGACCTTCCCCAGCCACGTGGAACTGTAAGTCCAACTAAACCTCTTTCTTTTGTAAATTGCCCAGTCTTGGGCATGTCTTTATCAGCAGCAAATGGACTAATAAACCATCCCTCAACCAACATGAGGCCACAGCCTTTGCATCTCAAAATCACCAAGCCCAGCCTCCAGTTATCAAAACTGATTAATCAGACAAGGAAGATCATAAGCTCCACACTCTTCCTCCATATTATGGGACTACCACAGGAAACATTGCCTGGTTCGGGTCACACGAGCATGCCTTTGCCCCAATTTTGACATAAGAGCACCTATGATTTTCTTCTTCTGTCCTGACTCTCAGATCTTTTCTTTGGACGGTGGTGCTGACTCCATTCCCTCCTCCCATTGGTCGAATGTGACTCAGGCTGGACCAATCAGAGCCTTGCATTCCCCTGGCCATAGTGATTGGTTCCAGATCAAGCCACACCTAAATCCACGCCCTAAACTCTTCTGTCACTTGAGCTTGTACATGTCCTCTTTGCTTAAGCAGTTTTGGGTTAGGTTTGCTGTCGCGTGCAACCGTAACAGCGCTGAAGATTTATCCACAGAGCCTGGTACCTGTGAGAGTGTGCCCGTATAAGGCCAGCTGCCAAGAAGACGCGAGCCTAGCATCCAGCCTTGAGTTTGTATGCAACTGCGTTGACTGGAGACTTCTGAGGAGAGAAGAGGCCTCTAGGAGACAGGCTAGGGTGGGAAGCGTCAAGACAGGGTAGGTCTGTGAGGTGCCATCAAGAGCCTCCAAACGTGCCCCAGAGCCACCAGTCTGCCTCTGCGGGCCTCTCTCTGACTCCCTTCCAATCTGTGACCTTTCTGCAGCTCTCTTCCCTCCATTGTCATAAATACAATCATGCAGCCAAGTGAGTCCAGACTCAGCCAGCTCTTTCTCATCCATACCCAGGGCTCTGCAATGTGCTGTCTTCTCCTTCTCCCTTTGCAGCCCATAATTGTGATGATCTGCCCCACACACCAAAGTCCACTGTCTCAGAACCTCACCCCAGACCCTCTGGGGCCCTTGCCTTAACAGTCAGCTTCTCACTGACCACCCTTAGCTGAGGCTGAGGTTCCCTGACACATAGCAGTTCTCCACTCTGGTGATGACCTAGAATCACTTGAAAAGATTGGACAAAACACTGAGGCCTGGCCAGGCGTGGTGGCTCACGCCTGTAATCCCAGCACTTTGGGAGGCCGAGGTGGTTGGATCATGAGGTCAGGAGATCGAGACCACCTTGGCTAACATGGTGAAACTCCGTCTCTACTAAAAATAGAAAAAAAAATTAGCTGGGCGTGGTGGCGGACGCCTGTAGTCCCAGCTACTCGGGAGGCTGAGGCAGGAGAATGGCGTGAACCTGGGAGTCGGAGCTTGCAGTGAGCCGAGATCACGCCACTGCACCCCAGCCTGGGTGACAGAGCAAGGCTCCGTCTCCAAAACAAAAACAAAAACAAACAAACAAACAAACAAAAAAACCACTGAGGCCTGGGCCCCATTTGCAGCTCTTCTGATTTAACTGCTCACGAGTAGGGCCCAGGCAACAGGATTTTGTAAAATTCCCCAGATGATTCTAAGGTGCAGTGATACAGTGTGAGTCCCTGCTCACAATTTCTGGGGAAGCTCCAAGCATGGCCCTTTGCACATGCTTGCTGCATTTAAGGAAAAGTCCACACACAAACACACAGAGCCTCACGAGGCACTTCAAACTAGTGTCCCTTTTCTTCAATCCTCCCAGTGGTTTCCATTGCACATGGAGTGGACTGGAAGGCTGTGTCTGTGACTTGGCCCCTGTCTGCCTCTCCTTCCTCATCTGGAAGGCACTCTCCTATTGCAGACCATGAGGCATCCCCCCCGGCCTTCATTCTGCTCCCTCATCCTGGTGACTTCCATCACAAGCCTGACTTCTGTGCATCAGTCAGCCTGGGCTTAAACATCCCAGGCTACCCCAGCTGAAACAGGTCTCCTCCCCAGTCACTCCATTGCATCATCTTGCTTCATCGTCATAGTATTTCACACTATCTGAATTTACTTTGTTTTTTATCTGTATAAATTTATTTGTTGCCCATCTTACATCCCCCTCCCCTCCAACACACACACACACACATCCAGTAAAGTAAGCCTCAAGAGGACAATTCTGTCTGTTCTTTCATGTCTGTATCCCAGTACCTACTGCCTGGGAGTACACCTGGAGCTCAGCAAACACTCACTGACTAAATGGTTGCATTTTCCCCAGCAGGATGTACAGATGAAAAAAGACCAGAGGATATCAAATCTCACCACAAGGTGGGAGCATGCGTCCAGTCAATCGAGAGTTCCTCTGTGCTGCGCAACAAGAGCACTTGGAGAGAAATCGTCAACATAGGGCGCCTCTGGCTTTCCATCCTTCCATATCCGTCTAAATAACTCACATGCTAGGAAGACCAGCCATCAAGCCAGACAAGGAAGTGGGACTTCAAATTTCCCCTACCTAGCCTCAACTGTTCTCTGTTTATGATGGACACATTAATATTCTTCCAAAATATCAGCATCATTTTGAAACTGGCTACAAAATACTTTAAAAGGAAAGATTCCACATGTTCCAGAAATAAAGTGCTTGAAATACTTTTGATGATGAGGATAAAACCCAGTGTTTTAAGAGGAAGTCAGCTAAGGCTGGAGATCTGGAACCCTCTGGCTTACTGATATTTATTGATCAACTACTGTATGCCCAAACATGTTGTGTAATAGTTGATCAGTAACTACTAAGTGTAAACAAACTTTGACACTCCTTACCACAAATAGGCTTTAATAATAATAAACTAGTGAAGTTGGTTGGGCACAGTGGCTCACGCCTGTAATCCCAGCACTTTGGGAGGCCGAGGAGGGTGGATCACAAGGTTAGGAGTTCAAGACCAGCCTGGACAGGTCTTTTGTATTTTTTGTAAAATACAAAAAATTAGCCAGGTATGGTGGTGGGCACCTGTAATCCCAGCTACTCGGGAGGCTGAGGCAGAGAACTGCCTGAACCCAGGAGGCAGAAGTTGCAGTGAGCCGAGATCATGCCACTGCACTCCAGCCTGGGCGACAGAGCGAGACTCCATCTCAAAATAAAAATAAAAGTAAATTCATAAAGTCCTTTTTTTATATAGATTTTTCCCACGTGTTTGGGAAGACAAAATGAACATTTGAAACATGAAGCAGTAAAGTGCTCAAATTTGGTATTTTGAACAGTTAAAAGTTAAGGTAACAGTAGTATGCTGTTGAAGTATGCTGAATGAAGAAGAGAGCAAGCAGCTTGGAGAAAGAAAATCAGAGTCTTCTGCTTCGGGTCTTAGTCACTTTACCTCTGAGCACCTGATTTGGGGGCGAAGCCCCCAGAACCACATATGCTTCATTTTCCTAGTATCTAACACTATCTGCTCCATGCCAGTTCATTGAACAAATGAATCCATTTGTGGAGAGGGAATGATAATAATATTAGCTTCTGTGGCTAGGAGGTTTAAATGAGATAATGAAGCCAAACAGGTTTTGTAACTCATAAAATGCTACAATATATTGTATATTATGATTAAATGCTAATCATACAGCCCAACAATAGGAGAGCCTGAGGCAGGCATGGAGGGGTCATTGTCCACCAGAGACCTGTGGGAAGGCTTCTTAGAGACGGGAGAGGGGCAAAGCTCTGGAGCATACCTCTCCACTTTTCTCCATCACGAGCAGCCAATCGGCATTTAGCAGACTTCAGCAGGCAGCAGGAATCCCCTTGCCAATCTTCATGGAGAACACGGGTTCTCATCTGGGAACAAGTCCATGCTCCAAAGGCCAGAAATGCTTCCCTCTCGGCCAGATTCTCTTCAAATGGCAGAGAGTGACTTTTTCAGCAAATTGGATCTAATAATATTCCTGCCAGGACCCCTCCTACCCCCACCTCACACATTAACATCCTAGGAAGAAAGGCTCTGGAGCCATTCAGAATCTTATTATTGCCACTATAATTATTATAGTTATGACTATGACAATTATTATAAGGAAAATCACCCAAATGTAGTAAGGCAAAAAAAAAAAAAAAAAAAAAAAGAAGGTGACTTCATGGCTATGAACAGAGTTAAAAGGCCAGCAGATAAACAGAAATGTCAATCTCTCTTCTGCCAGGCCACCTCCAAGTGTGTGGGGAAGCTGGGTGTGTATTGCAGGGGTGCAGGGGAACTGTACTATGGGAGGAAGAAGGAAACTTCTCCTTCCTGTCCAATACTTGCCTGTTCTCCTTCCCAAATGTCTCTGGCAGCTCTCATTTCCTCTCCATCCCTTCTTTGACTGCCTGAACTCAGGCCCTCGTCACCTCTTGCCTGTACTATTGCAAGACCCCCCTCGCCCACCTCCCAGCCTCTGGGCTCACCCAGTCTCTCTAGTGTTGCCCCAAAGGATCTTTTTCAAATAGGTGGCATCATGACACTCCTCTGTCAAAACCAGGCGAAGCTTCCCACGGAAAATATGAGAATATATGTGGAAGTCTTCTGCATGGCTTGAAAGGCTTCAGACTGGTGCTATTATTTGCATGTTTGTGTCCCTCAGAAATTCACAAAGTGAAGGTGTTAGGATGTGGGGCCTTTGGGAGATGATAAGATCATGAGAGTGGAGCCTATGGGAATGAAATTAGTGTCTCATAAAAGAGGCCGCAGAGAGGCCCCTCACCCCCCTGCCATGTGAGGACCCTGCAATAAAGTGCTTTCTATAAGTCAGAACACAGGCCCTCACCAGATATCCAATCTGCCTTGATCTTGGACTTCCTAACCTCCAGAACTATAAGAAATATATTTCCGTTGTTTATAAGCCACCCAATCTATGGTGTTTTGTTATAGCAGCGTTGTGTAGCAGCCTAAACATGCTAAGACAACTGGCCACTGCCTTATCCTATGGAGCCCACAGGCAGAAAGACAGATTCTTGGCTCCTGCACACACATCACCCATTCGCATGGTTTATGTCCTCATTTCTCGTAGTCAGTCAAGTTGTTCTCATAGCCTGGAAGTACCTGCTCATCCTACCATCTACCTTTTGAAGTCTTTCAAACCTTGGCTCAGACCACCTGTTTCAAATATTTCTCAATGTTGGAATTATCTTCTCCTCAGCCTCTCCTAAGTATGTTATTTGCATTTAAGATACCCACCCTCAGATTTGGGCTACTAAGTTCACATCTCTAGCTCCCTGAGCCTGCAACCCCTGGGTGTCACCTCCTCCTCCAATATTTAGCATTAGTGAATAGTTGGAGCTGAATAAAAGCCCGGTGAGTTGAAAGTATGTTTTATTGCTTTACCTTGACATGTTCTTGCAATGATTCTGTGGGGCGAGCACATCACTGTGATGACCATGGTGCTGCACATGAACAAACAGAAGCCAAGCAACTTGGCCTGGGCCAGACACCCAGGTGATGGATCCATGCATACAGCCTAGCTCACTACAAAGGAAGCAAGGGTGGACCCACTCAGAGTGGGATACTGCACTGGGGAAGTGCCTGGGGTGACTCCATGAGTCACAGTATATAACATAGTGATTAAGAATCCAGGCTCTGTATCTGAATCTCAGTTTCATCATTTCTATCTGTGCAATCCTGGGGAAGTTTCTTCATCTCTGAATTTCAGTTTCTTTGTTTATAAAATGAGGGTAATGATAGCACTCTCACAGGATTGCCAGGAGTAAATTAGATAGCATCAAATACTAGCATTGAAGCAGGCATATACCAATACGTAGAGTTTTGTTGTGATTAAATTAGCACTAAGAGTATTGAAAAACAACAGAGCCATATTTTTCTTTTGTGCCTGGGAATAGTGAAGAGGAGTCCAAAGTACCATCCCAGGGATGAGGAGGAGAAGAAGAGGGTGGAACAACATCCCCTGGTTGCCTGAGCACATTCCCAAGATACCAGGCCACCCATCAGCATTTCCCAAGCAACAAGTCACTGTCATTTCCTCCCCCATGCCCTGGGAAAGTGCACAAACTGGGTTCATTCCACAAGCCACCGTCTCCTCTTCTTCCAGTCATGACCCTCCCAAGCTATTTGATATGCAAAGGTCCACGTATCAGCCATGTTGGATGTAGTTCTGCAGGCATCTTTAGGAAAACAAAAGATGAAAGCAGCATGCTTGCAAAGAAGTTAGTCAGTGCATGGAAGAGATGCCTTCTTGCTTCTTTGAATCCAGGTTAATGAAAGGTGAATCCAGTTATCCAAGTGGAAGGAAGACAGCGAGAAAAGAGAAAGAGAAGTTTCAACAGTGATGAGGAACCAGGCAAGACCTGCTTCCTAAGTTGCAGCAGAGGCTGAAGAGTTCAGACCCTGGAGTCAGTCTGCCTGTGTTCAAATTTCTGTCCCATCACTTTCTAACTGCATGGCTTTGGGCAAATTATATTGGCATTTTCTATTTCCTTACCTGCAAACTCAGAGTGCTGCTAACATCTATATCATAGAATCGTTGTAAGGATTAAATAGGATAATTCACGTAAACTTCATAGCACAACATTGGACACAATAAATGCTCACTCGGTTAAAAGGGTTAATAGTGGTGGTGATGGTGGTGATGGTGGTGGTGGTGGTGGTGGTGGTGATGGTGGTGGTGATGGTAGTTTGATCCTGACCTAAACTGGGTGAATAATTTTATTCCCATTTCACAGGTTCAATAAACTCAGGTTCAAGCAGTCAAGGGTCTTGCTCAAGGTCACACAGTTCATGGCAGGTCCAACTCAAGTTCCACTCTCTTTCTGCCTGGGAGCTCAGTGAGTGATCCAAATGACCTAAGGAGGAGGAGCTGAGACCAGAATGGACATTCTTTTCTGGAAATCAGAGGACAAGAAAGATCCAAACCAAAGACCAAACTGAGCTAGGTAAAACATGAAAACATTCCAAATCATTACTTAGAACTAGTTAAGAGCATGCCTACTGAGAAAGTCACTCTCTTCTACTTCCCTGAAATTGCCAACTTGGGCAAGATTTCACCATTCTCCTCCCCAGTATTCATCTACCTCAGATGTAGTACTTCTGTACTCAGATGTAGTGCTTCAAGGGAAGTCTTACAACCAGGAACAGAGGTGAAGTTTCCCCTAGAAGGAGCCCTAAGTCTATGGGTTTAAGCGGCAAAGGCAAGGAGGCTCCAATCTTGACCCCAAGCTACTTCAAGAGGGTCTGGGCTGCAGAAAAAGCCCACCTGTCTAGGACCTTTCCTCTGGGCTATAGTTCTACCCCCAGGTGAAATCTACTCAATAAAAGCATTAAGACAGCATTTATGGACCAACTTACGTAAGGGCCAAAGGTCAGGGACTGCAGCTTGTATTAGGACTAAAAGAAGAGAGTGACCTCAAAAGTTACAAATGACCTGGGGGAGTTATGAGATGTGGCACTCACCACTCTTTGGTTATGACTGTAATGTTGCTGGGAGCTAGACACTCGTCATGGCTGAGGCCCCAAGTATCTGTATGATGACATGACAGGTGCTCATAGACACCTGTCAAATAAATGAATAGAAGTCCCATCACTCCAAGTGAGCTTTGTGACACACTCTCGCAGCCACTCTCTCCTTTGGTTTTCCTGGCAGCTCTGAGAGTTAACCTCAGCATGCATTCTTATCCACCAGTACACACTAAGCTCTTCGGGAGGCCTCTCATTAATAAGAGCAGCACAGAGTTTCTGAGCACAAATCTTATGAGCTTTCCATGATGCCACATGTTGAGGTGCCAGAGTGCTGCCTGGTACATTCTGAGACCTGTCACAGCTCCCCACTTCTTTCTTCCCTTTCTCCAGCCCAGGCTTCAGGGGGCACCAGATATTTGAGCCCCTGGTGGCATCTTACCTTAGGTTGTTCTGGATGTCACTCTCACTAGCTTCTCTGAGTAGAAAGAACCAACTGAGACATTTGCAAAAGAGTTGTGAGTTTCAAGTGGGAAGACCTAGGATCTAGGACCAGCTCAGCTCCCTGCTAGCCGAGGATCCCTGGCAATTCATGAAGCATTTCTATTCCTCAGGTTCCTGATCTGGGGTGTGGAGAGGCCAACTAAAGGACACAGGAATGTGACATGACCTTGATGGTACCTGACACATTACAGGTCCTGGGAAAACTGTTGTGGGGGTTAAATATGAAAATGCATGCTAAGCAGTTATCCTGGGGCCTGGGCTCAGTAAACATTGCTACTACACTTATTGTTTCTGACCAACTTTAATCCCTGGGATGATGTCTGTCTAGCATCCTCACACTGGGAGCTGCCTCACTCCCACCACTATGGTTTTCACCTCCCCAGATCCCTGAAAAACACCTCTGCCTCTCTGGTCTCCCCAGGGTCCCCAATCTCTCTGGGCTTCCCCTCACCCAGTCCACTGGGCATGAGTCTCATCCAGCCTGCGTGCAGAAGTCAGGCCCCTCCACCATCCTCACTAACCTACTGCAGCCCCTGCCTCTCAAAGTTCCACCAAGTCTGTGGCAAAACCTCAGGTCAGGCTGAAGGTCCCCATCAGCCTTTGCTGTCTCTCTCTCCAGCTGAGCAGAGTCTTAACCATCTCATATTCATTTTAAGCACATTCCCTGTCCTGGAGCCCAGAACCTTCTCCAGGCCTCTGGAGCACCTGGTTGCACCCTCGCCTCCCTTTTCAGCAAGTGACTTTGCCTTCTTGTTCTGGGGAGTCAGGCCCCCTGGGGTGAGTGCTTCTCTGCATCCCATCAGGACCACAAGGCACATGGGGCCATCGAGAGAAGGGAAGAGAAATGGGAGGGGTGACATGAGATGGAGGCATGGCATTCTGGCAGCGGAAATGGGCTGGAGTGTGGCCCTGGGGACTCACTGACCACTAAACCTTGAGGGTGGAAGCAAGGCCTGATAGCACATCTGGCATGTGGTAGCCACTCAGTAAATATCCACTTATGCATGCCCAGTGTTGACATTTAATAAGCATGTTTTATTGTATTCAACACCATCCCAAGAATGCTGACGTCCAGGATCAAGTTGCCCATATCCCTGCCTTTTATGGACTCCAAGTGTGGGGAGGAACTAAAGAAGGGGAGATCTGCCCAATTTCCGTAACCCAAGATAACATGCTAGAGAGAGCACACAGCCTGTCAGGAGGCTCATTCATCTGCTTGGTGCAGGGGAGACGTTGAACATGTTCAGTCGCAGATATGTCTGAAGAAAAAAGACCAAAGGAAGTGCGGGGGGCAGGTGGGAGGGTGTATTCTGCTTTTCAGAAATCGTGTGTCCTCAGAGGATGCACTTTCCAAAGCCTGTAACATTCGGGCGGCCAGCAGCACGGGCACCTGCCATCTTGCGGACACGAGCTGCCCGTCTGGTTTGTCCTCTGCGCCTCTGCATGGGAGTGAGATGCAGGCCAGTGAAACTGCTCTGTAGACAGGTCAGCAGAGGGAGTGGATCATGACAGGAGCCGGGAGACTGGCTTCTCATTCGGGCCCTGCAGGTGACGGTGTCACCCTGTGTGTGACAAAGAACATCACCTTTCTGCTCAAGGGCCTCTGTTTGAAATTAGGATCTTGGCCCGGATCAGTGGTTCTCAAATTTGGATGTGCATCAGGACCATCTGGAGGGCTTTGGTAAAACACAACTGCCCCCACTCCACCACCACCATAATTTCACACTCAGCAGGTCAGAGGTGGGGCCTAAGACTGATTCTAACAAATTCCCAAATGGGGCTCATGCTGCTGACCCAGGGACAACGCTTTGAGAACCACTGGCCTAAATAATGACTACAGCTACTTCCAGCTGTGAGATTTTAGAATTTTGTTTCTAAGAAGCAGTGTAATATGGGAAGAAGAAATTAAGAAATAAAGGAGGATTTGAGAAGACACATGAGGCCTGGTGCAGTGGCTCACACCTGTAATCCCAGCACTTTGGGAGGTCAGGTGGGAGGATGGTTTGATGCCAGGAGTTTGACACCAGCCTGGGCAACATGGCGAGATTTCATCTCTACAATAAAACTTTTTAAGAAATTGGCAGGTGTGGTGGCATGCACCTGTAGTCTTAGCTACTCAAAGCTGAGGTGGGAGAATCTCTTTGAGCCTAGGAGTTCTAGGTTACAGGGAGCTATGATCACAACACTGCACTCCAGCCTGGGCAACACAGTGAGAACCTGTCCCTAAAAGAAGAAGGAGGAGGAGCAGGAGGAGCAGGAGAAGAACGAAGAGGAGAGGAGAAATTTCTGAACAGTCCCCTCAAGCAACAAGCAGGTACCTGGGCATTGCCCAGTCCTGGCAGAAATGGGGCTGTGGGCCTAGCAGGACTACTCTCTCCTCTTTTCTTCTCTAGGATTTCTTTTCATTTGGTTTTCATTAGCTTCTACATCTGAGACCACATTTCACAGCAGCTGCTGGAGTCTGTAATGAAACACTTTATTGGAAAGCACTTTGAAAATATGAAAGAAAAGGCAGGGGGGTTATTTTGAATGTCTGTTTATATTTTCTGTTTTACCTCCATCAAAAAAGCAAATGATGGTTGCAATAAAAGACAGAGTTGTAGTTGCTGGGAGAGAGTTGAATGGGATGGAATTGGACTTATTTGAGTTAAATAAGAGTCTCATTATCCCCATGCATAGGAACCAAATACTGAATGGATGTGGAGGGAAGCCTGGGTGGCCCCAAAAATGAAGGAGACATGCTCTCCTCTAGAACTGGGGAGGAGACAGGCCAAGGTGCCACAGGGCACAGGCATGCGAGCGCCGTGGACACGGTGTGTTCCTTTTCAGAGGATCTGGGAGCCACTTGCAGGCGACTTCTTTCATATCTTGGGCCCTGAACTCTTGTGGGCCAAAATGCCTTGGGGTCTGTGGTCAGAACATTCATTCAGTGCCCAGGGCCCAGAATGAGAGTTCAAGCTCCCTGACCCCTGGTCAGTGTCATTTCCACTGTCTCAATGTCTTTCATGGTCTTGAGGTTTCTCACCTACAAGTGCAGCAGAGCCCCCTTAGACTTGGTCTGACCCCTACGCTTGCCTCTTATCCCAACACACAGAAGCATATAGATCTGCGGGACCAAAAAGCAAACTAAGCAGTTTGCTCTTGAACAATATCACCTTACATGGGACCTCTGGGATCCCTGCCCCAGGCCTTGTGCCTCCACGGGCTCTGCTCTGGCCTCCTGAGCCATAACTCTTCCAATGAGGAGAACCACCTGGGGGACCAAGGGGATAAGCCCACCTGAAGCCCCTCCTCACATAGCCCATGCTCCAGTACACACAGCTAACCTGGGGGTAGTCAGGGTGTGGTCAAAGGGTGGATATTTTGGGGGAGCACTTTGAAGTGTCAAGATGTCCACCCATCTGTTTACAAGCCCCTCAGTGTTCAGACAAGAACTGGGAATGGGGTCAAGGGAGGGCTCAGGCATTCATTTTCACTCTTGCATGGGTCCTGCCAGCACTCAGATCTGCCTATAAAACTGAGTTAACTGCCAATTTTCCAGAGGAATTGCGTTCTATTTGTATAGGGAAAGAGGCTAAGGAGACGCAGAGCAAGCCAGCGTCCTGGCAGTCTTCGGGCCTGTGCCAGGTCTGGCTGGAAAAGCCCAGGCAGACGGTTGCATGGCCTGCAGAGCCCAGAGGCCCCCACTGTGCTGGAGGAGTTGTCTAGTGTCACACAAGTGCCCGTCTCAGAGGGGTCAGCCACGCTCTTCACTACAGTTGTTTCAGGCCAAGATCCCAGCTACTCTTGAGAACACCTGTAAGTGGACAGTCAGCCAGGGTGGCGCCAGGCAGCCCAGCCTCAACAACCCCATGACCTTCTCCTGACCTCTGCATAGGGCCAGGTTGGGCAAAAGCCTCAGGTTCAGCCACTAGGTAATGTGGCATGGAAACACATTTGAGGCCCAAAGATCTGTTTTCCATGGGCATCACCAGAATTGATACAGACTGGAACACTGAACTATTACCAAGAAGACAAATAGAAGTCTTAGATTTAACCCCCCAAAATCAGTTGAACAAATACCAAATAAAAGATACCCTAATTAACCAGAGCATTAAAACCTCAGTGTGTCAGCAAACCACAAGCTTGTATGAGGCAATTCTCTGCTAAAACAAAAACAAAAAGCAAATGCAAACTTAGACTGCATTCATAGAAGTATAGGGTTCCAAATAAAGGAATTAGAAATGGCCCAGGCCACATTTAATACATTTTTTTAAACCACAGTTACAAACCAATATATTCTCTATTCCACAGATTAATATGGCAAGGAGGTTGGAATGTAGCCTTTGGGGCATTTTGAAGAAATGGCTTTTTAGCCCAGAAAGAAGATAAATCTGAGAGATTTGAGAGCTACCTTCCAATAACTGATGCATCATATGAGAGAGTGCCTGTTTCAACCTAAGTACTACCACAGGATTCTGAGAAGCACTCCCCACAGAAATTGACACATACCCCATAGATAGAAATTGACACAACTTTTCTAGAGAACCACATGGCCCTCAATGTTAAGGCCATTAAGAATTCCCACATCCTTTGGCCAGGACTTCTAATGGAATTTATCTCAAAGAAGTAATTAGAATGTGGCAAAGATTTTCCTACAGTGATATTTACAGCAGTGTTGTTTATAATATTGAAAAATTAGAAACAGCCTAGGTATCCAAAACTAAGAATACCTTACACACATTGCAATATATCCATGCCACAGAAAATTTGGTGACCATTAAAAATATTTAATATGTTTTCAAAGACTTTAATGATATGAGAAATGTCAGAATGTCAGTGAAAAGAACAAGCTGCATACAAAATCTACAGTCAATGTGATTCCAATTTTGTAAAACATATGCCAGCCCACACATGCACAAATAGGAAGAAATATACCAAAATGCTAACAGTGCTCATCACTGCAGGTTATATTTATTGGGGATGTTTTCCAGATTATTTTTTCTATATTTTTCAAATTTTCTGCAATGCATATGTGTCATCTTTATAATCGGAGAAAAGTACTAAACATATTTGAAGAGCAGTTATATGCTGAATGAGTGATAGATTCAGGGATGACTTGAAGCTGGAACTGCTCAAGAACAGCTTCCCAATGAGGTGTGACCTTCTCTCTGGGAGTGTCCAGGTCTGCACTGGGTGGGGGGGTTGAACAAGAGAGAGGCTAAGTGTGAGAAAGGATGGGATGAAAAGGAAAATGACTTTTACTGAGCATCTGCTACAGATTGGTTTCTATGCTGCAAAGCTGAGATTAAAAATCAAAATAAGTTCTGCAATGAACTAAAGCTGGTAAGAGTTGGAGCTGAGACCCGAATCCAGGACTTCCTGGCTCTGGAGCACAAATTTGAAGCAGCCTTCTTCACCTGCAGGAGCCAGGCCTGCATCAGTCACCTGTTTATAAGGCCAGCAAGTCTGATCACCTCTTGCAATCAACAAACAGGTAGGAAATCTTGCAATTTGTTACAAAGAATTGTCCACTGACAGATTTGTGTGGCCTTCAAGTGGAGACATCTCTTGGATAGGAATTTCTCCGGGAGACCCTGGACCACAGGTGGATTCTCAGAGTCCAGTGTTCTCTCATCACCACACTTTTTAAAGGCCAAGTGGCCTTACTTGTTATGTGGGCCAAAGCTCCAGCTGATAGACTCCTTTTTAAGCCTGTAGGACGGAGTCCCTTCTATTCCAGAAGCTCAAACCTACCTCCAGAGGAAAATAAGCCATCAGGGTTTAAGATAGCCTATACTCTCCCCACACCTTTACTGTCTTCCCCACCTTAGCCATTTTGCTAAGGTGCCAAAGAGCACATGGTTCACCTCTCTGTTCCAGACCACAATACTGACTCTACCAAGGAAGTTCAGAGGAACAGCGTGAACTGGGGATACCATCGAGGGCTCCAGACACCAAACCTGCAACAGTGATACATCTCTCTCCCACTAAGATTTTAGACTTCTAGAGGGTTACTTGAATAAGAGAGTTTTTATTTTTATGAGAGATCTTCAGTGGGTCCCAGAAAAAAACAAGCCATCGACGTAATCATTCTTAGAAACTTCTGAGTACTGATGCATTCCTGAGCTGTCAGCTGCTGCTCCTCTCCCTCCCTCTCCACACCAGCTGCACACACACACACACATACACAAACACACACACACACACACACACACACACACACACACACTCTCACCTTCTGGTAAAGACTCTGAGCACCAAAAAATTTGAACTGTTCCTGGCTTTAGCCAACAGAATATTGAAAGCAATTGTTTTCAGCAAAGTCTTGCCCAAATGTGGAAGATGAATGTTTTCAGTGGACAGGCCCAACACCAAGCTCCTAAGGAGCACCTTCCTACCTAAGGGAGGTAGATGTACAACCTGCATTGACAGACACAGGGCCGTCAGCTCTGAGGGCAAATGCCCCTTGCATGGCTTGTCAAGAAATAAAATTTTCTCCCACCTCAGAACTAGGGGTAGGGGTGAGGGACTTGAGGGAGAAGTATGTTTCTTGTTTTCTGATTTCTAGGGATTTTTAAACAGCCCTCAGTTTTTTTTAAAAATAAGCTATATTTCCAAATCCTTCCTAAACTGATATATTTTCTAAGAAAAGGTAGTCTTTGAGCATCTATATATATACATGTGTGTATATATATACATATATATGTGTGTATATATACATATATATGTGTGTATATATATACATATATATGTGTGTATATATATACATATATATATGTGTGTGTATATATATATATGTGTATATATATATATATATATTTTTTTTTGAGACGGAGTCTCATTCTGTCACCCAGGCTGGAGTGCAGTGGTGCAATCTCGGCTCACTGCAAGCTCCGCCTCCCGGGTTCACGTCATTCTCCTGCCTCAGCCTCCCGAGTAGCTGGGACTACAGGCGCCCACCACCAGGTCTGGCTAATTTTTTTGTATTTTTAAGTAGAGACGGGGTTTCACCATGTTAGCCAGGATGGTCTCGATCTCCTGACCTCGTGATCCACCCACCTCGGCATCCCAAAGTGCTGGGATTACAGGCATAAGCCACCACGCCCGGTGAGCATCAATAAATATTTAAGAGTCAGAAATGCCCAGCATGGGACACTTGGCTCCCATCCTTCATAAAACTATCTTCAGACCATCTAAATATTTTCCCCAGACAACCCTAATATCCACTATGGGTCTCCAGCTATATGACCTTGGGGAATTCATCTGACATCTCTGGATGTCACCCTCCTGCTCTGTAAAATAAAAGTGTGATCATCAAGATGCCTCCCAGTTTTAAATTGTATGATTCAACTCAACTGTGAATTGGTGTAGACCAAGGGTTGGCAAACCACAGCTTGCTGGTCAAATCTGGGCCTTGCTAATTGTGTAAATAGCATGTTAATAGAGCCCAGTCATGCTCATTCATAAGTACTGTCTATGGCTACTTTTGCACTAAATGGCAGAGTTGAGCATTTGGGGCAGCGTTGATCCACAAAGCCAGAAATATTTACACTGATCTTTTACAGAAAATGTTTGCTCACTCCTGGTTTCAATCATTAGAAACTGAGAGCTTGAATTTGACAATGAGAAGCCAGGCATTCTGTAGGGAGCTCACAGCAATATGTTCATAGGTTGGGATTCTATTTATATTTTCAACCTGTGTCACCTCTTGGGATCACACAGCAGGCAGCAAACTTTTGGAACGTGGTAAATAGAACTTTCTTGTCATTGTCCTAAAACTGCTGGTTGTAAGCTTCAGTGAGTGCCCCCTTGGCAGGCACGCTGTCTCCCTCTTGGTTCTCTCCACATCCTAGAGATTTCCATCATGTCCTGCTCACTCTGCCTTTTTCCAGATTTTACTGTTTTTAAAAAATCTGTCCTCAAACAGAAGACTTTTCTTCCCCTTGAGTGTTTTAATTGCTCTTCTCTGGACCATGTCCAGGATCTTTATGTCTTCACAAGAGCCTGTGACCAGACCTACACACTTTCAGGGGCAGACACTGTGGTTGCAAGCAAAGAGAAACACTTTGGCTATGGAGCTCTAGGTTCGAGGGCTGGGCTTTATGATCAGACCTGGGTTAGAATCCGGACTCTCACACCTTCTAGATATGTGACCTTTGTCAGTGACAGCATCTCTGCTACAGACTCTAAAGCGGTTGTGCATAATGGGTCAGGGAGATGACAAGACACGATGTTCAGTGCAGAACCTGAATATTTATTCATTTAGGTATACAGTTTGCTGATGATGTTCTGTGTGTGGACTCCCATCTTCAGAGAAGCCAGCTGTGATTTCAACTATACATATTTGTGTGTGAATATATAAATGTATGTATATATGTACATATATGTGTGTATATGTATAGTATATATGTGTGTACATATACATATATATATAGTTGAAATCATAGCTGAAGCCTCTGAAGACAATTCACAAATACACACACACACATATACATGCATATGTAATTGCATATACAGTTGTATACTACCTATATCTATATATTGACTGATATACATGTATACATATATATACATACATTTATGTATTGAAAACTAACAAAATTTATCTTCCTAACTGAGCATGAAGCCGCTTGCATGGACTCAGCTTTACCCATCTTTCTGTATACCTAGGGATGTGTGAAATATCAGACTACCTTGCTGAAGTGACCCTACAGGCCACCTTGTAGCCCAGAAAAAAAAAGTCCAGTAGAAATGAGCCATAAATGAGAAGCTGTAATTGCAATAAATACCTGTGAATTCATATTCTAAAGTGAATAGCTCTTGGAACTCTTGTTTTAAAAGTTATTTAGCAAACACTTATTGAACACTTAATATGAGCCAAACCCCTTCAAGTAGGGTGTGGCCTTTGCATTCCTAAGTATTGGTTTACAGCTCATTAGCCCTTTGACAAGGCAGCTGGGGTTGAAGAGAAAGGTAACCCTGGAGTGTCCCAAGCCATTGTCACCTGGAGGTAATGCATCTCCACAGTGTTAGGGAAAGCCCGTGAGAACATAAGCTTTATTCACAAGCACCAAAGGTATGCTCTAAAGTTTAGGAAATGCACAATGCCCCAACTCCTTCTGGAATCCCACCAGGGCACCCAGAATCCTGAGAGTACTATTTGTCTGATTTTTTTCCTAAGCAGGTTGCCTGAACTCATCTGCCCCTTGGCTGCTAGACTGAGCTACTCTGCAGTTTCAGGGCCACAACAGATACTGACCATAAGAGTCTAATCTCAGACACGGTTTAAACATAGATGGCCCAAGGAACACCATCTGAGAGCTGAGGGGAGCCCAAAATGTCTCCCTGCCTCAGCCCCAGGTAACTCCGGGTGCTTTAGAAAGCAAAAAAGTTGCCAAAGGCCTCTGCTTGCGGCTCCCATTACCCCTGGGCAAACCCCTATCTCTAATAGGATCACGCATTAATGACAAAGACAGGTCCTGGGAAGATTAAAGTCTTCGTATAATTAAAAAGATAAGAGTGGGCCTGGGAGAAGGAAATTGGGATTCAATTAACACGAGGACTCTCCCCCCAGCCCTCCCCCGCTATCAAATGTTCCACTCAGAAGGGCCTTCCGGACTTGCCCGAGAGTGAAAGGCTGAAAGGCTTTTATTTATGGCCTGCTTGGAGTTGGGCCTGGGGCCTTCCTTGGCTGGGGAGTTTGTTTACTTAGAGTTCAAGAGGGGAGGGGAAGAGCAACACAAATCCTGCAGGAGGAGGCCACAAGGTGCTTTTGACTCCTTTTCTTTCCCTCTTAGTTCCTCTAATCCTCTTGACAGGGGAAGAAAAATACTCAATAGAAGGTCTATTTCCTTCCTCCCTCAGCCTGAGGCTGACACGACAGGCTAAGGGTCACTGCTGAGAAAGCTCTGTGGGGTTATTTGTGTTGGGAAACCACAGCCGCTTCCCCCTTTCCGTCTTTCTCAGGTTTCCATGGAGGCAGAAGGAAGATAAGGTTGGAGAAGCAGCTGCCTAAATGACCTGTGGGCCTGAATATGAGGGGTGCCCAGCCCCCAGGGACACCCCACTTCTTGTGCACTTTCAAAGAGTTTTCAAGGTGGAAGAAAGCAGAGTTGACTGGGGTTGCGGACTAAGCTGACACAAGTAGGGTGGGGACAGTGTGGCAGGCTCCAGCAAGCACCAGATCAGTACCTTCAGCCCTAGTACTTCTCAGCTAACTAGTGGTAAAGGTGGGCCTGGGCCCCAGGACCTTATGGAAATAGACATGAAGGTCCATTTGGATGGATGGACTGAGTTTTAAAAGCCTCTGCTTTTGCTAATGGATGGTAAAGCCCATATGCTGTTGCACCCTCTCCCAGCCTCTCTTCACAGGGACCTACAGACTCCTCCACCAGAACCCTCCCCAGCAGACAGCAACTCCCCTTCAGTTGGTCTGTGGGCACTCGAAGCTGTGTGCAACCAGGCCAATGAGGTCGGTGAGGCTATGGAGGACGGCCTTGAGAAAAACCAAGCCAGGACATCTGGGATCAAGAAGACAGAACACAATACAACAGCTGGAAGGAATGGAGAAATGTACAGATAAAGCAAAATAATCAGGATATGAGATCTCATTCCACTCCCAGTTAATCATCTGGAAGCTGTATTCAAGGCTGCACATTAACTTCATGAATACGCCACAGACACCTCAAGTGCAAGAGGTTTAAAGCCAAACCCCATGTTTTAACCACCCAATATGTTTCCTTCCTGTGTTCCCAATTTCAGAAAAAGCCTCAGTTACGACTTTCTGAGCCTTAGTTTTTCAACCCACAAAATGGAGGGAGCAATGCCTGCTCTGTCTACCTGGGCTGCCAGAGTCAGGTGAGAACCCAGACACAAACACACATTGGAAAATAACAACTGTGAGGAAGATGGAGACCAGAGCATGCTCACTCACTGCCAACATTGTTCACCTGGTTATTGACTCTCAAAGGAGGGACCCCATCTCACATGAGCATGTGATGGCACCATGCAAATTGCAATGGGCTGCACCAGCAAGAGAATGACAAACCAACAAGGCCGGCACCATATGACAAGAGCACCAGAGACTTCCTTCAGATGCTATGCACAGCCATTTCCACAGAGACCTATTAGAGACTAAAACTGAATTTTTAGTATGAAACAAGGGACTGACAATGACAGCAGGAATTTTCAGCAAGAAGGGAAAGGAGAACAACACATAGCATGCTTGAGGGAGGGCTAATTGGAGTAAGCAGGGATGTGGTTAAAAGGGGAGGACCTCAGAGGTAATCATCTATATCCCTTATTTCCCAGTGGAACCATTTAAACTGAGAGAGGATGTGGAGGTTAGCCTCCAGCATGGCTCCCAGTGATCCCCACCTCCTGGAAATTATATCCTTGTGTAGTCTCCTCCCAGACTGAATAGGGGTGACCTGGAGAACCAATAGGGTATTGAGGTGATCACAGTGTTTGACTTCTGCACCTATGTCATAAAGCGCATGATGACATCTGCCTTGGATCACTCACTCTGTGGGAAGCCAGCTTCCCTGTGGTGAGGACACTCAAACAGTCTTAGGAAGAAGCTTCCATGGAGAGTAACTGCAGCCTCCTGACAACAGTCAGCAAGGAACTAAGACTTTCTGCCAACAGCCACATGAGTGACCCATCTTGGGAGATGATTCTCCAGCCCCAGTCAAACCTTCAGATGATGTGGTTCCAGCGAACATCTTGAGAGCCTGTGAGCAGACTCCCAGTTACACCACTCCCAGATTTCTGACCTATTATACTATGAGATAATTAATAAATGATTGCTGTTTTAATTCACCCAGGTTTGGGGTTGTTTGTTATACATCAACAGATAACTACTACAGAGGGTGTATTTCATTTCCAATTACTTTCTGCATTTTTACACTATATCCACAGTCATTACCTCATTTGATTCTTATACTTACTTATTTTCTCTGGCTCAAAGGTTGATAAGCTATGTCTTGGAGAAGTTAAATAGCATTTCCAAATTCACATTATGCATCGTGGCAGATCCAGGTGAGGGGCCAAGCATTCTGACTTCTCGTGTTTTCTCTCTGCATATAATCCAGATGCTGAAAGCACATTCTGTGGGCAGCTGCATCCTTGAACATTGTCTGGAGCCTGCTCTATTTTGAAAGAACTCTTTGCTGCATGCTCTAGGGCACAGATGGAGGCAGCATCATAGGTGGGTTAAGCAGTTACCTCCTCTTTGGCACAACCTGCTAAGCTAACCTGAGTACTCCCAACCATTATTCCACAAGCCTCTACCGAGTGCCTCCTGTATGACAAGTGTCATAGAACTCACATCAACAGGATGCATTTCCTGGAGGCACAGTTCAATAGAGAGCTGGGGGTGAAAAAAAAAGAGAGAAAAGAAAAAATAAGAAAGCTATAACATTTGAGCTTGAAATGTCACAGGGAGCCAAGGAAGTTGTCTGATGGATTGCCCTGTCATCTCCAAGCCAAAAGAAAAAAAATTTCAGATCCATCAATTTGTTCCTGCCCTTTTAATCCAAGCAATACTTTACAGCATCAGAATGCAAAGAAATTATTTTCTTAGACGAATCCTCATGTGGACTGCTGAGCACTTAACCAGAAAACAGCAAGAGAGAACTGTAGGTTGTTCAAGTGTCTGCACATCTGATTGATCCAGATTGAATGTACAATATACTGGAACACATATGAGAGCCTACTGGTGACATATGTTCATTCATTCATCCATGTGGAGTTGACATCGCTTTGCCATAGACAATGAATTTGAAGAGACACCTGTGTACATGTGCACCAGCTGCCCAGGTTGAGGACTGCTCCTGCCTGCTCTGGACCTGCTCCTCCCTTTGGCTGGCTTTCCAATTAGTGTAGACATGTTCTCCCATATCCTAGCCTCTCTTTGGGCCACATTTGAGGATACCACCAACCAACCCTTGGATCAAATGCTTGGCTCTTGGGCTCAGACCCTGTAGGGATATAGCTTTATTTGCAAAGTAGGCTGAAAGACTCCCTCTCTTGACAAGGAAAGCTGATTGGCAGTATGAAGAGTACACTGCAGAAGTTTTGAGGAGGACAAGCACTTACGATGGCTTTACAGGGATGGCTGCCCAAGTGAGATAGAATTTAACGTGAGTATTTATCAGCCCTCAAACAAGTCCTGCCTTCTTTCATCCAGGTCTTTATTCACACTGCTTCTGCCTCCTATAAGCAATCCTTCCTGATTTCCCCCATCCCCTCAGTCAGTGTGCTCTCTCCCTGTCCCCTCGTTGTTGGTTCCTCTATCTCAGTGATCTGCTTTGCATGTGAATGACCCATGTGTGCATGTATTTCTCCCACTATATTGTAATTTCCATGGGGCTTAACTGTGTCTGTATTCCTATACAATGTCTAGCACAAGGAATAGTAAATCTTTATTAAAATGGCTTGAATGGGAGGAAATGTAAAGTGGGCATGTCCTGTATTGCTTGTGGGATAAATGGAGTCATTGTCTGTATGTTCATACAAAGACTTGTACATGAATGTTCATGTGAGCCTTATTCATAATCACCAAAAACTGGAAACAACTCAAATGTCTACATCAATACAATGGAATACTATTCAGCAACAAAAAGGAATGAACTACTGGCATATGCAACAACATAGATTAATCTCAAAGGCATCATGCTAAGTAAAAGAGCCAGACATAAAAAACTGTATACTGTTAGATTCTATTTATATGAAATTCTAGAAAATGAAAAACTGTAGTGACAGAAAGCAGACTAGTGGCTGTATGGGACAACAGATGGCAGGAAGTGGATTGAAACAATGGGAACATTATTTGTTCCTGAGGACACAGGGAAGTAATAGAAATGAACTAATCCTGATTGTGGTGAAAGTTGCACAGCTGTGTTCATATTCTCACACTCACCAAACAGTATATTTAAAATGGATGAAAGTTATTGCATAAAATTATACTTCAAGAAAGCTATAGAAGAAAATTGGCCAGAATGTGAAGGATTTTGGGTTCAACTTAAGGTGTTCGAACTCTATCATTGGCTATAGAAGCACTAAAATGTTTGAAGAAGGGAGAAATGGATGGTGTTGGAGAGAAGAAGCTGAGTATAAGAGTGGTTTTTTTTTTTTTTTTTTTGAGAAGTAATCTTGCCCTGTCACCCAAGCTGGAGTGTAGTGGCACGATCTCGGCTCACTGCAAGCTCTGCCTCCCGGGTTCAGGCCATTCTCCTGCCTCAGCCTCCCGAGTAGCTGGGACTACAGGCGCCCACCACCATGCCCAGCTAATTTTTTGTATTTTTAGTAGAAACGGGGTTTGTCCATGTTAGTCAGGATGGTCTTGATCTCCTGACCTCGTGATCTGCCCGCCTCGGCCTCCCAAAGTGCTGGGATTACAGGAGTGAGCCACCGCACCCAGCCAAGAGTTTTTTATGAATTATGAAATAGAGCAGGGAAGATTATGGCTTGGGTAAAGGTGGGAACAAAGGAAATAGAAATGATCAGATGGATGCAGGAGACTCAGCAATAAAAGAATCACAGACCCTGTGATTGAGGACTAAAAAGATGCGTGTTTTGGCTTGAGCCTTTAGTTTGATGATCTTGGTGAGAGATGCTTGTACAAAGCTGGAGCCAGCTTGGGGAGAAAGTGGGTGGATCCAAGGTCCGGAATTCTATCAAGGAAACAGATTTAGAAATTGGTTTAAGCAGCAGGGCGTGGTTGCTCACACCTGTAATCCCAGCACTTTGGGAGGCCGAGGCAGGCGGATCACGAGGTCAGGAGATTGAGGCCATCCTGGCTAACACGGTGAAACCCCGTCTCTACTAAAAATACAAAAAAATTAGCCGGGCGTAGTGGCGGGCGCCTGTAGTCCTAGCTACTCGGAAGGCTGAGGCAGGAGAATGGTGTGAACCCGGGAGGCGGAACTTGCAGTGAGCCCAGATCGCGCCACTGCACTCCAGCCTGGGCGACAAAGTGAAACTCCATCTCAAAAAAAAAAAAAAAAAAAAAGAAAAAAAGAAATTGGTTTAAGCTAGATGCCAAATTGATTCCACAGGATAGCCAAATATTAGGAGGGCAGGGACAAAGATACTGGCATTAGTGATGTGAGGAGGCATGAGACTCTGTGTGGGAATGGAGGCTTATGGACATGGATTCCTTTTGTAAGGGCCTGCCCTCAGGAAGCCTCTATGTCTGCCAGGTGAAATGTGTAAGAGGGAGCCAAGGAACTAAAGGGATGATTTAGGCCTGAGTGCCAGACAGCATTGCACCACCACTGATAGACCCAGAGAACCCAGAATGGGAGATGCTCAGGGACAGTGGTGGTGAAGAGCAAACACAGAAAGGGACCTTTGATGGCATCCAGTCCTACCTACCTCGCCAAAGCAGACACTTCTGCTATGTCCCCAGTACCATTTGGGTTGAGTGTTCTTCTAGAAACATGAAGTCTACTGCTTTGTGAAGAGTTGGCTCCATTCCTGGACAGCTCTAAATGCGGGTGGTGATGATGACGATGATGATAATGATGATGATGATGATGATGATGATGATGATACAAAGAGGAGCAGGAGAAGGGGACAACTAACATGTATTGAGCAGTCTCCTTGCGCTGGGCATTCTTCTAGGCTGTACATGCACTGTCTTATTTAATCCTCAAAATAACACTATAAGGTAGGCACTATAATTATCTATCCTCGTTTTGCAGATGACAAAATGAAGGCACAGAGAAATGATATAGCTTGCTCAAGGTCATACAGAAGTGGTCGATCTGGGATTTGAACCCATGTCATCTGATGGCAGAGCCTTCACAAGCCTGGCATGTATTGCTTGCTAGTGATTCCATATCTACCTGTCTGTAATTTCTGTCTAATTCCATTTTCTGTAGGAATTCAAATCAGTAAACAAAAAATTTTTTGCATCTTTTCAAATGTGTTAAGACAGCAAAGTGTACATTTCCTCTGAATTTTCTCTTCTGTAGGTTAAATACATCCATTCTATCAAGTGTTCCATAAGAGAAGATAATTCTAGTGCCCTTACCATCTTGGTCCTCCTTATTGAATATCCCTGAGTTGGTCATAATTCTCACTGAAGGTGAAACCTAGAAGTAAACACAGTACTCCCAGTATGACTCAATCTGAATGGAGTAAAATAAGAGAATGCAGTGCATGATGGTTCCCTGTGTCGGGGCAGAGCAGATGGCAAGAAGACTAGGCCTGGAGACAAGCCCACTGTAAAAGGATGGGGTGATACTGAATCAGAAAAGAAGACGAAACAATGAGTTTAAGGAGGATAAGAACTGAGAACTTAAACAGATCTGCTGGCTTAGGGAGAGTCATTGGGAAGAAATGCAGGAGCTATGGAAAGAGTAGGCAATGAGCCAGCAGGAGGGACTACTTGTTGTCCTCTCTGTTTACAAAAGGAAAGGGAAGAAGACAGTGGCTGGTGGGAGGTGGAACACACAGAAGGATCAAGTAAGAGGTTGTTTATATGCTAGGAAAGTGGGGATAGTGAGTAAGGCAGGGAAAGGATTGTCAATAGAGAGGAAAGAATGCACGAAGAGGGAAAGACTGAAGTTGCTGCAGCCAGAGTCAGATGGAGGCCACAGGTGAGATGAAAGGTAAAGGAAGCACTTTGTGGGTAGAGAGCGATATCTGAAGGTAAAGAGAAGGAGGGCTGATAATACCCCTCACATAGTGCTTCATGGTGTGCAAAGGTTTTCCATGTTCATTATCTCATTGGATCACACACCAATCCTGAGAGGGGAAATATTACTATTTATAGTTTATCATGGAAGACAATGGAGAGTCAAAGAAGGTAAGTGACTTTTCCAGTGCTATAAAAGGAATACAATTTTCTGATTTCTTGTCCCTTTTCCTGACTCTATGACTATAGCCTATTATACTGTGTCCCAGAGAGCTCAGTAAGATATGAATCAAGACCATGTCCCAAAAGGGAACCAGGATAAGTGGATTGTTGAGAGAAATTAGGAACTAAGGCGAGCTGGGAAAATTGAGCGCATTGTTTAGAAAAGGGGTCAATGACAAATAGAGAGTTGGTCTGGCAACATCAAGAGCAACAAGGAAGATAGCCTAAGTCTGCACTAATTTAAAGGAGGCCAACCCCAACCTTCTCCTGTGTCCTGAGAAACAATACTCCATCCATTAATCCCACTGAATTTAATGAATGTCACAGTGCATCAGAGAAACAGTAGGTGATTCAGAGCAGGAGCAGGAGTTTTGTGCAGCCAGACACAGGGTACAAGGTATAAGACGTACATGAATCAGGATGATGGTCATGCCAGGCAGGATGTTACCAAAGAATGACGTGCCTGCACAGAAACCCATAGGAAAGAAAGGGGACTTGGTGGAAGGGGGTGATCTAAGAAGGTTTCTCGGGAGTGCTGAGCCCAGAATTTCACACATGTATAAGCACAGTGGTGAGAGTTGCTACAAAAATTAAGAAACCTCAATGTTAGTGAATGTGTTTGGCTGAAGACAAGTCCTTTTACTAAAAGGGCTGTAAAGCTCTCCCATAAGGGTTGGCAAAGGAAGGCTTTGTAAAATCTGTTGTGGAGAAGGGGCATGATGAGTCAACATGACATTGAAACTGTCCATGAGAAATCAGGTTAGGAGGCTAATGAAACATGGTGTGAAGGCCTAAACCAGGGTTCTGGCAATAATGACGGGAAGAGATGTTATGAAACAGAGAATAAATTGATTTGATTACTGAATAAGATATAGAGAATGAAGGAGAAGACAGAAGTCAAGGATGAGTCTTGATCATCAATGAAATCATAGCAACATTGATGGATAAATCGAAATTAGAAGAGTCACAATTAATGAGGAGAGGAGAGCTTAAGAGAACACAGGGAGATATGCATAGATACCTGGAGACACAGTCTAAAATTCTCATCAGTGATCAGGTCTAAGTGATGAGATTCAGAGGTCATCTACAAGGAGAGACGTATGACTCCTTGAGTGTGGTGAACGAGGGAGAGAAGCAGAAGGTCATGGTCTGAGTCTTGAGCGACATCAGAGAAATTTTCTATCTGCCAGGAAAGTGGGAAGAAACATCTCAATTAAAAAGCATTTCAATTCAATAATGAGAGATACTGGAAAAAGAAGCTGAAGGCATCAAAACTTAGAGATGGTAAGGAAATCCTTGGTGCTCTTGGGTTGAGTACCTGAGACTGGGGAAGGGGAAGCACTGTGTGTGTGTGTGTGTGTGTGTGTGTGTGTGTGTGTGTGTGTGAGAAGGATGGCCTGGGACAGGCAAGGAAACCCAGAAACTTGGATTTCTTTCAGGCAACTGTCAAACTCCTTTAGCTCCCAGGATGCTGCTCTCAAGATGTTGCCAGGGTAGGACCAAGTGCCCAAAGACGCTGGCCACATTTTTGAGGTTGGTAAAACCTGGCCTGGAACTCCTGGTGCCATGTTGGCATGTAAACAGGTACCTACTAGCCTCACCATTGTCTCAAGACCAATATATGCTGGACAATTTCAGCCCTGATGGAACTCCATAACAAATACATGAGGGGAATTGCATTAGAAAGCATTTCCATTTGTGTACAAACAATACTTTAAAAACTGCTTGCATTTTTGGGAGTTGAGTTTGGCGGTTGCCTGGAAGAATGCCCAACCCCAGTTCTACTAGAAATCTTGGCCCAGCTAGTGATAATTAATGTTTTATGAAGAGTGTGAGCTGACCTACAAGTGTATGTGCGAGAATGGTGGAAAACATGTTTGAAATTATCTCAGTACATAAAGGTAGAGTCACCATTTGTGTGTAACTAGAGAGTTTGAGTTGCCCAGCCTAAGTTTGAGACCTGCCAACCTCACCTCCTTGCTCTGTAAACTTGAGCATGTCTCACACTCTCAGAGCCAACTTCAAATCTCAGACCATTTCATGGTGTAAAAAGAATAAAATGGACCAAATTACATAGTAGGACTTTATGAATTATAAAGTGCTTTTTAAATTATTATATTGCCAATAAGTAGTAAAAGAGCCTTTCTTTAAGTTGGACTTCAGAACCTAGAGTTCAAGCATTTGACAATGACTTTCCCTGCATGACTTTTTCCCTCATCTGCTATTCCTAATTCAGTAATACATAGCAAGTTTACTTTTCCCAGTTATCCTCAATCATTTTTAGCAGAGAAACTTCACAGCCCCATGTCCTCTAAAATGAGTTTGGAACTAAGTCAGGAGGTTTGGGAAGACAGTTCGGTGATCTGAAACAAATAATTCGTTTGGGGGCTTATGTCTCATTTTCTTGTGGGGTAATTCCAAGACCTGACTCACTTTGGGCTGAAGCTGTTAGAAAATGTCCATGTAGCCTTAGTTTAGGAGAGCTGCAAAACACCACCTCCCAGGCCCATTATAATGCCAGGCACTTTCACATCCTTTACAATACAAAATTTAATCTACTCCTCAAAGCAGCTTCTTGGGTTGAAACTACTATTCCCAGTTAACAGATGAAGAGTCTGAGGCTCAGAAAAATTGAAAAATGTGCCAAAACTCACACACATATGTGCCACAGCTGAGATTTTAATCCTTTTTTTCAAGTCCACCCCTATATACCACCATTAAACCACCCCTATAAAGAAGGGTCTCTGTGAACCAAAGGAATTATTTTGAGCTCCTTCTCTCACTATTTGGACTCAAGAGCTTCATCGAATATGCTACTCTGTCAGCAGGGCTGAGATAGAGAAATTATCCAGTGGAAAGGATCACAGAACCCAGAAATAGATCCATATATGTATGAACACCACTTCATATAAACACAACTGACAGTGCAGGTCAACAAGGAAAGAACAGACTATTCAACAAATCTCCCTGCAACAACTATTTAACCATACAAACCAACTAAATTGGAATTCTACTTCACAGCATACACAAAATCAATTCTAGGTGGCTTAATAACTTAAATATGTAGGGTAAAATTTAAAACTTTAGAAGACAATATGAGGGAATATCTTTGACTTTAAGATAGGAAATACTTTTGCTTTAAAACACAATATAAAAAATAAAACTCATAAAGAAAAGATTGTTAACTTTGACTATGTTGAAATCAAGAATGTGGGTTCATCAAAATACACTATAAAAATCGAAAAGACTAGGCACAATCTGGGAGAAAATATTTGTGACACATATAATCAACCACAGGTTTTCAGGACAGAATTTCTGCAAATCAGTAAGGAAAAGGCAAACAGCTTAACAACAACAACAACAGAAAAAAAAGTCAAAAAAATCATGAATAATCATTTTACAGAAGAGGAAACACAAGTTTCCAATAAACATACAAAAATCCTTTCAACCTCACCAGTAATCAGAAAAAAATGGGTGAATGAATGGGGTGACCAACTCAAAGCCTATACAACATGAACATAATTAATAGAAGCTCTTGGGGCAACTGAGGGGAGAAAGCAGAAGAGCAGAAGCTAAGACCTGAGGTCTGCAACCAGGACTCTCTTTCTCTTATCTTCTGAATGCACTCAACCAGATAGAATTAGGGTCATCTAATCCAATATAAGCCTAATTAGGCCGGGCATGGTGGCTCATGCCTGTAATCCCAGCACTTTGGGAGGCCAAGGCAAGTGGATTGCCTGAGGTCAGGAGTTCAAGACCAGCCTGGCCAACATGGTGAAACCCTGTCTTTACTAAAAATACAAAAATTAGCCAGGCATGGTGGCAGGCGCCTGTAATCCTAGCTACTCAGGTGGCTGAGGCAGGAGAATCGCTTGAACTCAGGAGGTGGAGGTTGAAGTGAGCCGAGATCGTGTCATTGCACTCCAGCCTGGGAGACAAGAGTGAGTAAATCCTTCTTTATTAAATGAAAAGAAGAATGCGAGTATGTAAATTCTGCATTCTGCACAACCTCTCCACTAACCCCACCCTCACCAGTCTGCCTAGAGAATGCCCTCTTCTTTCTTGACTCCCTCCTGCCTTTTCCCTGACCCCTGCTCCCCAATCTATGCCGATTTAGCCCTTTGAATGCTCTTTGATTGTAGACACTGTTTACTAGTTTGCAAGCTCGATGCCCTTCTAGGCCCTTCTAGGCCATAAGCTTGATGCAGGGAAATGTGTCTTAGTCATCGGTTAATCCTGCACCTCTTACAGTGCTTGGCAAATCATATGTGCTGGACACTTCTTTTGAATCTAACAGACGCTAAGTCACAGACCATGAAAAGCAGTGAATCTAAAGTCAATGACTCAAAATGCAAGTATTAATAGATTAACAGAGTAGGGATCTCAAAATGAAAAGAAAGGGCAAAAATACAAAGTAGACTCCAAGCTGATTACGACTAAGATATAAAAAAGCAATTTAAACCAAGCCCTGAAGTCTTGCTGAGTCCCCTGCTAAGCCAAGCAAGTCTGATGCACATAACACCCTTGCAGGCCGCACACAGCCCAAGGGAGAAGGTGGTTCCATGAAGTTTGGGCTGGGATATCTTTGGAAGACAGAATAAAAGTCAACTTTGTGGAAATGGGGCAATCCAGATTTTTAAAAATTGGGGCATTGTCCCTAGAAAACACTCACATCATTGCATACTGAAAGGAGCAGGCAGGTGGCAAGGTGGCAAGGCCAGGGGTAGGTACAGAAACACAAGGAGGTAATGGCAGAGGGTGGGGACCTACCCACAGAGAAGTGTGAGCATCGGAATGAATCACGCCTGTTATCACTCAGGCCACTCACTGTCTGCACTGAACCTGTACTAATTCTGCCAAAGTGGCCAAAACCTAGTGGAAATTCTTCTAACAGATACTTCTGGAAACTCCTCTTCCAAAAATCTCTCAAAGTTGCTTTACTTTGTCGTACATCAAATGCTTCCTTGCACCTGAATATAAAAACAGAACTTGAGGAGAGATCAGGTTAGAACTCATAGTAGGTTCTGATGATCTCTTTTCTTCTTCTTTTTGGGAATATTCTCAAATGTTGACCAGTTTAGCCTGGTTAGTGAAAACCATTATTGTTCAGCTACTGGATTAAATGCCTAACATTACAACACAAAGCAGATACAACTTGTTGACCACTCAAGGTGTGGTCACTGTCTTAATCAGTGAATGTGTGTTATCCTCATAATAGTCACAGTAGTGTCCTCAGGTCAGGATTGTTATCAACCCCACTTTCCATATCAGAAAACTGAGTCCTGAGCAATCAAGTAGCCCATACTAAATAAGAGCACTGAGATTATTCTCCAAGGCCATCGGATTCCATCTCCTTCTAGCTGATATTCATGAAGAAGGATGTGCTCTCGGGAACACTGGGTTCTCTATACACATTGTCCGTTATTTCTGCAAACAACAATAACGACAACCATTAAACTCCGGGAAGCTCGTGGGCAGGACTCAGCACAGAGCTGGGCATCATGCTACTTTGTACATCTGCTGATTAATTTTGTTTGGAGGCCACATAGAGCATCAGGAATTTGAGAATGTTAGCCAACCAATGAAGACTTCCAACTGCAGGGGGTCTGTCTTCTTTTCCTCTTCTTTCCCTTTCCTTTTTCCTTCCTTCCTTCCTGCCTGCCTTAAACATTCATAGGCACCTACTATGTACCAAGTGTTGTGCTGTGAGCTGGGACACGGAGATTAAAAAGACATGGACCACTCAAGGGCCTTGGCATCTAGGTATGGGAACACACCACTGCTCAGTGCAAGAAAGGCTACTCAAATTCCAGGGAGATGAGTGAATAGACAGAATCAAATGCACCTCCTTTTCTCTGGGTTCCTCATTACACTACAGGGCTATATTTCTAAAGGGAAGGGGAACTCCCAGGCGTGTCTGTCTGGTAAGTGAGGGCAAGTCTGCAAAGGAGCCCGACCACATTACAAAGAGGAAGGACAGTGCCTGTGACAAGAAGGAGGATCCACGGAGCCAGGGTGGAGGCACAGTGCAGGACCTGGGACAGGCAGACAGATTCCCCCATGCTAAACCCTGAATATGAGGGGAAGGGGCTGCAGTTCTGGGAAATAAGTTAGCTAGCAGCAGAATTCCATCTGACCAGTTGCACCCCCGCTCCCACACTCAGCCCACTATCTCCCAAGGAGGACTTTGACTTCTCTTTGTCCTTAATCTTGTAAATAAGAAGGGAAAATGTAAATCACCTCAGCGCTAGAGAGTAGGACAGGGCTGGAGCCCGCCTTCCAGTGGGAGGGGGAAGATCCATTCCAATACTTATTTATTATTATTATTTAGAGGAGAGAGAGGGGAAAGAAGCCAGAAATATTTCCAAAATGTCAACACTGTTAAGGAAATCTGAACACCTTAATCCATTTAAATGTCAGCTAGACCCAGGCAAAGGGTTTTTGGGAGGGGAGAATGAGGAAGTAAGGAGGGGCAGAGAGAATTAACGCCAGATTCCACATAATCTATCAAAGTTTCTTTCTTTTCTTAATGTATTAAATATTAAATCCTTCTTTGCATCTGAGTGAGAGAGGAGAGAGAGAGGGACCAGGGTGGAACTCATAAATGCCTAGATAATTGGTTTTGAGGTTTTCTTCTTCTTTCTTTCTTTCTTCTTGGTGGATTCTCAATTTCCCTATAAAAGAGAAAATTCATTTCCAGCCTCTAATGTAATGTCAGCGTGCTGTTTACTAAGCATGGATGATGTATAGGGGGACACTACTTTCAGAGGACTACTTAATGATGCATAGAATTAAATCCTGAGCTCCTCAGCTGAGCCTCCTCCCTCCCTCCTGGTTCCCAGGCTCCCAGTGCATCCTGGGAGAAGCAGGCTTGGCATAACCTGTCTCCCTCATTACTAGAATTCTGGGGTCTCTGCCGAAGAAGCTTGGAAATCACCCTTCACTTTAGCAGACACATTTGCCCTTGGCGTAGACCAGAGTGAGCTTCTGGGCAGTAAGAAGCTGATGGCCAGGGGAAAGAAGACTGCTCAGTGCTGAGGGAGATAGAAACAGGGAGTTCATAGGATGCACCAGGGTGTTGGGGTTTCCCTGTAGGGAAAGGGCTGGCCAGGGAGAGGGAGGGGTGGAGCTTCTCCCAACTCGCCCTCTGACCCCTGGGAACCATAGCATTCAGATGTCAAGTAAAATATATTTCCCTAGTTCAGCTCCAACCTTAGGGGCCTGTGAGGCTGTCATTGCCACAGCAGCACCTTGGTTCTCATGCACATGCCAGGCAGATGCATTGTCAGTGCAGGCTGCTCTCACAGTGGGCTGGCCAGCCTGGGTGGGCCTGGCCTCCCCTGAGGAGCTGCACCCTGCTGAGAGAATACCCCACCTTCCCCCCTGGGGAAAAGTGATTCGGCCATGCCACCAAGGAGACCACCAACTGGTGGTCAGCACTGAGGAACTGGGAGTGAAGGCAAGAAGATAGACAATGGGAGGGACCAGTGGGCTGAGGGGAGAGGGGAAAATGTAGCTCTCCTGCGGTGGGGGTGTTGGGAAGGAGTATCCAGACACACAGTCCCTTCTGAATCTCCACCAGGGTCGCTTTGACCCCCTTGAGTCTGCAGAAACTGACTTCCCCCTAGGTAAACCCAGTGGCCTCACTTTCGTTATCCTCCTGAGCGTTTGCTATCACTAACCACTCTCTCCTTTTGGAAGCCCTCTACTTAGGCGTTGTCGATGCTGCTCTCCGGAAAACTCTGTGAGTCCCTATCTCCTTTGTGGGGGTCTTGGGCTCTTCTAGTCTGCGAGCTGAGGATTTCCTATAGGAGTCTTTCTTGATGGCTCTCTCCTCTGTATATTTTCACTCCCTATACAGGTTCCCTGTTTTTCATGAATCCAAAGCCCATGTTTCCAATCTAACCATGAACCTGGGCTCCCAGAGTATGTCCACAGCCTCCTCTAGCAGCAAATTCAGAACCGTTCCCCAGTCAGCTCCCTTCCCCACCACCCCACTTCTGCCCATGCTATTGCCATGGCTTTCAGATTAGAAAACTTAAAGTCATCATTGTCTCGCTTTTCTTTTATTAAAATTTTGAAATGACCTGTGGCTTCCATCTTTCCTACTTATCCCCTGACCCCCATCACCCCGATCCAAGTCCTAGGCCTAAACTCCTGCCAAGGTCCCCCAAATTTTACCTTCCTGCAGTTGAATCATCCCAGTCTATCCTGAACTCTGAGCCCAACCTCATTTTCACAAAATACCATTTAAAACGCGTCATTTTACAGAGGCTAGTCACCACCCACTGAACTGTGTCCAGACTACACAGCCCTGAGCAGATCCTGCTTCAAAGGAGAATCAAAGGGAGCGCTTTCACCAGCTGAACCTGTGGAACAACAGTTGGAGAAACTGAGTTTCCAACCTGGAAAAGGGGAAGTTAAAAAGTTGCTGAGCTTGTTTAGAAAATCAGAAGAACTGCTCTGCAGCAAACAGGGAGAGATGCTGATGACACACAGAGAGATATCTGAAATCAGTGAACAGCAGAAACCATGAGCTAGGCTCCACAGGACTTTCCAACAGAGGCATTTAAAGGTGAAATGATCTTTCCCATCTTGAAATATTTCCCAACAAAGACTGATGATCACATATAGGGATATTACAGAGGAAACCCACATGTAGGACTGGTGAGGCATACATAGTTTTTCTAGAAGGGTTTTAAAGTTCCTCCCCACCCAGAGGTACTGTGATGCTGCACCTCGCTTCAAGAACTTCCTTCATCTGGCCATCCCTCTGTATTCCTCTTTTTTCCCAGCATCCCAGTGTATGTCCAGGCAGGCCAGATTCCTCACTGTCCAAACACATTCCATGCAAGTCTTTGCCCATGTGGCTTCCCTATGAAGAATGGCCTCTTGCTAATCCTTCAGACCCCCTCCTCCAGGAGACCTACTCAGACTCCTCTGCTGTCTGCTATCTTCGCTCAGCCCTTCAACCACACAATCTTGTACTGTACTCCCCTTCCTTACCCTTAACTTTTTCTAAGTGAGGATGAATCTGACCTCCTATAGTATACGAATCATAATGCGTCTTTTGCAGTCTCACTGTAGCTAACATAGAACCTTGCAAACACTGGCCATTAATAAAAACTCGATGCGTTGGTTGATTAAACACAGTTACACACAAAGTTCACTGCCCACCTTGAGTATTGCCGTGTGAGCCTTGCCAGTCAAGAAGTGTTGCCCAAAGAAAAATTCTGTGTGTGGCTCTCCATCATATACTGAACAAAATGCAGTTCCTAAGCATGACACTCAGACCCCAGCCCATACTGATCCTGAGCTACCTGTTCAAATGTTCCTGCATTCCTTACTCTATCACTGGCCAAATCAGACTATATGCCATGCACTATTTTCACAGTTTCCCTGCCTGGAAAGCCCTTCCCATTCTTACACACCTGGACATTCCTATTTGGTCTTCAAAAGGCAGCTCAGAAATCACCTTCTCAGTGGAGCTTTTCCTGATGACCTCTAAGGCAGCTTCTTTGCTCCCTCCTCCGTGCTCCCAGGACACTTTGGGCAGATCTCCATTATATTGCTCACCATATTTTATTATAGTTAATTGTGTACACATCTGCCTTCCCCACCATATGATGTGCTTGCCCTTCAAGGGCAAGGACAATGTCTTACCCATCCCTCATCCCTTTAGTACCCAGCTGCGTGTGAGGTGTATAGGAAGAAGGAAGGAGAGAGGGAAGGTACAGAAGGAAAGGGAGGAAAGGAGGAAGGGATACAGAAAAGAAACAAAGGAAAGAAAAGGGAGAAGATATTATGGGCAGTGGAGGTGTTATGACAAGGATCCAATATGGCACATTCACCTGGCCCATAGATAAGTGACCAAGAGAAGACACTTCATGAAGCTTCATGAGTCCAAAAAAGGAGATCTTTGCCTTCTCTCAGACACATCCACTCTGGTATGAATACACTTGATTCATGGCTACAGGTTCTCTGCATTATAGTCCATACTAATTAAAGTAAATGTTCTCTCCCTTCTGGGTCCTTAGTGTGCCCTGTTGAGTAAGACAGAAGACAGTAACTATTTCCCAAAATAGTGGAGGTCTTGCCTGATGAGATAATTCAGTGCAGGGATCTGGGAGCATGTCTTGCCCCAGGAGTATGGTTTATTCAGCCATAGTGGGGTGGGAAGGTGGTCCTGAGCTTTGTGGTGGTAGTGGATGTGTTGGACTAACTCTTGGCAGATTCGGTCCTCAGGAAAGTTCTGCCTAGGTATCGCTGCTAATTGGAATAACTAGGTGTCCCAGCTGGGCCAGAAGGGAGCCCCTGGAACACTCTCCTAGATGGAGCTGGGAAATACCTTTCTCTCAAAAATCTGTGTGATCCCTTGATTACAGCAGAAATGAGATATCGCTCAAAAAAATCTTAAACTGATTCTATAGGAGTTTGCACATAACTAGACATGTCTGGTGAGCTACTTCGTGTTTCCTTATGGAAGCCCATTTGCAGAAAGGAATGATCTGAACCGTGTGAGATAATTCACCAAAAGTAAGAAAGTCTGCCAAGGTGAACCAGACGCAGCAGCAGGACTGGGGCTTAGAGTGATGGTGGCTCTGTGTGCAGCATTTGAGTAACATTAGGAACTTGTCCCAATTCAGCTATCATAAAGTCACAAAGAGAAGAAACGTCTGTGTGTTTGTAAATTGACTAAATTTTGTCCCACTAAATTGTGACCCTTTGAGATACAGACAACCACATATTGAGATCTTCCTCAATGAAGCACTGGGGACACAATGTTCTCACTTCCTATGAACATTAGTGGCGGAGCCAGTTGGCAGCAATTTGGGATGACAGAGCGAGCCCCTTATCGTGGCAATCCTGGGACAAACAAAGACTCTTGCTCAATAGCAGAGGTTACAGGCCAAAGTAACAGAAGCCAGCATCAAATGGTAGCTCAGACTGCAGCAACTACCCCATGGGTAGTCCAAGAATATTTGGGAGGAGGGAACTCAGTAAGACACTGTGAAGCAGGTGGGAGCTCAAAGGTAGCAAGGCTCAAAGCTATGATTCAGATGTCATTATCTGAACCTACAGACTGGTGAGATGCAAGACTGAGAATACATTGTTTTGTTATTTTTGTTTTACCTTTTTATGTTTGTTTAAATACAGAGAGTAATCATTCAGGCCAGGGGAGATAATAAAATAACCCTGGCAGATGCTCATACCTTAGATCAACTCATGACACCCTACAGTTGTGTGCTCTAAGTTCAGGCTCAGTGTGTGGGACAGGCATTCCCCAAAGATGAGAGGTCCCACCTGGGAATCTTGGCTTTACCCTCTGAGAGTCCAGGAATCCTGGGTTGCTCCCAAGGATGAGATGATGAAGGGGAGGGAGAGTTCAAAGCCCACCCTCAGGCTGTCAGAACAAGGACCTCCTCCCTTAGAGCCTCTGTGTGGCACCAAAAGAAAGGGATTTCAAGAGACCCTGAGAAGTCGGACACCTTGCCATCAGTCAGTCCACCAAGACCTCTGGTTGGCAGCAGCTCTTTAGGTCTGAGCACCTGTTCCTAGGATTTAGTCACAGCCAGAATTTCCTTGTCTTATTTTCTTTTCTGCATCCTTTGATTTTCCCCCACTAAATATAAATTCTTTCAGACTATGGCTTCTAGATTTTACCCTTTAACATAATTCCCTAAATATAATATCCTGATCTCTCTCCCTTCTCATGTCCTCCACAAGCCAACCCATCTCCACTAGCAGGCCCACCATCCAAGATAATTGGACTGGCCCCAGAAGAAAATGAAGACCCTACAAAATCTGCCTCTCCCCCAGGTCACTGGGTCACTGATGCCTCCAAATCCGGTCCAGCAGGCTTGGTCTCCTCTTTTCCCTCAGCTCCATCCCTTCCTGGTCAGCCCAGTATCCACTTTCCTGGGTCTTATAAATCTAGAGCTAATCTGCTAAACTCCTCTGGGTCTGAACGTTAATGGCTGCTGTGAGTAAATGGGTTACCTTTCCCTGGAGCCTTCTCAAGCCACTATGGCAGGAGATTTCCACTCAAACCCTTCATATTAGAAGGTTCCTGAGACACCCACATTTCAGTTCTGTGGAAAGTACCAGGGTCAAACTACTGGAAGACCTAGGACCCCGGTCACACACCCCACCTACCTTACACTTCCTGCACTGTCCTGGGCCATCTCTCCCTCCTGAGGATCTCCACAGATGGCTCAATTCCATAGGGTCTTGTTGATCTTACATCAACCAGTGTAGAAACTTCTGTCTCTCTCTCTCCCCATCCCTAACTCTTTCTTTCACATTTTCTCATTCATACTCACCTTCCTTTAAAATAATTCCATGGGTCTTTTTTCAAAGTTAAAGAGACTTTTAAGAATCTTAGGCCGGGCGCGGTGGCTCACGCCTGTAATCCCAGCACTTTGGGAGGCCGAGGCGGGCGGATCACGAGGTCAGGAGATCGAGACCATCCCGGCTAAAACGGTGAAACCCCGTCTCTACTAAAAATACAAAAAATTAGCCGGGCGTAGTGGCGGGCGCCTGTAGTCCCAGCTACTTGGGAGGCTGAGGCAGGAGAATGGCGTGAACCCGGGAGGCGGAGCTTGCAGTGAGCCGAGATCCCGCCACTGCACTCCAGCCTGGGCGACAGAGCGAGACGCGAGACTCCGTCTCAAAAAAAAAAAAAAAAAAAAAAAAAAGAATCTTAGTTTGAGTCTGTGACAAAATAGGGGAAATATCATCCCTGAGGATGACCCTTGAGACAGTTATAAATGACTATAATAAAATAAAAAATTTGGAATAAGAAGGGATTCCCAACTGCTACTCTCCTAGCTAGGAGTCGAAACAGGCCCTTCACAAAGGGAGCGACAGGGAGGACGGCAGTGAGGGGCAGTGAGGAAAGTGGGGAGTTGAATAAGCCTTGCCAGATTGGGAAATGAGACCCACAGGGAAACACGACTCCAATCCCTCCTCAGCCATAAAGCCTTGTTCCCACAACCTCCCCAGCAGCACTTCCCACACACATGTGTAAACAACAGAAAGGGCTCCAGGGAGCCAGGCTCTGAGCAGGAGTGGGAGAGAGAGATCAGTCTGAACTCTCCTGCCTTGGGATTTAGGGAAAGTGTCCCTCAGTTTCCTCATCTGTAAACCGTAATGACTGAAGCTAACAGCTACTAAGCCATCACCACGGCAGACATTGCCAATTTCTTTATGTGCATTCACTTACTCACTCCTCATGGCAGCCTGATGAGGCAGGTCCTATTATTGATCCCATTATACAGATAAAGAAGCTAAGGCTTGGAGAGATAAAGTCACCAGCCAGAGCTTCTATTGTGCACCTTCAGTTCACCCACAAGACTGGCTATTTTTCTACCTGCTTCTCTGGAGGCTTTTATGGCAGGACTTTTATGGCAGGCTTTTATGGCAAGTCCTTGAAATACAGAATCTTCCTGGACCTTCTCCTTCTATGTTCCATTTTTGTCATCAGTAGGCTAGGGACAGAAAGAGGGTAGATGAATTTTCTTTGGTACTAAATTGTCCCATGGGTCAAGTGGAAAGTCAGCCAGGGATATCAACTCATGCACGTGGACAACACCTCCCCTGTTGTAAATTTTTCTTCCACACATTTTCTTTTGGCCTTCACAGCAGCCTTCAAACATAAATGAAGGAAGTCTTCCTCATCTATAAAATGAGGGTAAAATTGCCTGTCTTGCAGGGTTGGTATGAAGAGTAAATGATCATAGGAGAGCCCCTAGGACAATGTCAGGCACACAGTTTACTCTTACCAAATGTGAGGTCCCTTCTCAAGTCTAGGAGAGTGATGGCACTGACATGGAGACTGGACAATGCATGGTCTCACAACTGTAATTCCAGCAGCCCAGGCTTCCTCCCTGGAAGCAAGCATGACTTGGCATCCTGTGCTTCTTCTCTAGACTCCCTTTCTCCCTGCCTGTTTCTTCTCCTCTGTCCCCACCTCAAATGCCCCAAAGCTACAAATTCTAAAATAAATTTACAACACGGTACTGTGCTTTAGGACAAGAATTGGAAAGAAGACCCCAGATTTGGAATGGATAAGGGATGTTTTGGGGGATAGGATGCAGACATCGTTAGGGAGGGAAGGGCTCAGGTCACTGAGGGGAGGAAAGGTACATGGCACTGAAAGACACACAGATGAGTGCATATGCAGCACATGCACACACATGCACACACATACACACACATATGTACACATTATCCAGTGCCTTGGTAGACCACACCTCTGGCAGCAGTGGGTAGTCTTCACAAATGAGCCCCTGCTCACTCTAGAAAGCTATTCAGGCAAACTGTTCCTCTAGGAAACATTCATTTTTAGGGACTCTTCTGAGAAAGAGCAATTGGGGTTAATATATGCATATAATCATATATAATATAACTATGATAAAGGCTCTGTTTAAAATGTGGCCAACTGTGCCTGAGGACCAGCCCCCTTGGCTGGCCTTTTAGTCCCCATGGCTACCCCTGAGATATCTCCACAGTTTGTTAGGGCACCACAGAGTACACTTTGAAAACCATAACCTCAAACCAGAGAAGGAAGAAATGCAAGGTTCTGAAGTTGGGGACAGGAGGACCATGGTTGACTCTCTGATCACACGATGCAGGCAGTTGCCTATGCAGCTCTGGAGGGCAGAATGCCTGGTCCTCTACTTGATGGCGTTCCTGAACCAGAGCTGGATGGTTGCCTCCACATCTCTTGCTTTGTGAAATCCTTATAGAGCCCTGCTTTGTTTAGGCTTCCACTGTTTGGATTATCTGTTATATGTAGGTCTGCTCAGGCCCCAGCTGATCCATCATGCTATTATTCCTCTCCTGGCCTCCTGCATCCCGGGCTGACCTCCCACACTGATGCTGTCTCCTTCCCCCGGCCCCATTCGTGACTTGACAGCACTTATTCTCTTCCTCTGTACAAATCATTCAAGATGCCTTCCCTGTCTGATTCACTGCAGTATTCCCAGGGCTCAGATCCATGCTTGGCACACAGTAGGCACTCAATGAATATTTCTTAAGTAGACAAATGAATTATCTCACCAACCCGGCACTGCTCTCATTATCTGACAGCTGCTCGGCCTACTCTCAAACACTGACCCCTTATCCTTCTCCTATCTCATATTTCTTATTGTCTATGAAAGATCTCTATTTGGTTGGCCTTCCAACCCCTGCAACAAAACTTGTCCGAAGCAGAGCTTGTTTATCTTTCCTTCCAAGCCAGAGCCCATTCCCAACTTCCCAGTTATTGCTAGCAGCACAATTAGCCTTAGGACCGCGAGGTCATTGCTCTTCATTTTTTCTCTTTGCTTGGCGTTCACTCCCTCTTTGACTCCTGTCTGTTCTTTCTCAGCAAGGTCTCCCAGTCTCTGTGCTCTCTTTTCTCACAGCAGTTCCTGATCCAGGCTTGGACTCTGCACTGGAAGCACCAGCCGGCAGTCTTCCTTCCCACTTTGCACCAACACCAGTCAAGTGCAGGTCCTGCCAGTCCCCTGACAGAGAGGGCCTCGAAAGTGAATGTCACAGAGAGCACGCAGTGAGATGAGTAAAGGGATGAGAGATGAGTAAAGGATGCCACATTTCCTTTTCCTTGAGGAGAAGGATCCTCTGTGTCTATCGTACCTTTGCAATTAATACAATAATTCTGAGGACAGACTGTAGGCTTTTCTCAATTCATCAAGTTTATTGCATCCCCGAAACCAATCTAGAAATTTTACCCCTCTCCACTACCTTTACACCCTCACTGCTTCTCCCTTTCTCCTGATTCTGGGCCACAGCCATTCACTGAGTGGCTTCCACACAACAGCTGGGGAAGCACCCATGACAGGAATCACTGTTGAGCTCCACAGCCTGCCTGCAGGAGGCAGAGGGTCCTGGCCTCACCCACCTACTGGCTTCTCCTGATTCTGTGCTCCCTGGCTTCTCCTTCATCACTCTCTGGAAAACACTTCAAAGCTTCCTGCTCTTTCAATGCTGACCCTATTTCCGAAATAAATAAATGACAAAGAAAGAAACAATAACTCTTCACATAGGCAGGGCAGGCCATTTTCTTCACCATCCACCTCCATTGCAAACTCTAATTACCTGATCCTACCTATAGGTGCTTCTCACATGAAGAATGACAGAGAGGATTTTGCCCACCTTAGCATGCTTTCTGGGTATAACGCTATGTCCCGGATAAGCTTTTGGGCTCCCTGCACCCCACACTCCTCAGTCTATTTGTACCAACTGATTTATGCAGGGCTGGGAAGCTTCCAAAAAACAAACAATTTGGGATTTGGACATATACAGACATGTGTGATGACATTGGCAATGCCTTCATGAAAGCCAAATTGCAGTGAGGAACTTCAGGAGATAGATCCTGAGGGAAAGAAGCCACCATTATGAACCAATCTGGAAACAGGACCTGAGCAGTAAATGGAAATGTTTCTGCATAGAATGAGGACAACACTGCTTGAGCCTCCTTGCAGAGAAAAGGTTGTGTATATGCAAAGTGAAAAGAGCTGGAACATCTTGGAGCTCAGGCATCCCTGTAAAGGAGTCACAAAGAAAGAGAGAAGCCTTTCCCTTCCCATTCTGTAGATGTTCAGCTAATAGCTGTCCAGAGAAAGTGGTGGTGGCCACCCTTCAAGGGGCGCCTGAGCAGAGTGATGATGGCGACACAGAAAAGAAGCAAGAGGCACAGCAAAGAGATTCATGAAAGCATCATGGCAACCCCAGAGTACCACCTGAGATGGCTAGGAGGAGCCATGGGAGGATGGCAGAGGGTGGTGGTCTCAAGCTCCTAGCCGCACCTCTCCAGTCCCAGGAGCCAAACACACAGTCCCTTGTGACCTCATTGTACCCACAGGTAGAGAGCTGAAGAAGCATTTAGATTATATAAAGAATCCGCCATTCAAGGTACATCAAGTAAGTCCAAACAATTATGTAGGAAGAATAAAAAAGACAACAGGCTTGCAAAGCATTGAGCATATTTGCAAAAGCTGACTATAGACAGTGCAGGTGCTGTTTGGTCAGGATTGAATGGGAGGGGGAGGAGAGGCCAGACTTTGGTGTCCACTCAGCCCGTCCTGAGCCAGCACTGTCCTTGGAGTGATGGAGGGTTTGAGGAAGTACAAAAACACTGGAAGCCTCAGAGACTGGCAAGTCCAATCCCTCTTTTACATGAATAAGCACCTGGGCTTTCCACAAAAGAAAATGGTTAGAAGTAGCATTTGGGTGGCACATCACAGAAGGCCCCCACACACATTAGCCTGGATGATTCTCACAATGTCCCCAAGAGATTGTGCTGTCCTCACTGCAAAAGCAGAGAAATAGGAGGTTTGATAATATTAAAGAAAGTGCCCAAGGTCTCTTGGCTCCCCTGCACACCATGCTCTGTGAAAGACGGAAGGTATGGGAGGCGGGGGCTAGTGGGTTATGCAGAGGACAGCTCGGTGAGATATTGCAACCATTAATTCAATACAAAGAATGCATGTGAGTGAATGAATGAAAGAATGAATGAAAACCTGTGAGATATTCATAAAGATCATCAAACACAAGCTGTGTAGGTTTTTAAGAATTGAATAATCTCATTAAATAGTGGGAAAATTTAAGATTCCAGAAAACTCAGAAAATATATGGGCCAGTGTTTGGTGTACATCAGTTCATTAAAATTATAGATGTGAAGACTCTACTCATAAACTACTGAATCAGAATTTCTGGGGCCTCCTTATATTCAACAAGCTGCCCAAGTGATTCTGCTGTGTGTGAAAGTTGGAGAACTAGTGGTTTAGGTTGTAGTTTAATTTGTAATAATCAAGACAAATAATTAACTGCCTTGTAAGAAACACTCACATTCACTGATTGCCATCATGTCTCTCTGATAATAATAGTGAATCCACATGAGCACTTACTCTCTGCCATATGTGTAAATTCTGATTGAATTTTCATAAGAACTTTGCAGGGTTAGTATTATTATCTTCACTCAATAAAAACAGGGCCTAATGCTCAGAGAGATGGAGTGACTTGGTTAAACCGACATTGTTAGATTGTGGCAAAGCTGGCTCTGCAACAGGTCTGCCTGTCTCCAAGACTGTGCTCCCTCCATCAGAGCCAGAACACCCCTCCTCCTTTGCACGAAGTTGGACCCAGGGCTGGGCTGGGAGGTTCAGAAGAGTCTCTCATAACTTCAAAAGTGATGAGCATAATTCACAAATGTGAACACTTATCTATCATTGCAGCAGCAAATAAGAACTTTTGAGAAGCTGGTGACCAAAGTTGAGAAGCATAGATAGCCTCCAAAAACTCTAGAAGAAACGGAGACCATGCCTGTGAAAGAATTATGAAACATTAGAGAGGGAGTTTCAGGGATAACAGAACATGGAGAAATGGAGGCTGGCTTGAGAAATGTAAGTAGCCTAGATCTGGAATCTGGGAAGGAAGGGAGTGAGGGAGTATAGTGGAAGGTGCTGCAGAAAGGAAGTTGGGTAAAATGGGAAGGAAGGAAACTTCCAGATGAAAGGATTCAAGGATAAGCCTGAGAATGAGAGCAACAGCCAGGAAAGAGAGAGAGAGAGACACACACACACAAAGAGAGGAAGAGAGAGAGAGAGGCCTTGAGCAGATGATTCACCCATGCATGATTTGTAACATCATGCACTGGTCACTTGGAAGATGTTGGTTCACTGAGTTACAAAGATCTTCCAAATGCACAGTAAAAAGCCCCACTGTACACCCGGAGGTAAATAAGAAAGCAAAGGCAAACGACCTTGAAACAGCATTGACCTCTCAGACACCCTGAAAGGATCTCAAGGAGTCCAGGAGTCTCAGGCTAACACCTTGAGAATTACTGCTGTGGTGTAACGAAGAGCGTTCTGAACTGGGAATCAGAAAAACAGCATGCTATATCGGACTCACCTTTTCATTAGCTTGGGCATGTCCCTGAACTTCTCTGAGCCCTGTCAGACAAGCTGGATAACTCACTATTTCTTAACAATTCCCCATGAATTCCCCCATCAGAGCATTTCTCTGCTTTGCCTAAGATAGACTCTTCTCTGCCCAGTTCTCCAACTGCCACCTGCCAACTGTACCCCTTCTTGAAGGCATAGCCAGTAGCCACCGTGATATGTTCTCTCTTTCCCCTCTTCAGACACATCTCTCCTTCTTAGGCCCTTTACTGCCTGTGTTTGGACCTCTACTGGGGATCTTATATCACTCTGCCCTCAGAGTAAAAATGACCAGAATCCTTGTCTGGCACCCCCACCACCTCTGGCACCCCCTCTTCCCCCTCCCAACTGGACTGTGAGTCCCTGAAGAGCAGAGACCACCAGGTCTTGTTCATGTTTGTGTCTCCTCCAGCCACTAGCACAACACCTGACACAGAGTAGGCACTCTGTGGAAGTGAAATTAATTGGTTAGCATGTTTCAGAAAGATCTATCTGTAAGGTTAAATGGATATTTATGGGAGAAGAGGCTGGGAAGAGGTGACTGGGAGGTGAAGGGAGAGGAATGGCGGTAAAGGGAAATAATGAGAAAACCGATGGAAGGGGCCTGAGGGGAGAAGTCAGAGTGTACACCTATGGGCTAAAGAGACGGGGTGTGATCGGGGCACAGTAAGAAGAAGGGCATTTTAAGGTGGACTTAGAGGATGAGGAGGGGAGTGGGATGCTTGGGCAATGGCATTCCATTGGACTAAGACACTAAAGAATACTTGGGATGAAAATCAGGAGACACTGGGTGGAGGAGCTGAGTCCTGGCTGCTGGATGACTCCTTCTGTGAGTGAGGGGCATGAACAGAGGTGCTAGGAAGCCAACCCCATTCTCTCTGCACACGATGCCAGGGATGCCATTGGATCTCCTGTGTGGGGCTTCCTGAGAACCCCCCTTCCAGGCACCTGGAAACCCTTGCCAGCTCCCACACATCTGGTGAGGAGCAACCCTGCATGAAGCACAAGTGGAAAAGAGCAAAACACTCAAAACCTCTTTTTCTCTTCAAATATTTGCAGAGGGAGTATGGCAGGAGTTCAGGAATGCGGTGCTTATTGCTCACACTACATTAAAATTCAGATTGGCTTGTGCAATATCCATGGCATAACCGCTCTGTGCTGATATTTTTATAACTCTTAATATCAAACAAATTGCCTCTTCACTGAGACAGTTTAATGTGACGGGGGCCGTGCCTGCCAGCTTCCTCACGCCAGCCCCATAAAGATCACCATTCTGTTACTGGGGACAGAGGAGGTATGAACTGTCAAAAATATGACTGGATTATGCAGAGTAAATCTTGGACTGTATTAAAAGGATCATGGTGTTTTAATTTCTTTTCTCTCCCCATACACTTGCCACCACATCTTTTTTTACTAATAAAATAAGGTGGGGGCCTCCAGGTTGAATCATCTATGAATCATCTTTTTTGGCCTAGGTTCCTGTTTTTGTCATATTCATGCCTCCTCTTCAGTCATCAATAGATGCCTTTGGCTCCACCTTACATTCAGTAGATGTCTCCTCTTTCCTTCATGATCTGGGAGAGAAAAAGATTTGAATGGATTTTTCTAGAAAATCTCCACCATACTTCAACTTCAGGGTCAACAGAATCTTCTCTCATTTGGGTAACTTTTACCCCAATGGCATCTGGGGAGTAGAAAGAACTACAGTTGAACACTACACTCTTCTTCATGAGCTCATTCTATCAAACACTCCTTTTATTACAAAGATATGATTTCCTACATAATTAGGAAAAATAGACTGTATTTAATGAATAATCAGTTCTCCCTTTCATTTATAAATCAAAGACCTAGAAAAATGCCAGTCAGAGCAATCTATCGAGATAGTATGTATTCCCAAATTGAGTTGTTATAAATCAACCCAAAGCAAAGAAACCTGACATTTTACCAGCCAAGTCACTTTACTGTAGGTAATCAGTCCTTTCCAAATATTGAACATAGTTTGTGAACTCTGCCCTCCTACCATTACTGCCCTAGAGAGCCACTCAGAGACCCAGGATACTGAAGTTTAGAACAAGTGAGTAAGGAGTCCTCCAAGAAATACATTGATTGGAGGGGTCGTGTCAGTAGAAGTCTCAGTACAGCATATGCAAGTGCTAATAGCAGCACAAACGCAAAGAACAAATGATCAAAGTGTTTTGCATCACCTTCCAGCCTTCCTGAGACTACACACTCCAGACTGACAGACAGACATACAAATGGACACCAGTCACACATCCTTGTTTTCAAGGCAGGGAGGAAAGCTTCCACTTGAAAAGTGCCCTGTCACTTGAAAGGGTTACCTGTGTGAGGTCACATAATTTTGAATGTTTTTCTCTCGTATCTTTATACGTCAAATCCTCCTTTTCTTCTCTACTGGTATTTTATGAAATAATACTTAGGATGACTCCACCATTTTCAAGTTTTACATTTTAATATACTTTGAAATTGTTATCCTCACATAACATAGTTAACACCAATCAGAGGTAACTTCACCCAGTATTATAACTTGACGCACATTTGTTTTGTAAATGTTTTAGGAAGATTTGAGCTGAATAATCTTTTTCTTTAAATACCATATATTTTTTGATTCTTATGGCTGAAGGCATATCCACTTCCTTTGCTTCCAGAACATTCCAGATTACCCTGGCTTGCAGCACTGGTCATCTTTGAAAATCTACAAAGTTCTAGAAAGGCTGATCTAGGCTAGGAACTCAGAGCAGGCCCTGTAGAATTGTCAACTATTAAAATATGTCACATCTTATGCTTATGAAACTAGGAAAAAACATAAATCACACTTTTATAACTGACTGCTATGGTCTGAATGTGTCCCCCAGAGTTCAAATGTTGGTAACTTAATCTCCAATGCAACAGTGTTAAGAGGATGGATATTTAAGGGTTATTGGGCCTGTCCTCATTAATGGATTAATGATGTTATCATGGGAGTTAGTTATTGAAGGAGCAGGTTTCTGATAAAAGGGGTGAGTCTGCCCTGCTTTCTCTCTTGCTCCTTCCTGCTCTTTTCCCCTTCCTCCTTCCCTGGTAGGATGATGCAGCAAGAAGGTCCTCACCAGATGCAGCCCCCCAACCTTGGATTTCCCAGCCTCCAGAACAGTAAGAACAAAAAAAATCTTTTCTTTATAAATTACTTAGGCTGTGGTATTCTGTTACAGCAACACAAAACAGACTAAGACACTGACTATGATAAAAATGGGATGATCTGGGCTGGGTACAGTGGCTCACACCTGTAATCCCAGCACTTTGGGAGGCCACGGCTGGCGGATCATAAGGTAAGGAGATCAAGACCATCCTGGCTAACACGGTGAAACCCCGTCTCTACTAAAAATACAAAACTTTAGCTGGGTGTGGTGGCAGGCGCCTGTGGTCCCAGCTACTCAGGAGGCTGAGGCAGGAGAATGGCGTGAACCCAGGAGGTAGAGCTTGCAGTGACAGGAGATCGCACCACTGCACTCCAGCCTGGGCAACAGTGCAAGACTCTGTCAAAAAAAAAACAAAACTCTGAATAATGCAAAAGTTAGGAAATCTTGATAATAGCAAAAATTTAGAAACAATCAAAATGAACAAAAATATGTGCCTTGTTAAAAAAAAATCATCCACAGAGCATACAAACCTATAATAAAACACTGTAACAACTTAAAATTTAGTTTTAGAAGAAATATTTAATATGATATAAAAAGGTATTTGCAATTTAACATCGAATGAAATAAAGCAGGTCAAAACAATGTTTATAATATGACCTTGTGTTTTAATACATGTATATTTTGAGATTTAGGATAAATTCCAAATTGTTTATAGTAGAATAACAGGTGATTATTATTTTCTTCTATGTTGCTTATCTCTGTTGTCTCAATGTTTGTTGGAAAAAATAAGTGTATTGCTTTCAAAATAAGAGGGAAAAAAAGTAGTCTGGAAAATTGTTTTCATTGCACATCTGTGGGAGTTGAAAATTGAGCCTAGAGCTTTTAAGACATTCTTGTATTCACGCATCTCAACAAATAATACTTATGGCCTAAGGTAAGCTAGCCCTGTGGTACTGCAGAAAAACCAAAGACCCACTACTTGCCCTCTGACAACTTATAGTTCTGCCACCCAGACAAGAGAAAATCCTTGTCTGGGTGACAAGGATTCAATCCCTGCCTTTGAGGTGAGAAATGAGGGCTCACCTCTGCCAAGGGCCTCTGAGGCTTCCACAGCTCCTTGGACTGAGGTTGGAGCCAGCACTGCCTTCTGTGCCCTGAGGGTCCCAGGGGATCAGGGTGTGGCTGAAGTAGTCTGGGCCTGCAGCTACTTCCTCAAGTCCACTCTCCCACCCGGACAGCCTGTCCCACTGCCCTTGGACACCCACCTCGTCACACTCTTCTGTTTCTCCCCTTCCCATCCTCTCTGTCAGGTTTCTTCCAGGCCACCTCCAAAGAGACCTGCTGCTCCACCCCCAATCTGTTGCTTGTGCCTTACTAGAGGTTTCTACCCTTTTCAGCGCCACATCCCAGGGAAGGAAGAAACATGCTCCAGGGCTGGAAGTTTGTCTTTGAGGGGAGGAAGTTCCCTGGAGTCTGCAGCAGATGGGGGAGGCCCCAGTGGGGCGCACGTGGATGCATTTCTGGGAGGAAACCAAGTACCATCCGCTCTCGCTCGCTCCCTTCCAGTGTTTTCTTCCCCCGGCGAGTCTCTTAATTTTACTCATTTATCTTAAAGAGCTCCGTAAGCGCCGTGGGCTCTGGTACGGGGTGGGGGGACGCACGGGGCCTCCGACACCCGACCCCCACGCCTGCTTCCCAGAGGAGCCGTCCAGCGCGGACCAAATCTCATTTTCCTACAAATAGTTTGTCAGAAGCAGGAGGGCAAGCACTAAACCACGGAGAGCGAGAGCGGAGAGAGAACGGGGAAGACTGGCGAGGGGAGGGCGGGCCCGAGGGGGCGGAGGGAGGGTTGGCTGCGCAGAGGGAGTAGCGCGAGGGAGGGTGCGAGCGGCGGGGAGGGGCGCAGGCCGGGGAGAGACAAACGGAAAAGGAGGGAAGGAGATCGAAGAGACAAACAGGAAAACACGAGGGAGGATGAGAAAGGGAGAAGGAGCCAGGGGAGTCCAGGGAAAGGAAGCAAAGGGAGAGGGAGAGACTGAAGAGAGGAACGGAAAAGACTGGAAAAGATAGCAAAGGGTGAATCAGGAAGCAGAGAAGGGGAAATGAGAGGAGAAAATGAATCCAAAGAGGATGCGAAAAAGGAGGAAGGAGAGAGGTCTGGTAGAGAGGCAGACCCGGAAAAGGAACGTGGGCAAGGGGGTGCTCCATGTGTCCTGAGCCCCCTCTATGCCCTGAGCCACAGGGGTGCCTGTAGTCTGACTCCTTGACCCTGTCTTCCCCATCCTTATCCCTGCTGCCTGCTCTCCGTGGACTGATGCAGGATGCAGATAAGGATGGGCTCATCTTGGTCCACTGTTAGCCAGCCTAGGAGACAGTCATTGCAGTGTGTGTGTGTGTGTGTGTGTGTGTGTGTGTGTGTGTGTGTGTGTGTGTGTGTGTGTGATGGAGACAGGGAGGGGAACCTGCATACCAACTATTATGATGAAGACATGCGTCCTTAAGCAGGCTACTTCACTCTTCTGAGCCTCAGTTTTCTGATCTAGAAAATGGGAACAATAATCTCTCTTTGCAGTCTTGGGAGAATTGAAAGAGATGACCCACAGGAAAAGAATCTACCACAAGGTGAAGGCTGTTGGTTAGGAAACGCAGCCTCCCTTGAGTTTCTGTGTGGGTGAACCTGGCTCCTGGGGCCCCACGTGGGAGTGCCAGGCTTCAGAATCTGCACACTGCTTCACCACCCCCGCAGCCTGTGATCCCAAGCCAGGCCCTCTGATCCGGCAGCTGTCAACACAAGCACACTCCAGTGCTTTCTGCTTTGCTGTTGGCCTCCCTCGGGAAGCTTTGAACACTAGTGAGATCATCATTGTCAAACTCTCTGGGCTCTGGTGCAAGGGCAGTCAGATAAGGAGGAATATGACGTGCCAACCCTCCTCTTTGGTCCCCAGCCCCCAGCCTCACCCTGCTGACCTCTGGCTCCTGCTTAGCTCAGGAACTGTGGGCTCAGAACAAAGTTTGAGGTTCTGCTTCTCTGATTCACCCCTTTCTCCTTCCTGATTACTGGCATGGAGCCAGGCACTGCAGGACAGAAATCAGGTAACTTTACAGATGGGAGGAATGAAGTGGTGCTTGTAGGGGCCTATGTTGTGCTGGGCACCAAAGTAAACTGCATGAGGACAGGGACCTTGTCTGCATGGCCCACAGAACTATCCTAGCACAGTGCTGGCACATGTTGGTTCATGAAATGAATGAGTCATTTGATATTGTGAATATGCATTCACTTATTCACACCTTATGACTAAAAAAAAAGCTGTTATTCCATTTTATGGAAAGGGCAACTGAGACACAAAATCACAGGAAGGAAGTGATCAAACCAGGGGTTGAATCCAGAGCAATCTGTCTCCAAAGCATGTGTTCCTTCCGCTGCAGCCCATGGCCTCCAAGCATCCTGCCCGTCGATGCCTGAGGCACCAGGGAGTTAGGAATGGCAGAGACCCAAACCCGTGATTCCTGCTGGACCTTCTCCTTCCCCTTAGATTCTGGAGAGGGCACCCCATAGAGCACTCCATTTGAGGTGGTCCCTTCATTTCTGGGCTCTTGCCATTGGCATTGTCCTCTAGCTCTGGACTTCAGGCTATGCCACTCTCAGACCCTCAGCCCTGGCCCCCTTCCCTACTTGGAACTTTGAAGATGAGGACACGTGCCTCAGAACTTCTCTCACCTCAGCTCTTAGGACCCCAGCCATACCTGCTCTGTCCCCCTCCCGTCTAACCCCCCAGCAACGTGGGCTTCCTCTGGGGACCTCATGTCCAACCCTGACAAGCAGCAGAGCCCAGGGAAAAGAGAATCAGGTTCTGCTCTCCTGCCATGTACCAGTTAGATGACTCTGGGCAATTCTTTCACCTCTCCAGGACTCAGTTTCTCAACTGGAAAATGGGGATTTTTAAAAAAATCCATGCCTAACTCCCAAGGCTGTCATGAGAATGGATTAAGGCAAAAGCTGTGAAAGTGCTTTACAAATGAGAAAGCCTCCTATTTTTCACTTTCTTCTGATGGCAGATCCCCAGGTCTCCTTCCCAAGGTTCTTGCTCTCCCCGCACAATGTACCCTGAGCACTGCAGGTGCCTGTCCACCTTCGCTTCATGAAGAACCATGATATGTCACCATATAAAATCCAAATAAAGCCTCACGAGTGAATCTACTTACAGGAGACAGAATAAAGCAATGACTAAGAGCTCTAGCAAGAGTAAAAAATCAAGTCTCCAATTTTTAGCTCTTCCACTTACTAACAGTGTTAACTTTGAACAATCATTTTACCTCTCTAAGCCTCAGTTTCCCCATCTATAAAGTGGGATAATAATAATACCTGTCTTATCAGGTAGATAATGTATATGTAGCATTCCTGTCTTATCAAGTAGATAATGTATATGTAGCACTAGGGACATATTAAATACTCAATAAATGGCTTCTATTGTTATCTCCTCTTATTTTAGTCTCGACTCTTGAAAAATGAATCAGTTGTCAGACTTCATAGCTTGTCACCTCTCTCTCGATGGCCCCAGTGTCAGTTCCTTGGTGCATGTCCTTGTTTTGTCCTCCTTCAGTGATGACCACAGCCTCCTTTTCTGGCCCCCAAGTCACCCACCGCACTGTGTTCTGACCTTATCACCACCATGGGTTCCCAGGGAGCCAGACCACATGAGGAGGAGGGAATGCAGATGAGGGGAGGGGACCTGCCCAAAGTCACAGGGGTGCTACATGGGCAGAGCCGCTTCTAGGCTCATGAGGCCAATCATTTGGATTGTCCCCACACAAAGCCCCGACAGGGAATCGAATTCCTTAAAGCCCAAGACTGGCTGCCTTCGTGAATGCCTTTTCTCAAAGCCCTTTGCCAGGGTGGCTTCGTGGCCTGGCCTCCCTCTGCCCATGCTCTATTCCAGCACATCTTTCCAGCCCCTTCCGATTACTGTCACTCTACTTCCTTGACTGTCTTGCTCTGCCAGGAAGCTTTCTCCCATATGATTCCTTCAGAGCTTGTTCATGCATGTACCAGGCCTCAGACTGACTACTGGGGGAAGAGGAGAGTCTGAGGCACAGTCTTTGCCCTCAGAGAACCCCAGTCTAGTGGGTGCCACATGCCCAGTTAGACTCCCATCCTAACGTTGCAGCTCAAGCTGCCCTGTCAGTCCCTGAAGCCCACCTTCCTCCATGAAGCCCTCCCAGATTGGCTGACTGATTCAAGGCTGCTTCCCAGATCCTCCCAAAGGGCACCATTCCTCTTTGGAAGCTATATGCATGAGGTATTTTTATCTCCTTTTAAAAACTGCACCTCTCTCTCTCTGTTGATATAATATATATAATATATATGGCTGACATTTTAAAGTCCATTTTCAAAATGTATACTATCTTATCCGTGTTTCCTGAATATAAAAGTCCATGCCAGCCATATTGTATTGCATTTGAAACCCCTAGAGGTAGGGATCTCAGTTATGTGTGAGTCTCAGTGTATCAAGGCCCAGAGGCCATAGCAGGAGGGGGCAGCCAGGGCTGCCTTCGGGAGGAGAGGAAAGGCACCCACAGAGCCGCCAAAGCCACGCAGATGTCATTGGAGGAAGAGATGAAGTGCTGTGGACATTAGGGAAGGAAAAATCCATTTCTGGATGTGGAGAATCCAGGGATGCACCCATCCTTAAGGACCAGCTCAAATGCTATGCCCGTCAGGACAGCTTCTCTGATCCCCCAACTGCACTTGAGCTTCTGAGGAAACACCCCAGTTTCCCCGGACTCATTTTGTGACACTTAGTGGATTCTCTATGGGAGTTTGGGACAGTTAAATTTGTGCACAACTTTGCTTTCTCTATTTATGAATCAATTTGGTGAATTCTTCCTGAAAAGAGGCCAGATTCTATCAACTTTTGTATCCCCTCCCTCCACAACATCCCCTGAATGTCATGCCTCATACTAAGTAGGTGCTCAATAAATGTTTGAGGAGGGGAAGAAAGAAGGAAGGGAAAGAGAGAAAGGAAGAAAGAAAAGAGGAGATAGAGGAGAGTAGAGGGGAGGAAGAGAGGAAGAAAGGCTGGAAGGAAGATGGGAGGGAGAATGGAAGGAAGAAGTGAAGGGAGGAGCATTAAGGAAATGCCCGCAGGTGGAAGCATTCCCCTATAAATGCAGGGGCTCTTCTCCGTGCTCTTTCAGTGCCAACAAGGGGCCCTGGGAACAGATTTAATTTTCTATTATCATCCTGGGGATAGAGCCCCTGTCTCCTAAGCACCCTGTGTGGAAACCAACACTTTATGGATAGCACTGAATATGTTTCCAATGAGAAGTAACAGCTGCAAACTCATTAGGATGATTAAGATGGCTCAGATCACCAACCTTGAGCAGGATCCAGTAAAATTAAAAAAATCCATCAGCACCACTACCCCCTTTCAGAGCAGGAGGTTGCCAGGCAGAGGGGAAGTGCCAGCAGCCAGGGTCCTCTGGCCCAGGTGCAACTGGAGCTTCCAGGTGAGAACACAACCGCCAGATGGCAGACACATGGTGATGGCTGGGAGGTCCAGGGGCTTTGCGCCTTGCATATGGGGCAGGAAAAATGCAGTCTACTGAAGTGTGAACCAAATGGAAATGTATTCTCACATTTCTCTTCCTTTTTCTGAGACATAGTGGACTTTGGATTCCCATGCTGGTTTCTTTGTAGCAGGGTAAGGATTTGTCCCACGTGCAGGGGTGAGCCAGGCCCAGGAAGAGCAGTGGGCTGGGGCAGAGCTGCTTCGAGCTGATGGCATGGCTTTGGGCTGTTTGTTTGCCTGACCTTGTCCTAATCTGTAAAACCTATTTTTCCCGCTCAAGGCGGTACCATGTCGCAGTTTTTCTAAATGGGATTTGGAAAGTTTTTTTTTTTTTCTAGAAAAAATCTTAGACTGCAGCTCTCGTTATTTCTATTCAATACAAATCCTTCTCCCTCTCCACATACATCTGATCTTTCCTTAAGTGTCGCTAACCACATGAGAGTCTCCTCTGGTCTGAAAGTCACTCTGCCCTCTGTGTCAATGACCTGGTTACTCTTCATCACAGGCTTCCAAAAAATCTCCAGCCATTCACTCAGTCAGAGGATCCTTTATCAAGAACATGCTATATGCAAGGCTACAGGAGAAACAAAGATGGGTCACACAGTTTCTTTCTTTAAGGAGTTTTTTTCCAGGAGAAACAATTTAAATGAACAAGTAAAGTATTATAGTATAGTGTCCTGTAGTTCATACACATAATGCCCTACAATGAATGTCAAAGTTGATCAAAATTTTAGAGGTCATCTAGCCTTTAAAATATCCACTTCCTCAAGGTGGCCTTACAAATTCCATCACAGCATCATCTTTGCACCTAGCATTTGGAAGGCCTAAGTTTTGTGGTTATGGAAAGAGATCAGAGCTTCTTGATGGAATTATTTAAGAGAAATGCCTGTTCTTCTGGGTGTTTCCATGTCTCTCCCAATCCTGCTGGCCATTTGAATCCAGGGTTTAGCCTCTCCAGGCCTCAGTTTTCTCCTCTGTTAACCGAGAGGGTTGGACTACGTGGCTTCTGAGACCCTTCCAGAGCTAACATTTTATGATCTATGATTAAGACTGAGATGACATTGTTCAGCCCACTGTCCAGAGGGTGACCCACCAACTTTCATAAAAACAATCATCATTAACCTATGTTAATTGGTCAATAAAACATCACAATTTTATAGCATGAAACCTGAGACCTGCTGAGATCAACACTACTGGTAAGCCAAGTGGAAGTTCAGCCTTAGAAACGAAATTGCTGACTAGTAACCCCAGTGTCATATTAGTCAAAGTGACATAGACTCAAACTTATTCTGGTTGAAATGAAAACAACTGATGGAGAAACTGAGTGGCACATAAAACAAGCTTGGGGTTGGAAGAACACAGGTCAATCAGACTGTGGGGGCTTCTTGGGGTAAGGACTGGTATAAATGAAATCCAGAACTATGTTCTTCTCCCCTTAAAGCACCTCCATCATAACCACATTGGAACCCAGGCAACCTGTGGTCAGTGAATCAGGGCTGGAGCCTCCCATCCTTTCTCAAGTTTAATCTGCTCATTATTTGTCTCATCTCAGATTTGGGGATCATCTCTTGTTCCTGATTCTCCACTTTCCCCTTGGATTTGATAGAATTCTGCTGATCTTTTAGGCTCACTCTCAAGATCTTTCTATTTTTATGCCACGCTATTCATAATAAGAGTTATCAAGTGTACCACCTACTATGTGCCAGATGATTGTTGTGCTTTTTCTCAGTAAATGCTTCCAACAATTCTAGGAGATTGGAATTTTTCTCACCAAAATTTTATACTAAAGGAATCTGAGGCTCAGAGAGTTTAGATAACTTGCCGAGGTCATACACCGGTAATTAGGGGAGCCAGGATTGAAACCCAGGTCTGCTTGCATCCAAAGCTCTTTTTCTAACATCTAGACCCGTACCCCATTCAGCCCCTGGGCCAGGTCTACCTAGCACCCCTCAGAGAAGAATTAGATAGTCACAATGTGAATTATTAGTAACTTCACCTTGTCCAAGAGGAGCAACAAAATGTTGACAAGAGCAAAGTGGGGGTTGAAAGCTGACCTGACCTTGTCCTAATCCATAAAACCTACAGATTAGGTGCTCAATAAGTGTTTGAGGAGGGGAAGAAAGAAGGAAGGGAAAGAGACAAAGGGAGAAAGAAAAGAGGAGGTAAAGAAGAATAGAGGAGAGGAAGAGAGGAAGAAGGGCCGGAAGGAAGATGGGAGGGAGAGTGGAAGGAAGAAGTGAAGGGAGAAGCATTAAGGACATGCCAGCAGATGATTTGCATTTGAGCAGAAAGACAGAGACCATAGGCAAAAGCTAAGAGGAGACAAACGATGAGTTTGGGAGTCAGGGAGGTAAAAGGAGCCAGACACAGTGCAGGTGAGAGCAAAAAACCTGATAAACCAATGCAGGACATATGAGCCTGCAGTGAGAAGTGGCTTTTAGCACAAGGCACATCCTGCCAGAGAGAAAGAAGTCCATTACAGATGCTGCATGTGGCTGGACAGGCGGAATCCTTGAAGGTCAGCCACCCAGCTTCCATCATTCTGTATCATCTGTGCCAAGAAGGTTTCCAGGCCAGTATAGAAAGCCAAAGTCACTCTAGTTAGAGCTGTAGACGCTGTATATTAACTACCAGGTTAAAAAATACCAAAGTATACATGTAAACTTACAATCTATACACCTACCAGCTTCTCACTTATGAAGACTGCAAAACAATTGCCATAATGTTCCAAAAGTCAGCCCTCAAATGTGAGTTGAAGTCAGCAGTGGTGGAGTGCACCTGTAGTCCTAGCTACTTCGGAGTCTAAGGTGGGAGGATTGCTTGAGTTCAGGAGTTTGAAACTAGCCTAGGCAACATTGTGAGACCCCCATCTCAAAAAAAAAAAATAGATAAGTAAATAACTTGTCAACATATTATAAGGAGGCTCTGCTTTGAGAAAACGTGTTATACAAATGTATAAATGCAACATACTTTGTTCCAGAGGAAAGGATTCTTCAGATTACCTGTAGGTAACCTGAACTTAGACATGAGTTTTCTAGAATGCATCTATTGTGTAAAGTGATGATGATTTGCAGGTATACAACCCTAGAAAGCATTGCAGGCAGCCACACTGTGATCACCTGCCCATGCTACTGGAAGTTTCTTTTCAACTTGGTATAGCAGTCAGTAGTCATTCTTGCTGTTGTGATATCACTAACCAGAAACATATGTTAGCAAGTTAAAAGAGGACATGACTGGTTATTATGTACATATTTAATTAACACTCCTATTTGTGTAAGACATAATATGGTGTTATATGCCTATTCTCAATGCTTGATTAACAATACATAATATTGTTAATGTTTTAATGAAGGATAATACCATGGTCTTTCCCGAGCACTCACACCGAACAAAGTCCGTAATATGCGAGAAACCTTAACTAGGAGTCACAGGCTTCCCAAGCTATGAGGACTGAATCCAGCTCTGGTTCTTTTGAGTTGTGGGTTATTGCTTAAATTGCTTCACCTCTCTGAGCCTCGGTTTCCCCATCTGTACCTTCTGAAGGAGACCTACCCTTGAAGCCCCGCCCTTCCCATGCTTTGCTCCCTTCTTGGAGAGCCACTTCCTCACCAGGCTACCTCCCACCATGTAGCCTCTGAGCCTGTTGCTCATTCTGCCTGGCTCACTGTTCTCCCTTTTTAGCCCACACAGCTCCTGTCACCCTTCATGTCTCAGTGCAAGCATCAGCTTTTTCGAGAAGCCTCAGTGTAGAAAGGATCAAGTCAAATCCTTCCATCATTGTTCGCATTTCGTGGCATTTATCACTGATGCAGATTTCTGTGCATTTGTGTGATGATTTCATTCATGTTTATCTCCACCAGTGGACTACAGGTTTCCGAGAAGAGACACTGTGTCTGTTTATACTCACCACCATACCCCAGGAACCACACCATAGTGGGAGCTCAATTCTTGTATCATGGGTGAAGGGACAACATTAATCAATCAGTTGATATGAAACAGGATGACATCCATCTGAATCATCATCACCATAAGAAAAGAATAGCTGACTCCCACCCTTGCTGCACCCTCCCCCATTACATGACCCTGACCTTCAGGAACATACCATCTCGAATCATAAACACCTGATCTTACAAGTGTCTCATTCCTTCTGCCAGCTGTCAGCTGCCCACCGCCCACCACTGATCTACTGACCCAGGGTGTCCTGAGTGAATAGCACCCTTAATGGCAGGCACAGGTAACCATCTGCCTCCATGCTTATTCTCCACTGCTTCCTTTTTTCCCCAAATGAACATCTTGTCCTTCTTCTCTCTTTGCCTCTCTATTTCAGAATCATCAGAAAACCCTAAACCATTTTATTTAACAAATCAGCTACTGGTTAGTATCTTTAAGGAAATCTGTGCATTTTCTTCCTTCCCTCTCACTTTACCCTTCCCCTCTCATTATTCCTCTCTCTTTCTCTCTCACCATCTTTTCCCTCTATCCATTCTATTTGTGAGCCTAATAATGACTGATAAATGCAAGAGCAGTTCTCAAGTGATCTGTCTGAATCAATGAGAAGGAAGGTGGAATTAGATGTCATAAAGAAATGGTGCCACCAACCTAAAAAGTCCTTGAACATGCCACATCCTTCTCCAGAGTCCCTTCAAAAGTCTACCCCTTCAACATCCCTTAACTGATTCCCTTTCTTCAAGAGGTCAGCATTCAGGGTACATGCAAAAACTAGTATATTCAATTTTCAGATGCGTTGTTTAATTACTCACACAGCAACAATATTATATGCTTGTTCATCTCATTGAATGCACAGATGTGCAGGTTCTTAGCTATACTGTGAGTGGCTGATTAGGGAAATCTAAGGACAATTTATATTATTGTTTCTATGCAAAAGTTCTGGACTCCTGAGGTCCTTTGTAATTTTTATCCTTGCTTCTGAGAGTTGCAAGCAATCTGGTAATCATGGAGAAAGATCTTTCCATTGGAGATAAGACCACCCAAATTTTAAAAAATGCTGGCAATGGCCTGAGAATGCCAGGTCTTTGCTTTAGGATCTAGATGGAACTCCCAGACATTTGACCTGGAACAAGCTCTCAGCAGCATGGGCCCCAGGATCCAGGGTAAATGAAATTCATGCAAAGTCTGCAGCAGCAATAGCAGCAATACTTTGCAGAACTCCATTTCCACCACCCTGAAGGGATCTGCTGTGCCTGGGACCTCTTTCTGCCTGTCTTTCTGGTACAGCTGTGCTTTTCCTCTCTCACCATCCAGCCGTCAAGGGGGCCTGCAGTCATAAGATCATAAACATCACAGCAGCAGCAACAACAGCAGCCATCTTTCATGGAGCATCTCCAAGTGTGTGCCACACCCTTTGCAAACACTGCCAAACAACTTGCAGATGAGAGGATTCAAGCTAAATGACAGAGATTGGGTCAGGAAGCTGAGGTCTGAATATCTCTGGCAGCCCTCTTTCCTCTAAGCCCCTGCATCCCCTGTCCATTCTCAGTCCTAGGAGCTGACATGAGTGTGTCTGGGTTCCTGATCCAAGGAGTCACTTTATACACAGTAGACAAAACCCAAATTGCAAGTGTGAGATGCATACAGAAACCAAGGTGAGCCCTAGAGAAAAGCAACCGAGATCCAATCAGAGGGGTAAGGGGAGAGGGAGCAGAGCAATGGGCCTGAAAAGAGGAGCAGTAAGAGCAGGCATCCCCAGGTCCAAGACTCAGGGTAGGGTCCTTGGGGAAGATTAGGGCTCCACAATGCACACCTGTTCAGACATGTCATGGATTTCAAGGCAACAGGGACACCAAAGTGCCAGAAATGGAGCAATCACTTGCAGAGCATGTGAGCACACACACCTTAGGCAGTAGGTGGGGCTTTGCAATGTTATATATTACACATGGACCAAGTCCAATTTTCAATGCACCAGGGAAATGCACTTGTTAAAAGGTCTCTAAGAAAAGTAAAGAAATTTAAGACAACTAAATAGGGAGCTAATTTAAGACGACTAAATAAGGAGCCACCCCACCTGTCCTGGCCTGCAAGCTCGTGTTCTCCCAAAGCAGGTCTTCCTGAAGTGGGACAGCTGGGCTGACCCTAGCTGATATTTTATCAGCCCACCTTGGTTTCTGATGAGCAGCGAACCACTGATTATTGCCACTGATGGCTGCTGTGTCCTATTTGTAGTGGTCTCAGGGGAGGAAGATCCATAAGCTTCTTCACAAATTCATTTCAGCTCCTCTCCTTCCAGGCTGAGGCTTCTCCTCTGCTGCCAATCTCCCACCACCACCCTTAAGATGAACAGGCTGGGTCACTATCCCCTATAGTTCCTTTGTAGGCCAGCAAGCCATATGAATTTCATAATTCTGCTTTTTCTTCTAACACAGGACACCCAGGTCTACCTTCTTTTTCCTGAAAAGAGAGAACTACAGGACACAGAGCAAGGCATTGGGGCATAGGAATGGCACAAGTCAGACTCCTGGGAGGGGGTTCCAGCTTTGCCACTTATCAGCGGAATCAGCTTGGCCTTGTGACCTGGCTGCTCTGAGCCACAGGTTTCTAATCTGTAAAAGGTAGACAGGAGCGGCAGTTACCATGAAGGATTCTCAGGATTACAGAAAATTGTGTACAGGCCACCTGGCACGAGGGAACTATGACTACTACTGTGTCAGCCTCACAGACACAAAATAATCTCTTCCATATGGTTAGGTTTAAATCAGGTTAACAAATATCCATTGTGACCTGCAACACTAAGCCAAAGCACTGTCTGGGAAATGAGAATGGAATATTAGACATGCTTTCTGTCTGAAAAAGCTCGTTAGTGATTTAGCAGAGACACCCAAACCCCTCTCACCACCCCCGGCATAAACACACAATTCCATGCCCTTGCAGCAAGATGGTCAGGCTAGGTTGTTGAACAGAGGCAAATTCTCTGGTGGGGTTTTCTTCCCTTTGGTCCTCTGAGCTCTCCGTGAGGTCTGTGGATTGTGGCCCCTCTAGATTTATCTGAAAGATCAAGCAGAGGTTCCTTACCAGAGAACAAGAAGTGGCATGAAGAATGGGGAGGAGGCCACACTGACAGTAGGAACATGCCCTACTGTCAACTAGGCACGTTCTCTGCCTTAGTCTCTGTGCTGTATGTGCATTCCAATCATTTCACTTAATCCTGAAACAGCACTGCAAATACTAGGTGGATGCTGTCCTGCTTCACCCTGATCCCCCATCAAGATTAAAGGACTCATTTCCCAGCTCTTGGACCTCTCTGAACTACCCTTTATAAAGAGAGCCAACTCACCCAAGGTCAAGCCCCACATCCAATGATGGTCATTATGGGGCTCTAAAGGCCTGGTCCCCCTCACCCCAAGTCAGTACCACTCTGCAGAACCATCCAGCTTCAGGGCTCTGCATAACCTACATTGCTGCTCAGCTTCTTCCTCTTTCCTACTCTACTTCCTTCTCTTCCCCAGCAGATTCTGCTACCAGAAACACTCCACAATAAACTTCCTGCACACTTATTTCCATATGAAGAAACAGAGGCTCAGAGAAATTAAGTAGCTTTCCCTAGGTCATGCAGCTTTTAAGTGATAGAGCTGGGCTCAGACCCAAGGTTGTATGACAACAAGACTGTCATTTTCAGTGCACAAGATGAAATCTCTCGTTAGGAATTCAATGACTCAAACTCTAAAATTCCCTGGAAGTAGTAGGATGCATACTTCAGACCAGTAAACATCCAAATGAGATAAGTTCTCATAGTTTAAAACAGATTATAGCACTTAGTCCCTTCTCCTACTGCGAAGCTGTCCCTAACCATCTATGCAGACTGTCTCATGTAACTAACAAGTGCAGCAGAGCCCAGCTGGACAGCCAGCAAGAGAAGCCCAAGAACCCAGCCATGGGGTTCTTACAAGCCACTTAAAACTCTCAGCTCTACTATGACTTTAAATAAGCTACTCACCATCTCTGGATGGGCTTCAGTTTTCTTATCTATAAAATGGAAATAATAGTCCTGCTCCAAAATTGGTTTTAGAATTAAATGACATGATAAATATTTTTAAACTATCTTGAAATGCATAAAATCTTCCCGTTCAATGGGAATGCAGAGCCTAGAAAAGGCGGGGATAAAAGTGTGTTTATCCAGAAACCCAAGGCTACTTCCACCAGCTTCTCAGCCTTGAGACTCAGGTTTCACAGACTACTGATGCTCTCAGGGGACCGTCTGACTAATGTTCACAGTCCACCCTGGAGCAGCATGGGACATGGACATGCAGGAGATTGGATGTCAGAAGACCCAAACTGCACAGTCCTAGTTTTCTCAAAAATGAGCTCTGTGAACTTTATAAGCCACCTCCCCCTTCTGGCTCTTGTTTTGTCTTTATTGAAATGAGGAAGTTGGACTGGATGCCCCTTAGTGCTCCTTCCATCTCAGGCACGTAGAATTCTGTGATGCCTGGTGGCTTCTTCAGAAAGTGTTTCTCCTCCTCCACCCTACTCCTCAATCTCAGACTTCAGCATGAATTCATTACACCAACTTGCTAGCTCCACCCTTCTCTCTGTTGGGGGCCAGGGGCAGGGGTGGTGGGGAGTGATGGCTTTGCAACCCAAGCAGGAAGCAGAAAAGGAAGGGACAGGATTACTAGCAAACCAAAGGTCACCTAGAGTCCCTGGTACACTTGGACAACAATAAGCCCACACTGGTGGCTCTTTTCAGGAGGATGTATGAATGCTGCTTACCTAAATGCCAAGCCTTCACAGGCAGGTCTGAGTGTGCACCATGCCACGTGCTGCCTGGTTATGCATTTATATCAAGCATCACAACACACCCCATTGTTGACCCTATAGAGCATCTCAGGAACTACACTCAGATCTTACCATAAGTCACAGCAAACACAGTTAGGAAGGAAAACGTACTAGAGAGTAGTTGAGTAGATATACATCAAAGTGAAATAAACCACAGTTGTTCAGAAAGTCAGTTTGCAAAGTTAACGACAGACAAGTTCTGCCCAGGCTAGGCCTTGCCGCCTTGCCCCTCTGCACCTTGGCACCTGGGGCAACAGGAAGAGAGAGCAGCTGTAACTATCACCTCGTGGAAGCTTTGGTTTCCCCTTTTTGCAAAGCTCTGCTCTGAGAAAGATGTGCTTCCCAGGAAAAGAGAGAGGGTGATTTGGTTTGCAGGCATAGAGAATGTTTCCACAGCAAAAACTCATCAGCAGTATGTTGCAGTTTTTAAAGAGATTGCTTTCACTTGAGAAAGGTTTTTAAACCAATGGAAAGGTTACAGGAAGAAATACAGAACACTGGTGATGCTGAGGGCAACAGGAGAGCTTTCATTTTATTCATTCTTCATGTATTCATTCAAAAGTGCTTGATAAGTAGCTGCAATTTACTTGACTGTCAACCAAAATTGTGAGAATCCCAGTATGATTTCAAATTGCCCTTTTAGGAAATTAATTAGAAAAGTGATAACGAGTAACTTTTTGTCATCAGTTCTAAAAAGCCATTTGTGAATTTACTTTTATACAGGTTTTGTGACAGTAGGGCCACCAGACATTTTGTATTATACATGCCACTCCTGCCAACCATAGATGTGATATTTAGAGATGATTCTGTGCAGTTGCCAGAGAAAACATGACATATGCATAAACCCAAAGTCGTTTGCTAGTGTTGAGTTTAACTCTCTAGTTTAGAGATGATCAAGAGTTCATCTTATGTGGCAGCTCCATTGGCTGGGGTGCTGTGTTGAGACATCTCCTGAGGCCAATATGGATCAGTAGAAAAAGTGCCTTAGGATCTGGGCAAGAGGGATACTTGGCATCCTGGCTGTTCCATCTTGAGGGCTGCATCCCAGCATCCTTCAGGCCTACTGACCAGGAGCATTGTCCAGCTGTTCATTTTCTCCTAGGAAAGCATTCATGATGAGGTCTGGGCTCTTTTTTCCAGGGGCAGGTCTGAACTGGAGAGATGAGTCGCATGGCTAGAGCACGATACCCAAGTGCTGGGCCCAGACTGTCTGCCACTTCCCTCTCTGTTCCACACAGCCAGCAACAGAGCAAGCTTTTTCCTCCCAGCAGAGCGCCAGTGTCAGGCATGGTGGAGGCAAGGCCAAGCAACCCTGGGGGCGATAGAGGCAACCGGCTTTGGGTTGGACAAGCCCAGTAGACCTATTTCTCCTAGGACCATGAAAAGCCTGTCCCCCACATTTGGCTGGGAGCTAACTGTTAAAGTTGCAGCTCCTTGAGAGTTAACTCCAGAGACAGCTGCACTCCTCACCTTGTGTCTGCATAATTAACCAGCAGTTGTTCCTGCTTTGTGGAACATGGACCAGGCAACCCCTGTGAGGTCCTGTGGGGACATTCTCAGTCTGACTGGCAGGCAATTGGCAGGCAGACACAGCTTCTGCAATGCTTGACTGAAGGGACTGAGGACAGTCCAAGTTTTTCTTTCCCACCTCAAGTCACATTTATCCTTCTCTTCTGTCTCCCTTCCTCAAGACCCTCCCATCATGACCAGCCCCTCTGGACACTGACCCTGCTATTCTCCTGAGGTGGTCCAGATCGGCCCTGATATCTGCTTCTGGATTGGAATTTGAATTGAATCCCGAAAACCTTAAAATGTAAATTCTACAGTGTCTAAGCTAGAAGAACCTTAAATATCTTGTGGACAATCTCACCGTTATGCAGAAAAGGAAAGCACGTTGGCATACCCAAGGACACACAGCTGGCCAGGGCAGGGCTCAAGCCAACTCTAAGGGCTGATTATGGCCAAATTCCACTCACATTTCATCCTACCCAAAACCCTACAAGACATTCAGTCCACAATCATCTGGAGCTGCGTGATCTCCCTAGATAAGCTTCATGCCATCATTTTAACTCACATTTCTATACCTTCAACACTAACATCTTATTTTAATTCCAGACCTATTTTTTTAGGTACCTAAGATTCCTCAGATGCAACCCAACAGAACCTTGTTGCCTTCTTCTTTCCTAAACCTATGCAATCTTCTGTGTTCTTGCCTGTCTCCATTACATTCTTCTGGATGTGGATCTATTCTGGGAGGGAAATGAAGTGCCTGTTCCTCTGGGAGAGAAATGAAACATGTCTCCCGGCCAGATGGCCACAGGGAAATTGCTCTGGGGCTGAACCTCAGACATGAAGATGAACATGAGGCTACCATGATGACTGGCTTCCCCTAGTGGACTCTCAGGGAGTGGACACAGAAGCTTGGACATCTGACATCTCTCTGTTCTCATCCAGCCTCAGCTGTCCACATTCAGGGACTGAAATTCCTTCCTCCCAAGGGATTCAATCTGTGGTAGTTCAATCTCTTTCCAGGCGAGGGAGGTGTGTTAGAACCTAGTACTTCCCAAAGGTGAAGTGAAACCTGCCTCTCTCTAAATTCCACATTGCTAATTAAATATCCCATGTGACTGTCTATATAATATTAAACATGACCCCCATGTTTCCCAGACCAAACACCGTCCCTTCTCTAGACCAAGCATCTTCAGGTCCCAGTGCTCATGGGACCTAATCCCCAAACCACCCCAGATACACACCCTGTTTATGCCCATGGGGGTTAAACCCTGCATAAGGTGCTAAGGACAGACCTGGGTAGAGGAGAACTTCACCTCATGTGCCGTGTTCCAGCAGGAAGGTCAATCTGCTTGAAAACTGCCTGAGGTTACAGCAGTTGTGTGGGCCGCCCAGTCCACAGGTCCTCTTCCCAATCCTCCAAGAAAATGGGGCACAATTTCCATCGCAATGTCTCCTTCCTGCCCTCAGCCAGGACACCTGCCTTGTTTTCTCGCAGCCTCTCCTACACTTTTTTCAAACTCCTTCTCAGATCCTTCCTCTTCTATGGGTCTATGCTATGTGCACCTCTTTGCTGAAAGTAGGAGTGGGTCATTGCTCTTAAACATTACTTATAAAATGAGGAACTGAGCTGGGCAGTCACTAAGGTCTCTCCTCACCTTATATATCCTGTTATTTATTTGTCTTATCTGTTAACTTAATCACAGCTTCTAGTTTGCCTTCCTCCTCAAGGGCACGATAGGGTCTGACCCAGTTCTATTGCTAAATAAACACTTGCTTATTAAATTGAGTTGATACATATTAAGGAATGGAATGAACCAGGAAAGCGAGCTGTTGATAGGGAAAAGGTAGGTGCTGGTACAGAAACAGGCAGAGGAGGGGGCCCTTCCCCAGGAAGGTGACTTGGGTCAGGACAAGAAAGATGGGAATAGGCTAGAAGCAATGGACAACACTCAGAAGGGAAATAGGAGAGAGATCCTATCATGGCTACGCCTCTTGTTTAGGATTCTGGGTTAGGGTGGCTGTCGAAAAAGAGATTGAAGGGCAAGGGATATGATTGTCATTAGTCCAGGAGCTTCAGAATCAGGATTTGCAAGCCACTCACATCAACACTCTCAGCCTCCGTTTCCTTCACCTCCAAAATGAGAGACTTGTAGCAGAGCCTCAAAGTGTGGTTTGGGCTTGTTAGGAATGCAGGGTTCCGGGCCCCACTCTGGGATGGAATGGGCATTCAGCCAGATCCAAGGAGATGCATGCTAAAGTGTGAGAAGTGCTGTCCTGGACAACCTCTCTGAGATTCTAAAGCAGAGATTGTTGAGTGAGCCTCCATGATGCTCAGAGTCCGCTGCACCATAGAATCGCCTGGAGAGCTTCGAAAATCCCACGCCCACAAGAGAACTTTCTGGGATGGTGGATTATTCTACATCTTCACCGGGGTGGTGGTTACATAAATGTATACATTTGTCGAAACTCATGAACTGTACCCTTTCAATGGGGATATTGTAGTATGTGCAAACTATGCCTCAATAAAATTAATTTAAAAAAAACTATCCCTAAACTTAAATCATTACTTAGAATAAGGCTGTAATAAAGAATACTATATTTAAGAATATCAAGACTGCCTTGAAATATACTGTATTTCTCCCCCAAGGAAGGGGCTGTGCTCAGGAATAAGTCTGAGTTGGCTCATTTTCTAAGGATATAAATAAATGTTTCTTTACCTGATGCCACAGCCTATACCAATTAGGGCAAAATTTCTGGGTATCTTTTAAGCCTCTCCAGGAAATTCCAATGGGCAGCAGGGCTGAGAACTGCTTGAATGCCTCTTGCAGATGTTAGCAGTCAATCCTTACCATACCGCTGCATTGGGATCTTTCCGAGTGCCCAGCATTGTGCAGAGGGCAAAAGGTGGAGAGAGAGAGGAAAGCAGGAAACACACTACGTCTCTCAGTCACTGATGGTCTGGTTTGGAATATACAAGGCTGGACCTACCCAAAAAGCATGAAGTTACTACTGAGGCAGGGCCACTCTCACAAAGAGTTTGAGTCTCTGGTGTTTGGCTGGAGCCTCCATCCTCGCCCTACCCAGGCCTATCCCAGCATCTTGGATAATGTCAAAAGGCATGAGTCCCTTTCATATTATGGCAGGCCCCATGGAAGACAGCTACATCCTGCTTCTCAAACCAGATAAAGGCAGAGAGCACTGCCCTGGAGCTGCTGCTTCCAGCAGCCTGGTCTGCCTCCTACTCTGCCAGCCCAGCAGAAGATGCCCAGACCCACCAGAGTGGCAAGGACATGGTGACTTCTTGGAGGTCACAGTTATTCACCTCTGAGGTTGCTTGTGAGAGTCCTCCTCTCAGCTCCCATCCGACTTCTGCTTTTATAGATTAGTAAGTGGAGACTCAGAGAAGTCAAGCAGCTTCCCCAAAGTCACACAGCTAGAAAGGTAGAAGGGAGACCTTGAACCCATGCCCTCTGGCTCTAGAGCACATGCTCTTTCCAGAGTGCCACATGCTCCCCATTGGGCGGCAGGCTGAGATCTCCCCTCCCTTATGGATTAGCCAGAACCGATCAATTGCCCTACTATGCGGTACTGACTGGCTCCCTGGGACATGGGAGCAGGAAAATGAGGCAAAGTAACAACGGTGCTGTGTGTTGAGGGGGGTCGGGGTCTCTGGGTGACATCCCCTCAGCATGCAGTCCCAGGGAAATGCAGCCACTGGAGGGCACAGGTGCGTGGTGCTGCCTCAGAAAGAGGAACCACCATGTGCGAGCGGAAGAATTCAACTCCAGGAGGCGAGGGCATGGCGAGCCCCGCTGCCCCTCCCCCTTTGCCAGGGCAACGTGGGATGTCAGACAACACTATGGCCACCTCATTATTGGGCTGCTCGGCCATTGTCCCCGGGACAATGATTTCCGGCCCTGGCTTTATGTGGGGCTGCCAGCCGAAGTTATTAACCACGGGAGCTGCCTTTGAGGGACGTCCAAGGGAGGGGTGAAAGGTCACTGGAGCAGCGAGGGGAGCGGAAGTGGGAGGGAAAGGCAGCACAAAAGAAAGGGATGAACCCCCGTCCCCCTCCCCTGAAGGAGCCCCAAACAGAGCTGCGCCCAGAGGGAGGCATGCAGAGGCGCTTTCAGAGGAAGTTCTTGCTGCTGCAGCGGGACAGAAGCAGCTGGGATGGCTGACCATCCTGATAGGCCTTGGAGGTATCAGCGTGGATAGGGATACAGGCTGCACGTGGAGAGGACTGAATGAGTTGGTGGGGGGGGGAGGTGGGGGACGGGAAACAGGAGGCGGCAGCAGAGGTTGCGCTTGGGGCTTCTCAACTCACTCCTTAAATAGGTGTTTGCTTCTCAAGCCCTCTGATGTCCGTGACATCTGCCTGTGCCCCAACCCTCAGAGAAGCAAACTAGAGGGACCCCAATATGTTGATCCTGGTAAAGAAAGGTGCCCTTCTTCCCGAGGCTGCCCGTGTCAGCCCCTGCAGGTCTGGATGGTGCTGGCGAAGACACCATGGTTTAGGCTTGTCTGGGCGGGTGGTCGTGGAAATTTGGCCATAGATGGAATTGCAAAGGTTGCGTTAGTTATTCAGTGCCAATCTGCCTTTAATGAGACAGGGAATCTGATGCCCAGACAGGGAGAGGACTCTATCAAGGGCACAAACCCAGCAATGGGCGGAACTGAAACTTGGTACATTATCTGTTCCCTGCCCTTGAGAAAAACTGGACCTCTGGTGTTTGGCTGGAGCCTCCATCCTTGCCCTACCCAGGCCTATCCCACCTTCTTGGATAATGTCAAAAGGCATGAGTCCCTTTCCTAAGATGCCAGGCCCCATGGAAGACAGCTTTGTCCTGCCTCTCAAACCAGATAAAGGCAGAGAGCACTGCCCTAGAGCTGCCGCTTCCAGCAGCCTGGTCTGCCTCCTGCTCTGCCAGCCCAGCAGAAGATACCCAGACCACAGTGTGCTGCCCTCCAGAGCAGGGCTAGAAGGCGCGGATCTTTTGGTCATGAGGCCCCAGGAGGCCCATAGCTCATCCAAGGTTGAGGGGTCAGGGCAGGAACTCTGGTCTCGCTCATCACAGTCTCTCCTCCAGCCAGCACACAAGGACGGGACACAGGCATGGGTAGGTGGACCATCAGCTGAATTATAAGAAAGCATTTATAGTTTATCTGCAAGTTTGGATATGTCAGGACATTTGATGCGAAAGTATGAATTATTCTACCCAACTTTTATATTTAAGGTTGTATGTTTTTTAGAACTAGAAAGAATGCTTCAGTCCCACAATATGGTTGGTTGGAGAGGAGAAGAAAAAGAAGACATCAAAAAGAAAATTAGTGCTGGCTGGATATAGAGTATGAGGATGTGGAGCTGGGAAAACAGAGGATGTGGTGGGATGGGGAAGGAAAGGTTGTGGAAGGCCTGCACCCCGTCTCAGTTCCTCCACTGCTTCGTCCCAGATTCTGTTTTTGTTTTCCTGAATCAGACTTAGTCTCCCTCCATTCTCCCGTCCCCTGTGTGCCCCCATCCTGGTCCTGCCTCACTGGACAGCCTCTCCGCGGCCTTCCTCCTCCCTGCTCCAGAATTCTACCTGGTACCCCCCAACCCCACTCGACTCATTGTCCACCTGGCCTCTGAGGCCAGGCACCCTCATTCCCCTCTCCCACCCACCCCACCCAAGGAAGCCCAGCACAGACCATCTCAGCTCACTCCACCCTCACTTCTTTACCAAATGCATTTCCAAACACCCTCATGAGCTTTGCTGATCTCTTTGCCATCTCTCCCTGCCCTACTCCGAGGGCTCCTCCTGCCTGGTGAAGACTGCCCTGGGTACCCCAGAACTGAACCTGCAGCAGCCAGCACAGCTGACCTTGGGGCGATAAGCAGCCAGGGAAAGGCTTTCTTAAAAAAAAAAACAAAAAACAATAACTCAGTAAGCAGATTAAACAAAGGTAGAGACAGAGCCCTCCACCCCTCTCACACACACACTCATCCTCACACCCAGCTATACCACACCCCACAAATGTTGCTTATGTTTCCTTGGTCATTCTGTCCATCCTCCTGTCTGTCCAAAGCCAAGGACACTGCTCTACTCTAAATTTTTTGTCCCGAAGCCCCCAAATACTGCAACCCTGACCCAATACATGAAGCCACCCCAAAATACAGCAGAGGACACCAGGACTTTCATTTTCCCTCAGTATGGCCCATCCTTTGGGTATGCCAACTCCATGTCCACCAAGCACTGCATGTAGGACAGGGCACAGTTTGGAGGCCTTGGTCCAGCCACTGCCCCAGACCCACCTTGGCTCTCTCCTCACTAACACCCAAGAAGCCCAAACTTCCCCGTGTTTAGCAACAGATTAAACTCTAAGCCAACAACAACAGAACAGGGTGGAGTGAGTGGAAAGCAAATGAAATGTTAAAAAAAAATTAAGCAATACTTGCATTCTCATTAGTAGGAACATGTGAGATGAAGCACGTTATGTTATTAGGCATTCTCTTGATTCAGTAAACACAAGCTGAATAAATTTATAAATATCAGCATTAAGCGAGATTTAACGGGGAGCTGTTTATCTTCTGCCTGTCAGGCTGGCGGCAACACTCTCCATGTATCACTCGCCAGCCGTGCAGTCCTCACTCTCTTGCCCAGGTAAGCTGGGGCAGAGCCTGCTGCAGCCCAACTCTGGTTGTGGAAGGGCTGGCACCAAGGAGCTGCGAGCTTACCTCAACTCATCTCACCTCACCATGCCGGCTGCGAGGCGGCCCGTGCAGTCCGTGCTCAGGAGGTCACACTCCCATGCTGCATCCCAGCCTCTCCAGAAGCAGAGCATGACCTGGGTGACTTTGAGGATGCTATTTAACCTCTCTAAGCTAAAGCTCCTCAACTGCAGCATCAACAGATCAGTGCCGACCTGTTAAGGCCGTCGAGAGCATCAAATGCTACTGTTCAGCAGGTGCCTGACACATAGTAGGTCCACAAGCAAATGGTTTTCCTGCTTGCATCATTTCTAGCACAGAGCTGGAGGAAATGGCGAGGTGCAGGTGGCCGCTGGGCCCTGCTGTTCTACATGGGAGCAAGACAGCTGCTAGGTGAAGGGGAATGACCAGGCAGCCACAGGGAGGACATGTGGCCTCAGGAAGCCTGGGGGTGTATCCTGGTTCTGCTAGGAACACGTGTGGGGCTTTGTGTGGGTGACTCTCTGGCTCCCCAAGCCTCCCTTTCCTACTATTATATCCTTAAAGTGCCTCTGAGGCCAAAACCTTTGTGGCAATTGTCAAATGAGTCCATATGCAGTGAGTATTGTGTTGAGGGAGGACAAGGTCACCAAGAGCTGAGAATGTTTCTCCGAGTGATAAGACCTAGATATTGGGTACATGGAGGTCCCCGGTCCCTTTGTGATTCCTGCAGCCTGTTGCCTCCTTGCCTGGACCCCGCCTCAGCTCAGAAAGCCAATTCCCTAGATTCCAAAGGCCTTCCCAGACCAATTAGCATGTCCTGCAGCTGTCAGCTCCCTGTGCCTAGCCTGGACCTCAGCCCATGTCTAGCACCCAGTCTCCCAACCCCACACATATTCACAAATAAAAGAAAATAACAAATGACATAAATTCTTCACTCCTGGTCTGGCTTGCTGTGTGTAAACTGCTATGGCAATACAAGACGCAGAGGCAGGTACCCAATAAAAGCTGTTGAAAATGTGACTGACACCGATTTTCAGCTCTCCAGGAAGGCATGGATCCTTACAAGGTCCAAGCAGAGTCCTCGAGAATAGTTGAGAATTCTTGGGTTCCATAGGAACACAGGAGATACCCACACAAAAGCTTGGATTTCCCAATACATGACTACCCCTGAACACTCCTTCTTTCCCTCGTCTCTCTGCTGAGACCTCTAGAGCCCAAGGATCCACCCAGGACAACCTCTCCAAAGGTACCCTGATATGCTTTTCTTCCAGGCAGCATTTCCACAGAGCTGTGGGTGAAAGTCACAGGATGAAAATGTGCCATGGGACTGTATCTCCCACCAACACACTGCAGGCAAGGGGCACACAGAGTGCCCCCTCTGCCCATCCCAGGAATGGCCATCTAAGAATGATGCGATCTTTTCTAAAAAGAAAGTAAATAAAGGCAGGTGCCATATAAGAAGACCTTGGGGGACTATGGGAATTTTCCTTAATGTCTCAGAACATCTGCCTCCATCAATGAAATGAAGGATTCAAAGCAGCTCATTCCTGAGTTGACCTCAATGCTGAATCCTAAACATCACCGTTAGGACGCTATCTGGCTAGGCAGGGAATGAAGGATCTGGGAGCCGAGTTGCAGGAAGCTGCAGCAGCTTCCCATTTACAGATCCTCTAGTGCCAGTTTTTCAGGCTTCCTGACTAAGAGAAGCAGCCAGGCAAATTCCACCATTCAGCTACATTTACAGGAAGCTGGCTATTTGGGAGGCTCTCTACCAGAGGCTTTGGGGAAAAAAATGCAGAATTAATGTAAAGATCACATATTTACCTATGAGAGAAAAGATATCCAAGGATGCCCCTAGGCCTCATTTGATCTAAAACTAGGCCTGGAGCTACCTAATTGTCAAGTCAGTTCAGGCTTCTATAACAAAAATACTATAGACTGGGTGGCTTAAACAACAAACGTCTATTTCACATGCTGCTGAAGGGAACAACCATGGTCAGGAGCATGGTGAGGGCCCTCTTCCTGGCTTGGAGGTGGCCATCTTCTTGCTGTGTCATCACATGGCAGAGAGAGAGACAGAGAGAAAGAATGAGAATGAGAGGAAGCAAGCAGTTTCATATTATATCTTATAAGGGCACTAATCCCATCATGAGGGCTCCATCCTCATGACCCAATAGCCTCCCAAAGGCCCCATCTCCAAATACCACCCCACTGGTAGTTAGGGTTTCAACCTACACATTTGGGAGTATACAAATATGCAGTCCACAAAACAAATACCCCTAAGTTGTCTGCATATGTATGCTTGTTCTGGTGCTGCTTTGAGTATCTCAGACGACAGAATCGAGTGTAGATCAAACTTCTCTAGGCCTCAATAGGGTGAATCTAAAGATTGGGTCACAATAATGGCAATAAGCCACAATTCACTGGATTAATCTCACCTATCCACATTCAAAGTACCACAAGTACTTGTAGAAGTCTCTGAGCAGTGTCACAAAGACTGACATAGATACAGGCAAAATAGAAAATGGTTAGATGGTAGTACGGGATTGGGGGTGGTGTGTGAGTGTGTGTGTGTGTGTAAGTAAAGAGGATGTCTTGTACTTGGGATACATGGGGATATATTGTTTTTGAGGCTCTTCGGTGGCAATGCTTGCCCTGAGCTCAGGAGACAGTCAGGCCAGAGAGATATATCTGTTCCCTACTTAGAAAAGAGCACTGATGCATGGTCGGGAGGAGGCCAGAAAATAGTGTGTTGAAAGAAGAAAATGTGACCAAGGCCCCAGCATTAAAAATGAACCTTGAATTGGAGATGGGGAATGAAGAAAAAGTCAGAGAAGAGGGCATATGTGGAGTAATCTGAAAGACAGGAAGAGCCACAGGTGTGCACAGTAACCGGGATGTGAGGTTAGTAGAGAGCTTCAGGAAGGAGGGAAAAGGCATTCATGACAAACACTGCAGGACAGTAACAAAGACAGGGAATGAGTAAAAGCCATTGAGTTTGGCATTGATGAGCTTCATGGGAACCATACAAGGAGAAACCTGTGGAATGAAACCTAACTACACAAAGCCAAGGAATTAGTTAGCAGTAAGGACATTAAGGCGGTCTTATGGGTTAAATCATACACACCAAAAATATGTCAAAATTCTCATCCCAGTACCTAGAAATAGAATCTTATTTGAAAATAAAGTCTTTGCAGGTGTAATCAAGTTAAGATGAGGTCATTAGGATTGGTCCTTAAGCCAGTATGACTTGTGTCCTCGTAAGAGAGAGAAAGGTGCCAAGTGAAGACACAGACATTCAGAGAGAAGACAGAAGATGGAGGTGGAGGCTGAAGTGATACAGCCACAAGTCAAGGAACTCCTGGGTTACCAAAAGCTGGAATAGACAAAGAAGTATCCTCCCCTAGAGCCTTCAGAGGGAGCAAGGCCCTGCCATATCTTGATTTTGTAAGCCAGGTCTCCAAGATTGCAGGAGAATGAACTTCTGTTGTCTGAAGCAACCCAATTTGTGGGATTTAGTTATGGCACCCCTAGAAAACTAATAGAGGCAGTAAGGGCACTTTTATGAGAAATGTGTTCATGAAGAGATGGAGTTAAATGCTTTTAATAAAGAGAATGTTTGCTTTTCATGGACATACTTGAGAATGTTTACCGACTAAGAGGAAAGAATCTAGAGAGAGAGAGAGAGAGAGAAGTTGAAGATTCAAAACAATGGAAGGATGGTTAATAAAATATGGAGGAGGAAGAAAAAGATTAAAAGGAGAACTCAAGTGGCATAATTGGCCTAAAAAGGTGAGGGACACTTTGTCATCCCGGGCCAGGTGTCTTGGCCTAGATCCTATAGAAAGTAGAGCCTGAGGCAAGGATTGAAGTGCTGACATTTTATGTGGGGGAAGGGTGCAAGTTCAGGACAATGAAAGTGAGGAATAAATGGAGGCAGATGGAAGGCCCTGTGATGAAACGCATTGCTATCCTAGTGGCAACTTCACACCAAGCTGCAAAGATGCTGTATTAGTCAGAGTTCTCCAGAGAAACAGAATTAATACAACATAGAGATAGAGATATATACATAGATATAGAGATAGATCTCTCACATACAGACCTATATATCTATACATGGAGAGAGAGAGAGGAACAGAGTGGGGACAGGGGCACAGAGAGAGACACATTGAGAGACAGATTTATTATAAGGAGTTAGTTCATGTGATTATGGAGCTGAGAATTCCCAAGATCTGCCATCTGCAAGCTGAAGAACCGGGAAAGCCAGCAATACAGTTCTACAGTCCAAGTCCAAAGGCCTGACCACTAGGAATTCCAATGCTGTAAGTTCCAGTTCAAAGGTAGAAGACTGATGTCCCAGCTCAAGCAGTTAGACAGAGGGCAAATTCACTTTTCCTCTGCCTTTTTGTTCTATTCAGGCCCTCAATTGATTGGCACTTCTACATTAGGGAGGGCAATCTACTTTATTCAGTCAGCTGATTCAAATGCACATCTCATCCAGAAACACACCCACAGAAACACCTGAGAAATAATGTTTAGCCAGACACCTGGGCACCCCATGGTCTAGTCAAGTTGATACATAAAATTAACCATCACAGACATACAGCAGGACACTCATGAGACATGCTTGCTTGACATGCTGGGCTTCTCTGTAGGATTTGCAAGGAGAAATCATACCTTAAAGTATTCGCAGGAAGGAGGAGGAGGATTTATCTGACCATCTTCCTCCAGTCTTCCATTTCCCACCAATCAAGATTTACCCAACAGTGAGCAAATCCCCCTGGGCTTCTGGATTGCATCATCCAGTCCCCATTCACCACAACACCAAATCCCATGGTGTGATCCAGCCTGGAAAAGGAGGGAAAACTCAGAATTGTCTGGGCACCTAACGAGAGAAAATAGAGGCAGTTGAGGAAATCCAAGAAAGCACACAAAGTTTGTGTCCAAAATTAAGAGAGAGATAAAAAAAGAAAAACAGGTAAGTGAAAATATAGAGACATTTTTAAAATAAAAAGAAGTTGAGGAAACTGACTTTGAGTGGTAGGTGATGTTCAGAGAGATCTCAAGTAAACTGTGAGAAAGGAAGGAATGGGGAACATGGCTATGACCCCAAAACCTTAAGGACCTGCAATATGTTTTTAAAAAGTAAAAGAAGCCTTGTTATTACTGCAATACTGTAGAATACTAGAAATTCAGAGCAGACATTACACAACACTTTCTTTAACCTTTTCACTTTAAAGATGAGACAACAAAGGCCGGGAGAGAATTAATGGTAACTAACTTTCATAAATGTACAATGTTTGTTGTGAATGAACCTCTGTGTGTGTGTGTGTGTGTGTGTGTGTGTGTGTGTGTGTGTGTGTGTGTCCCCAGGATGTCATCTACACATTTCTCCACCTGGTGGCTCCTGCCTGAATGACAGGCAGAGTCCAGCCAGTGGAAAGAAGCAGCAGAGGACACTGTCTTGGAATCCCAGAAGAAAATCTTAAGAGCTGAGACCTGAGGCCTCCTTCACAGACCCAGGCCAGCTTCTCATGGACTAGCCTTGGTCCTCAGAGACTCAGAATGTTTGCTGCCCCTCTCTCCAGTTCTGTGATCCCTCCTCTGTAGCTCCCTTTTCATACAAGAAAATACCAACCAGGGGGAAAGCAACGAACAAAAGGTATAATGTTTGACCAGTGGTCGTGGACGCTAATTCTTTGAAGACTTCCAAGATGGTAAATGGAAAGAACAACCCACATGCATGCACATACATATACATATACAAAATGCAAAGACTAAGACCCAATTAGCCTCTCTCTCTGTTTCTTTTACAGGAAGGGAAGTATCACCGGCCTGAACTACTACTCCCCATCCCCTGCAACTGCCATTCTTTCTGACTTGTCTCTAGAAAAGGCCATGTGACCTCTCCCTCAGGCTGACGCATTGTCCCAGCCAGAATGTCCAGCCAAAGCAGAATAAAGCATCTACTGGACCTAAAAGAGTGCCCCTGATATCTCCCAACTGGGTTCTGAAAGGATTCCCTGAGGGGATTTTATCATAGACACATTTAAAATGCCAAGAATGAATCAATGTGTCACCAAATTTCAGTGTCAGTGCTAGAGGCAGATTTATGGCTCAAATGAAGTCGGTTTAAAAAAAAAGAAGAAGAAATTTCACTTTATTCTCTAGCTGTGAAAATATTCTCTGAGGAGTCTCCTGTCAGAACACCTATATGACCAAGAGTGGAATTTATCAGAGCAGATGTGAGAATAAGAGTTTAGTGTTAGTTCTCTATTGCCATGTAACAAATTACCCAAAACTTAGAAGTTTAGAACAACAAATATTTATTATCTCAGACATCTATTCCTGAGGGTCAGCAATCCAAGAGCTGCACAGCTGGGTGATTCTGGCTCAGGGTTTTTCATGAGGTTACAGTCAAGCTGTCAACCAGTCCTACAGTCATATGAAATCTTGACTGAGGCTGAAGGATCCACATCCACAATGTCGCCTAATTTCTGACTGGAGGCCTTGGGTTCCTAATGGCTGTTGGCAGGAAGCTTCAGTTTCTCTCCACATGGGCTTCTCCATGGGGATACCTGAGTGTTCTCATGACATAGTAGTGGACATGTGATCCAAGAAAGAGCAGGACAGAAGCCTTGTCTGTCAAAATCTAGACTCAGGATTGATATACCATCAATCTGCTGTACTCTACTGGTCGTATAGACTAACTCTGATAACATGTGAGAAAGAAATACACAAGGGCCTAAATAGTGGGAGGCAGGGAATGCTTTGCCTTTGGGATTCTCTAGTGGCCACCTTTAAGGCTGGCTACAACATATTAGGTGGTAAATGCAATGGAATTCATGACTCCAATATATAGAATAAAAATAGAATGACTAATAAATACTGAAGATTGGTGGTGCTCAGATTTGAGCAGGCATCAGAATCACCTGTGTATTTAGCAATACACAGATAGCTAGAATCCACCCCTAGAGTTTGTGATTCAGTAGGTCTTAGGTGGGGTTGAAGAACTGGAATTTCAAGTAAGTTTCCAGATAATGCTGATGCTGCTAGTCTGGGGGCCACACTTGTTGTAGATAAGTCTGTCAAAATTTCGAATTTGAACATACCTTAAAGGTCTTCTGATTCAATGGTTTCCAAGTCCAGATGACCATTAGAATCACCTGTGGGAGACTCTTCCCCACCCCAACTCAAGAGTCTATGATTTTTTAAACTCCTCTAGCCAATTTCATGATCAATCAGGTTTGGAAATCCCCAACCCCAAAGTCTCCTCTGCTTAGCATCCTCAGCATCAACCCTCCTCTTAAAGAAGACTCTTAGCAAATTGTGGTGTATGTATATACCATAGAATACTACTCAGCCATAAAAAGGAATGAAATAATGGCATTCGCAGCAACCTGGATAGAACTGGAGATCATTATTCTAAGTGAAGTATCTCAGGAATAAAAAAGCAAACATCATATGTTCTCACTCATAAGTGGAAACTAAGCTATGAGGATGCTAAGGCATAGGAATGATACAATGGACCTTGGGACTCGGGGGAAAGGGTGGGAGGAGGGGTGAGGGATAAGACTACACAATGGGTACAGTGTACACTCCTTGGGTAATGGGGGCACCAGAATCTCAGAAATCACCACTAAAGAACTTATTCATGTAACCAAACACCACCTGTTCCCCAAAAACCTATTGAATTTTTTTTTTAAAGAAGACTTGTAGCATAGCAATAGGCCATTAACTCCCTCCTAAGGCAATGCCCATTACAGTGTGGGCAGATCAACTGCCTCAAACGTGCTACTCGGACTTAAGCAAAACTGACTTGTCCACGATGTTCACACATTGCTCACCAAGCCTATGGATTCTCTCTCCTCATAACCACTGTCTAGTTTTCTAAAAAGGACTTTTATTTCACCCTCAGTCTTCTATTTTTTAGGCAAAATATCCTTTGTTCCTGTAATTCATCCTCAGTGGGCATGGTATACACTGTTCTCATGGTTCCTAGTCCTCTCTGTTTCTCTTTCTCAGTCTCCTTCTTTGTAGGTAATGGTTAGAATGGAGCTATTAACCCAAGTGTGGTGCAACTCAAAGAAGTATAGAGGAAATATAGCACTTTTATCTTGGATGTGCTTTTCCTATTGGTCCCACCTAAGAATATAACAACCTTTCAGTCAGTCCCAGCACACTGGATAGGAAATTATGACAAATAGATATTTAGAAAACTCCCAAGCCATCTGAGAAAGCACCCTCAATGAGTATCTTCGAGATGTCTAAGCAGCCCAAAAGATCTTGACTTCCTATTCTCTGAGAACTGCAATCTTTATTCACAAAAATGAACCCCCAATAGCCTCAGTGAGAGTGGACTGGACCAGGGTGTCAAGCAACACAGGCTGGGATGAGGAGATTCTCTTTGATGAAAGAGGAGTGGTCACTCTCTTCATGAGGATCTAATGAGTAATCTCAGGACCTGCCTTTTGCCTGATGGAAAAGAGAACTTCCCTGCAGAGATACAGAAAGAGAAGCCAATGCTCCAATAGAAACAGAGGGGGGAGGAGGTGGAAGAGATGGAGGGAGAGAGAGAAAGAGAGAGAAAGAAAGAGAGAGAGAGGGAGGGAGGGAGGGAGGGAAACAGATGGTCAGCAGCCCAGTGAGTGACCTTCTGGGTCCTGGTTCTGGTCATTTCTGAAACTCAGCTGCATCATTGACCTTGGGTTCCATAACCCATCTCTGCATCTCTATAACCCATCTCCTATATTTTTTGCCTAATCGGGCCTAATTGTTTGCCATTTTTTCAACTAAAGAGTGTCAGTGAATAGAATACAATTTCCAGAAGACCTTTGGCACTGCTTGTGCTATTATGTCTGCATTGGGTGGAAACAAGCCTCCCTTGTGCAGGGTTGATATTTATTCCTTGGGCCTCTAGACCCATCAAGACCTTTCTTTTCACCTAAATCAGTTGAGGACCTGTCTGCACTCCATTAAGCCAGCACCTTTCCCACCCCATCACAGCTCACTCCAGGGTAAGCCCAATTTTATATTCAAAACCTTTTAAAAACTTTTTGGAAATGTCCGTTTTGGGGTGAAGAAAGCACTATGAGAAAACTGGAGCTTCAGCTCACACTGACATGTTCACACCACCTCACTCCCTCTCACACGGCTCCAACCCTAAAGTGAAATTCACCTACATGAAAGCTGCCTTCCAGTCTGCTCTCCTACTTCCATACCTTCTCTCTCAACTATTTCTTCTTGGAACACTCAATTACTACTTACTGCTTCTCAATATTGAGAACCTACGTGTACCAGGAGCTGTGTAGGTCAGTGGGGACACAGAGAGGATAAGGCAGTCCCAGGTTCTGGCCTCAGAGAGCTTCTAAGAATGCCCTCCTTGCAGCCTTCCAAATCCCACCACTCACAGAGCTCACTGCTCAGATACTTGTCCTCATCCCCTTCCCATTCCCAGCCTGCCTGCATCTCCATCAAATTGCACCTAAAGATCTATTCCCTGACGGTCTTGCTCTCTGGTTTCTGAGTGATGGCAAGCTCATTGAATGGTCCAGTGTCTGCTAATAACTCTGCTGAGCCTTTGGCTTAATATCATCACACTACTCCCAACAAAAATATTTGTGTTTTAACACATCTCTAAAGTCATAGTGCCTGAAATAGAGAAGAGACCTGACCTATTGAATATCATTTCAATCAAGATGCTTGTCTTATTCTTCCAAGTGACCTCTTCATGAAGATTCCACTTTTCCTGGGCAAAGCCTGGGGATTCAAGGATCTTGTCCAGATTCCAGTTCCCTTCCTGATGGTGTTCCCTAGTCCCAGAGACAGACTCTGGAATTGGAAGGCCTGGGTCCAAGTCCTGATTTCTGCACACAGTCATTAAATGACCTGACCTTGAGTATGGTGTTTAGCTCATCAGAGCTTCACTTTGCTCATCCGTAAAACAGATCAACAGTAACCTTATCAACTGCTCATGAAAATGATATGAGATAATGCTATTAAATTACTCTGGGATACGAATGCTGCCATTATTTCAAGCAGTCTCTCCGCCTTCCCCCAACTCAGCACAGCACCCGTGGCAAAGGAGATGTGAGACAGGAGAGCTCAACCCACTCTGGGTGCATGGCTGAGAAAGTGCTAATGAAACACTTTTATCTTCTAGGTCCTTCACCAGCGGGCAGGGAAGGGGAAGGAGTGACTAAAAACGTGCTGAAAGCACACCTGTAAAATAAATCCTAAGCTCATCATTCCCTTTCTTGTCCCTGGACCTAGGTCTACCCTGAACCTAGAATAGTATTAACTGACTGTCTTTCTGGGCTGACTCCAGACAGCAATGGTGATCCATTAGGCTCCCAGTTCCAGAGGCTCCACAGAGCAAAGTGAAAGGAAATGTTGCCTGCTTTCCTCGGGAGTATCATGGGAGGGGCTGTGGCATGACCCCTGGTGTGTACTCTCTGGAAGACTACAGAATGCTGGTGGCTAAGGGATTCCACACCCCTTCCACCTTTTCGTCCACATTGTTTCCTCCTCTGTCTTTTACATGGGCATCTACGTCTACTTCTGAGCCCAATCTATGACCCATGCATTCATTCATTCACTATGTATTGGTTGTCTACTCTGCATCAGACACTCTGCATGGAAATGAAACACAGCAACTCCCATTACCACCCCCCACCCCCATAATGCCTGTCTCCTAGTCCAAGGAAGAGAAATTTGTAGGAAAGGACCATCCGAACTAGCTTGCAGAAGTGAGGGGGAGGGGGTGGGACTCCTGAGTCAGTCTGGGATAACGAGTAAAAACTTAAGCAGAACTGGAGAAGCCCGTCCTGCATCTCCCTTTCCTTATCTGTAAGAATCAGGCCTCCTTCCTGCTCTTGTCCCTTGGCTCCTAAGACCCTGGGGCAGCTGGAAGGGGTGGATGTTGGCCTGGGGATGGAGAGGGACTTGAGTGGGACAGTGAGCAGGCCAGGAGCAGTTTACAGACAAAACCTCAGGTAGGTTGAGGAAGCCAGAACCATGAGACAGAGGCGACTGGAGTCAGAAACAAACGCCATGATCTGGAGTCTCCCAGGTCTGTGTCTGAGCCTCCATCAGAGCACAAGTACGTGGAGGGAAAGGAGTCTGGTCTCAAGCAGTCAGCTTCCTCTCCTGAATGGGAAACGATGGACCTGGGAGACCAGCTGGCTGGGGTTTAAACCCCAGGCCCGCCTGTCACCATCTACATGGCCTTGGTGAATTTGCCTGATTATCTTAAGCATCAGAATGTTCATCTGAGAAAACAAACAAAAAACATTCGTAAGGATCTGCCGCTGACAGTTCGTGTCCTGCTTTTCTCTAATAATCAGTGCCACTTCGGGTGAAACATTCCTGCAGTTTTTAACCACCTGCTACCTGATGTCATAGTTCTTTGTGTAGTCACCAAGACAGATTCCTCCTGAGGAGCTATGAGTTCCAGGCAGGAGTTGTGACTGTCCTTCCCTGGAATACCCACGGAACTCAGTCCAGTGTCTGGCACACGTAGGTGATCAGAAAACAGCTGTCTTCCTCCTTCATTCAGCCCACGGAGAGGCGGGCTGTGAATGCGCTTTGCCGGGGGGGATGGGGAACCTGCTGCGCCTCTCCTGGCGCCTGGAGGCCCAGCCCTGCGGGGCGGAGGGGCTGGAAACCTGACAGCTCCCGACCTGTGAGGGCCGCCACCTGCGGAATCCCACAGGGCAGCGCGGGGAAGCAGAGCGCGCGCTGGGCCCTGGTGTCCCGGGACGCTGCAGGACGACGCTCCGTTAACCTCCTGGCTCGTTCTGATACTGAGGCTGCATAAAAAGAAGGATCCCATACAAATGAAGGCCAGTGTAGCGGAAGGCTAAATACTTTTAATTAAAGGAAGGCACCTGGAGACCCAGCCGCTGGGAGGAGTGAACTAGAGAAAGTCCGCTGTGCTCTGGGCGGGGATGGGGAGAGACACCCTGGCCCTGGAGGGGCTCGCCATTCCTCCAGGGCCCTTCTCCTCTGCTACCCCACCCCTCCTCCCTACTCCTCCCACCTTCAGCAGGCAGAGGGGACAGGAGGTGGCCTGACCCAGAGGAGTTAAGGGTGAGGCTTGGGCGCCTGGAGGAGAGGGGACTTTCTGTCCTTTGGAACAACTCTGACATTGTGTCTCTGACCCAGAGCCCTGGGGACTCAACCCTCAGACCCCGATCTGAAGGTGCGGAAGGAGAAAGTGATTGTCCCCAGGCCACTAGGCAAGTGAGAAACACTCAGGCTTCCCAGGACTGCCAGCATCAGGGCCTTCTTGCTGCCCTGCTGCAAATTCTAGGCAGCAGTGAAGCCAAGGATAACACCTTGGGGAGCCTTTAGAGCACTCGCATTTCTTCTTCATCATCACCGGCATGACTAAAATTTGCAGAGCTCTTAACAAGCCCTGTGCCATGCGCTTCATCATCTCATTTAATCCTCACACAACTCCTGAAATGAAGGTGTTCTCATGATCCCCATTCCACAGGTGAGGTCACTGGGGGTTCAGAAGGGCTAAATCACCTGTTAAGGTCCCACAGTAACTTGCATAGAGGAGTCTCCAAGACAGTCCAACTCAGAAGTTCAAGGTTGCAGACCTTTTTCCTTAGAGATAAGGCACCAAGAATGGTGAAAATGTTGGACACGCCACGCTTTGGACAGCATCTGACACATAGTTGGTGCTTGCTCATAAAGTAGGTGTTCAGTCATTGCAGTGGCCTCCTCCTTTAGCCAGACCTCCCTTCCCATGGTCAGGGTGTGTGTGTTCCCCTGGAGGATGACTCTGGAGAGACAAAACATGGGACACAGGGACCACCTGCTGGCCCCCAAGAGCCAGGGTCAGGGGCAAAGGCATCTCAGATGCCTGGGTCCTGACCTCTAAACCAGGGTCTTTTCTGCAAGTGAAGATGGGAAAGGGTGAGTGCTGGCGCAGTCTCTTCCTCTCTCTTTGTGGAAAGGTATGATGAGGATTGGGGATAAAGCAGAACTGATATCTCTGAACCTGTAACTAATATCCAGAACCCAAAATGGCCCTGGTTGGCTTTAAGCTTCTTGATTCAGATTCACCTTTTTTTAGCACTCACTACATGCCAGGCACTCAAGTATCTTGCAATGTGCCAAGCAAAGGTATATCCTTATTCACTTGCCTTTTAGAACCAAGGTTCCTGTGGACACCAGGCACAGTGGCTCACACCTGTAATCCCAGCAACTTGGGAGACCAAGGCAGGAGGATGGCTTGAGCCCAGGAGTTCGAGATCAGCCTGGGCAACATGACGGGACTGATTTCTACTAAAATAAAATAAAATAAAATAAATTTGCTGGGTATGGTGGTGTACGCCAGTGATCCCAGATACTCAGGAGGCTAAGACAGACAGATTGCCTGAGCCCAGGAGGTTGAGGCTTCAGACTGCAGTGAGCTGTGATCAAACCACTGCACTCCAGCCTGGGTGACAGAATGAGACCCTGTCTCAAAAAAAAGGTTGCTTTATTCAAATTGGATTCTACCTCATCATGCCATCTCCTGTGCGGTTACTAATAATGAAAAAAATAAACAGCCTAAGCAGGGACTTCCTTGCAGTCACTGAATGGTCCTGTGGAGTGAAACCTACCAGTGACCTTGGCCTGAGTGTCAACAGGGTACAAAGCCCTGTAGAACTCCTTGCTCCTAGAAGGACAATAACAAACACAATCTTGTACAGACCAAGAGTTCAGTAGCACCAAATCCTTGTCTAATGGTCTGCTGAGAACCAGTTCTGGGAAGGAAGATCTTCAAGAATGGATAGTGACTTGATGGGAATTTCTGGACCCAGTCATGACAGAAGGGAACCTTTTGGACTTCTGAAAAATCAGCAAGTGCTCAACAGTCTTCACCAAGCAAAGCAAATGTTGGAGGACAATAGTCAATGCCAATGTCATCAGGAGTCAAACAGTAATGATCTTGTCTACCACTCCTCATAGGGCCTGAAGCTAGAACGCGGTTATTTACTCCTTCTCCCATCTACTTCTCCCTGGATCTCAGCGCAGGCCAGAGTAAGTGAGCCCCACAGAATTGACCTCATCCTCCCCCAGGGCCATTAGAACAATACCTCCCCCTTTGGGGCACCTGTAAATCAGGGCCCCAAAAGGGTCTGGCAGTGCTGGAATGAGGTGTGGCTTGGCAAGGAGACCTGCATGTTTAGTACAATGGCGTGATTGTGTGGATTGTTCCAACCCAGCAGCGCTCAAGTGGTCACATGTTCCCTGGGCAGCAGGTGCTATAACCTTTGCCCAGAGATTTGGAGCCTTCGGTGGTGAGACTGAGTGCCGACGAGGAGGAGAGCGGCCTGGCTGTCTCCCACTGCCCTTGGGATCTGGGGAAGGTCACTCCCTGACCCTGCCCATGGCCTGTGCCCAATTCTCACCCATATTCTACTCAGAGGGTCCTCAGCTATCCAGAAAAAAGAGAGAGGCAGGCAGCATGCCCAGGTAAACAATAAAAGGCTACTGAGTTTCTGCTTCTGCCACTAGCTGCCAAGAACCAAAGAGCGGCAGGCACAGCTAAGACTTCAGTCCAGTGTTTATCTTATTAACTGCTGTGTGCCCAGCACCCAGCACCACACCATCACAATGAGGCCATTGTGTAACCCTTGCCACTCAGTCATTCCATCGAACACTCATGTAAGCACAAGCTTTTACTGAGCATTGTCTCTGTGCCAGACACTGTTCTAGGCACTGGGGATACAGCAGTAAGCAAAACTACCAAGAATTCCTGCCCTCATGTAACTTACCTTCTACTGGGGAGAGACAGATGATAAATAAATAAGTGAAGTAGACAATATGTCAAATGGTGAAGAGAAATAAAGCAGAGTGAAAGGGATAAAGCCGGTGGCGGCGTGGTGGGGGAGGCAGCGTTGGTTTGCAATAGGGGGATTGGAGAAGAGTTCCCTGAGAAGCTATCTTGGAGCCAAGACTTGGAGGTGAGGGCTCAAGCATCTCATCAGCCCATCTATGGCAGTATTGGTCCTAGACCAGCATCCCCTCCTCACTTCTCTGATCTGACTGTCATCAGACAGAAACTTCCCCTGGGCCACTGGAAGATTTTGAGGTGGGAGGAGCCATATCTGCTTGCAGTGACTACTGGGCTTGGGGAAGCTGAAGCTCACCAAAGGACATGGGAAGATAGGATGGGGCTTACACTCATTCTGGTCTTCACAGGGCTGCAGCCCATCACCAGCAGTCAAGGATAGAATTGAGAGTCGAAAGCTGACTATGACAATATTTCCCCACCCATCCCCATCACCACTTCCCTCTATCCTCAGGGCTGCCATCATCCCTTAGAATTATGGGAACACAGTGCCCCACCAACACCCCACCCTGCCTACAACCTGGCCTCCTGCAATCCATTCGCCACACTGTAGCCAGAAAAAGCTTTCCAAAACATGTCTGTTCCTTCACTTTCCCCAACTAAGATCCCTTTGCTTTTTAGTATAAAGTCCACATTTCGCAACATGCCTACAAAGATTTTTGTGATCTAACCCAGCACACTTTCCCAGACCCATCTCTCAGCTCTCACTACAGATAACACACACACACACACACACACACACACACACATACAAACATGCACTCTATTACTGTACTTTATTTCCCACTACACTGAACTTAGTTCCCTAAATGTACCTGGCCCTGTCTGGATTCTGGACCTTTTTCTGCCAGTACCAAAACATTCCACCTTTACCCTTCACATTCTCACATTTGCCTGGTGGATTCCAACTTTTCTTTCTAGTCTCTGCTTAGAGGTCTCTTTTTCTGGACAGCCAAGGCTCTGTGGGTTACCCTCACTGCTCCCCACACCTCCGCCTCTACACTCTAGCCACATTACAGCACGAAGCACACCTCCCTACCAGGACCTGCTTATTGGTTCCATGAGGACATGGTTCTTGTTTCAGTCGCCACTGTGTTCCCAGGTCCTAGCAGATAGTCCAGCACTTACTAGATGCTCAGTAAATGCTTGTACAGCTAAATACGTCAAAGGGGAGGAAGATCGGAAAATAGAAAGGGCTGTCCTGGTGAGGGAACCATGGCATTATATTGATCATCATAATTGCCTCATCCCTTACTTTTCTCCATTTCTTAATAGCTTACAAATCATTTTCACGTCACCCTGCTAATAAGATGTGGCTGTTACATGTATAGTTTTACTAAGTGTGAGAAACCCGAGAATTTGAGGTCAATGCTCACAGCAGAGCGGTATCACGAACCCAGGTCTCTCTGACTTTGAGTCCAGGGTGCTTTCCACAACTCACAACTCCTTGGGCTCTAGAATGGAGAGACTAAGTTTCAAACATGGCAGTACAGCTATCTCTTGAATCCTGAACAAGAGACCATAAGACTGAACTCAGTCACCTAATTTGACTTGTCAAAGTGGCTTGAGGATCTCAGGGGGTCAGCGTGTACCCTCTCTTTATTTCCTGGTTACCTGTGGGCAGTCAAGGCTGCTTTCAGGATCAGGAGCATTACCCAGTCAGGACGTGCATCCTAAGCTTCTGTACACCTTGGTCACTGCCTGGAAAATGGCAATGGCCCTGGACTGGGGAATCTCTCCAGGTACTCCCTTACGCTTCCCTACCTGCTTACCTTTAGTCTTTAAAGGGATATTCAAAAGCTGCAAAAAGACAAGACAGACTAGGTTTATGGGAAGCTAACTTGTCCATATTCATTCTAAAGGTGCCCAACATGTACTCCCACTGTTCCCTTTGTCACTTCTCATCTCTCCAGGAAAATATTTATACATACAGTTCATTACAGAACAATCTTTTTTTGTGGAGTACACTATCTTGGCTCACTGCAACCTCCAACTCCTGGGTTCATGGAGAAACTGAGCCTGGAACGCCATGGCTCTGGAAGCCATGGGAATGGTATCTTCTATTCTGGATTCTGCTCTCCAGAGTCACAGGTCCCTGGTAGCATGGAACACTCTCTCAGAACTCAGAGAGTTCTCAGACAGTAGAACTTGGCAGCCCATTGAGCTGCTGGAGTAGGCTCTAGTCTGTGACTGTAGTCTTGGACGCCGTAAGAGAAGACTCCTGAGCCCCAGAGAGTGCACAGTCAGATCTAGGATGGAAGGGAGGAATAAGGTCACTCACACCTGAGAGACCACCTCCTCAGTTTGTCCTCATTGCTCCTTCTCCCCAGCCGCCTTGCCCCACTGCCATTTTTGGGACCTCTCTCTGTCTCTCGGTATCCCTGGTATAACGACTGTGACACCTCACCAAGGTCCATGCGCAATGCTTCTCTGCCATCTTTCTTGTGGCTAGTTTGACTTTCAGCCACTAACATTTATTGAGCACTCACTGTGCTCCAAACACTTTGTCTGCCTTAAACATCATAATATCGTACAAGAGAAGTGCCATTATTTGTCTCAGTCTTCAGACATAGAAACTTTGGCTCAGAGAAGTTGAGTGATTGGCACAAGGTCACACAGCCAGTATGAGAATGTGCCAGGGTTCTGGCTTTGGCCACCAGATTCCCAGCCCAGCAGTGTGAGCCCTATGGTCTCTCTGCATTATGGAATAAAGGGTACCAGACCCCAAATAGGAAAAAAATCATTCTCTCAAGACTCTAGGCCATCTTCACTGGAGCAAGTGATTCTACTTAAAAAATAAAATCTCAGAGCAGATGGGATCAAAATCTATAAAGTGCAGGGAATGTGGACAAAGTGGACAGAAATTACCAGAGACACAGCACACTCCAGGAGGTTCAAAGGAGTGGTGTTTGGAACAAATAAAAGGAAACGCTACATGACATAAAATATGGTAGGCCTAAAAATAGAAAGAATTTTAAAACAAGTTTAGAAAATGTGTAAATGGATGACTCACTCATTCTTGCCACAAGTGTGTTCTGTGTCTGTGCTTTGCAAGCCCAGTAGGAGTTCAGTCGGAGAGCGATGGGATTCACCATGACACCAGCCTTTGATTCCTTTACATTCTTGCAGTTACCTACCCACTCTGTGGGCCTAAAAATCATACATCTCGTTACTGGGGTCAAGCTTCTTCTCAACAGTCCACTAGTGGCCCCTAACACTGACACTGTTTTTAAGTTTATTTTCTAGTTTATTCTAATGCTTCCTTGGAGTTATTACAGTTGTCCATGCCTTGGAGCTACTCCATGGGGTAGTGAAGAGAATGCTGGTTCAGGTGTTAGATGGACCTGAGTTCAGATCCTGGTTCTGCTGCTCAGCAAATGGGTGACCCAGAGCACCCTCTGCGGCACAGTTGCCTCAAAGCCCTGGCTTCACTGGGTGTTGTGAAAGATAAATGGGGCTGTGTAGAAGGCACTCCACAGTTCCTGGCATTAAGTAATACTTAGTAAATTACAGTAGTAGTAGCTGTTGTTGTTAGAAGGAAATACCATGCTTAGCATTCCCTCGGGGTAATGGTATGTCCACCCTGGTGTGGGGGCCACAAGCAGCAAGGATAGCCACTGAAGCATAGAGAGGAAAATGGGGTTCCAGATCCCTAAGCCCTCCAGGCTGCTCCTTCAGATGCAGGGAAGGCAGGCGCTGTGTGGTCCACAACATGACACAAGAGGACACAGCCCTGTAGTGAGCCTAGCCCCATGAAGGAGTGGGTGAAGCACCCAAGTTTGCTCCACTCAGAATGTGCCAGAAGCCCTCCTGGGGTAAGCAAAAGGCCAGTTAGATCTCTTGAATCTTCTCTATGCCTCAACCTCATTCCCTTGCCCCACTCAAACCTGCAGAGTCCCTGGTCCCTTCAACGGTCCCTGGGCACTGCCAGGAGCTGGGGAGGATAGGCCCTGTTCCGTGGTTTGTGCCCACAGCAGGAACCGCTGGCATTCCAAGGCCACAAAGAACAAAAGCCAATCCTGAGTCTGCTGAAAAGCCCTGGGCCTGGGTTTTTTCCTTGGCACTTCCCCAAGAACAGCTGTCAGGAAGGCAGCCACTCCAGGGCCCTGGCACTGGTTGGAGAGGATTCCTGCGCCCTGACTCCTGCTGCTCTGAGCTGGACCACAGGGGCCTAGCTGAGGGGAGGGCATTCCTGCCCGGTGAGCTGCTCTCATTCTTATGGTTTTCATTGAAATGTGCCTGTGGAAGAATCACCAGCAGAGTATCACAGAGAAATATGACCCTCCAGGATACCTCTAACAAGGATCAGATAGTAATGGGCAGATGATGTAATGCACCACTCTCTCAGGAGCAAATGAGATAAATGGAAATGTTCATGGAGGCTTACTGAGCAATGGAGGCTTCAGCAGTGGCTGTTCCCACCTTCACCATAAGGTCTGTCCTCAGTGTAGTTGTGAATGGAGTCAGTGTAGTTGTGTGGAGTCAGTGTAGTTGTGAATGGGAGCTTAAATGGAGGGCTTTACTCTGGGCACACCAACTCTCTTACAGCAATGGGGATGGAGCTGGAGGCTGTGATCCTAAGCAAATTAATGCAGAATCAGAAAATTAAATGCTGTATGTTCTCACTTATAATTGGGAGCTAAGCATTGAACACACAGAGACATCAGTATGGGAAAAATAGACTCTGTGATCTACTTGAGAGTGGAGGGAGAGGGATGGGTTAAAAAAACTACTTAACTTGGGGCGGCCTCTACAGCCAGCCCCGCTTGTCTCTCACAGGATCCCTCCTCCTGCTCCTGGCATGCTCCTGGCAGCCATGAGCCCGCCCGGTTGCATGCCCACTCGCCTCTGCCTGGAGGAGTGCTGCCGCGGGGGCGCGCCCCAGGTCCCCTACCCTGAGCCCTGATGCCCAGCTCCAGCGTCAAGATGCCAGAAGAACAAGAACCCAGCGCCGGCCTGACCTACCCAGCGCCTGCGCCCCGGCCTGCAAGACACCACGCCCTCCTCTGCTCTGCGTGGTGCGTGGAGGGGCCCCTTCGGATCGATCGCAGCCGCTGCCACCATAGCCGCCACCATAGTCGCTGAGGCAGGCGTCAGTGGGAAGGACCTGAGAGTGGCTTTCCCAGCCGGCTGCCACACAGGACCTCTGGATGCTTAGCCCGCCCGGCCGAGAGCTCTAAAGTCAAGGCATGACTTAACAGCTTATCTTGGAGGAGAACAGCTCAACTCAAAGGCAGATTGCCAGTTCGGAGTTTATTACAAGCAGAACTGCTATGATGTGCTTTTAGCACTGAAGTGAACTCCATTGTAAGTACAGAAAGTGGCATCTCTGCTTTCCCCCAGAAGCACAATCGTATACACCTTGCAGACTTGAATCACTGAAGATGTAAGCCAACTGTTACTCTGAGTTTCGGAGACCCCCTGTGGACAGCATGAAGCCTGTCCCTGATCAAAGTCTTAGTAAGCAGGAAGGAGTCAAGGTTAAGGAATGCGTCTGATTACCCTGAACTGTAGTACCTTGGAAAGTGAACCAAGGCTTGAGTTTTGTTCTGGAAGCCTGCCTTGCCTGCTTCTGTAATCTGGCGCTCTGCATGTGAATCTTGGATCTATATGGACACTGCTATATGTTACTGTCATGATTCTCTGCTCTTCCATGAGCTCAGACTTGGCACCTTATTTTACTTCTGAGCCACCTCTACCGTCCAGAAAGGTGGTGGACCTGTAGAACTACATTGTTCTGCCAAACCTGTGACCACTCATAGCTCATGGTTGCATAATGGAAAAAAGGATAGAAATATGGAACATACAAAGCTTCATCAGGGGACTTTGACAATGCTTTCTCTGAACTTCTCTCTTTTGGGTTTCTACCAATCCATTGCCAACAATAGCGTTGGTATTATTTTGAGTGGCCCTGTAACAGTATCCGTGGCAGTTTTTGGTGATTTTGGTTCATCCACAAAGTATGTTATTACAGAGGAGGAAAAAGTGCTGTCAGGATAATAGAAACGATGTCAGCTGTGATCGTGCAGAAAATCCAGAAGAGTTCAGCAGAGGAGACAGCTGTGTCTATTCAGAAACAGACAGCAACATTTTACGTTGGAATCCTCTTATTCTGCCACCTATCTCAGAGGACTGTGCTGAAGAGACAACATGGCCTCCGCCTGGTGTTCCTTTGCACAGCCCCTCAGGGGTCCTCCAGCAGCTCCAGGAAACTGGAGGATGTGCAAACAACCAGTCATGTTCCAACTTCAATCCTGTAACTAACTGCACAAAACAGGCCTGGGAGTGAACTGTTTGAAGGACCTTAATTCAAATCAGAGAAAATGACTATTTTTTTTTTTTTTGTAGCATAATGTCATGTCAATGTGTCTTAAAGTGTGAGCCCTTTTATATTATTTATGCCTTAAAAGTTTTCTTACCCATTCCTTCCTTCCTTTCAGGAAGAAACAACCTTGTTTTGCATAGCTTTCAATCACCTGGAGGGCAGAGGGATCATTCCATGTTTTCTAACAACCATAGTGGCAGTAAGAACTCCTCATGCAAACGATTCCGTCTCTTGGATGCTTCTGCTCAGAGGAAATGCAGAGGCCAATTGAAGGTTGCCACCAGTGAGGTTTTCAGGTGGAAAACTGTCTTTTAATAGTGTATTATCAAACTTTCTGAGAACACTTTGAAGTCAACCACAGTTTTGACCCAGTGTTTATAATAGCAGACCTGGCCGTTGAATTTTTTAAGAGTGCCTTCCACCAAAGTGGTAACGTGACCAGACGACTTTCTCTCTATCTGCACGTAGGCACAAGTGATGTTCAGTCTTCTAGGCGCTAGTCATAAGTGGTGTCGTGGACATGGTAGAGTGTGAGATGTAGTTGAATGATTGCAGTATGCAGAAAAGGAACCAAGACCAGAGAGACAAATAATGCCTTACTATCCCTCTGCTTTAAAATTCATTGATTGATAAAATGGCTGGTATGGGGCTCTTTTTGACTGCTTCTAAGAGTAGGAACAAAATAAGACTTTAAGTCGTGGCTTGAAAAGAAAGATACACATTTTCAGAAGAAAGAAAGGGGAGGGCTGCAGGGAACCTGTCTTGGAGGGAGCTCTTCAGTCAGCTCCATTAGCCTAGGAGCGTGCTCATGGTGTCACACTGCCAGTAACTAGTCACTCTCTCACTTCCAACAGGGGCAACAGCCTGAAGGTGTGAGTGTCAGAAAATACTTACTTTGGAAGAAAGGTGTGTTTTTTGTTGTTGTTGTTGTTTTTTTTTACCCTGAAGTTTCCTGACTTTTTTTTTCCAGAATGTCTTCCTTGTAAACAGGCACCTAAAGCATCGGTCAGCAGAGTTCCTGATGACTGCTACCTCTGTGTGACAAGGACATTTGCAGCTGTCTTTGGAAGGCTATTCTCCACATTAATAAATGATAATAATGATGATAATATATTTTTTAAAAACTACCTATTGGGTACTATGCTGACTACCAAGGTGACAGGATCTGTATTCCAATGACAGCAGTAATGCAAACATACAATTCTGTAGCCACTTATATTTTAATAGCATTATACTCTTTTAACCATCCTCATCTTGTATATAATCTCATTGTATGTTAGAATACAGCTATTAGAGCAATAAGGAAGAATGGATAAATAATCAGGTTTTTGTTTTTGTTTTGTTTTGTTTTGTTTTTCTTTGAGACAGGCTCTCACTCTGTCACCCAGGTTGGAGTGCAGTGGTGAGATCACAGCTCACTGCAGAGTCGATCTCCCCAGATCAAGCAGTCCTCCAACCTCAGCCTCGCAAATAGCTGGACTACAGGCTGAATTGTCATGCCTGAGTAATTTTGTTGTTGCTGTTGTTGGAGAGACAGGGTCTCACCCTGTTGCCCAGGCTTCTCTCCAACTCCTGGCTCAAGTGATCCTCCCACCTCAGCCTCTAAAAGTGCTGGGACTATATATATATATAATATACATGTATATATGTATATTTTCTGTATCTATAATAATAGTCCTTGGAAAATTAGCTTACTGCTTGAAAAAATATATATGAATGACCGCTTTGAAATATATGTATTTTATATATATACATATCTATATACACACACACATATATATGCATATATATGCAACCTTCCAGTGACAGTAGGTACGCTTTTGGCTTCTGAGATGAACATATTCATGATGATAAATATTTACTATGAATTCAGCTAAACATGAAACTCAGCAATATTCATGTCTATTTTTCTCTATTTCTACCTAAATCTGTATTTGAAAAGTTGTGCCTAAGCCTTCCTAGTTAGTTAGATTTTTATCCTTTACCATTCAATGCGTGTGTGGCTTGGAGACTGTTTTCACAGATCAGGAAGTTGACAATTATGTCCCACATTCAGTGGACTAACAACTCAGAGATCCTCTCTGTCATTAAACTTGTAGATCAGAGTTACTCCTTATAGATGGAGTCAGCCTTTTTTAGACTTTGTCCTCAGCAATCCTCATTAAAGGAGGCATTATTTTCTTGCTTTAAATAAATTCAAAAAACACATATCAGAAACTTTTGATATGTTTGTTGTGTGCCATATTGTCAGTAATTAAATTAAATACTAGAAAATACACCATTAAATATGATATTTGATATACAGTTGGCCCTCCATATGATAGGGTTCTGCATCCATGGATTCAACTCATCATGGATTTAAAAATTTCAGGAAAAGAATTGAATGATTACGTTTTCACTGAACATGTGCAGACTTTTTTTTGCTTGTCATTATTCCCTAAGTCATATAGTGTAACAACTACTTACATAGCATTTACACTGCATTAAGTATTTTAAGTAATCTAGAGATAATTAAAGTACATTGGAGGATGTGCTTAGGCTACATGCAAATACTTCACCATCTTATGTAAGGACATCTGAGGATTATTAGCATCCAAGATTTTGGTATCTGTGGGGAGTCCTGGAATCAATTTCCAGTCGATACTTAAGGAAAGGCTTCATACCAAGTTAACATGACCAAAATATACATATTTCTGATAATAAGGATATTTTACTGCACATGTGTCTTAAAAATTTCAAAGACCTTAATAAATTTGGAATTTTATTAAAGTGTAATGAGGCTTCTGAGTATTCTGTATTTTCTGAAGCAAAAAGTGAGTCTTACTTTCTATTCTGGTAATGACATGTTCCCAGGTAACTGTCTGTAGGATGCCATCGGTGAAATTACTAAAACCTAACAGGTTTTCAGTCTTTTATCTGTATCATTGTCATTCTGTTAAGATCTGTGTCCATCAATAGTTTGTTCCTGAGCTAAAGAAAATTGACTGAGCCTATCAATTTGATAAGCATCCAATTTATATCTTCATTAAATAATATTTCTCAGTATCCCTGTTGATTTTGGTTACATTCAGTAGCCAAAATCAATAGTAATACAGGGGTAAATTTGGTAGCCTTTTAAATAGTTGTATCATATGTTTTCATCAATTAGTTTGTGCATTTATTCTTTTATTCAAACAGACAATTATTGAATATCAGTTATATCTTAACCATTGTCTACTTTCTTGGAATATAACTGTATGTAGTACAAACACAATCCTTTTCTTGTAATTTGAAAAGCAGAAAATAAGCCTACTATTACATTGTGAGTTTTACAAAGAAAAGTATAAGGTTTTCTGAGTCTTTAAAACAAATAGCCTAATCTAGCCCAGGAGCTAAAGAAAGAATTCCCTGAAGAAATATTGGAACTTACACTTGATGAAATGTGACTTAGCAGATGTGGAACAGAGAAAAGGAAATTCCGGTTCAAGGGGAAGAACCCCGTGCTCTTGCATTAACCCATCAGTTTGGATAAACACACGCAGGTATTCATTTACCTGGGCTGGCTTGGAAATCTAGGGGAAAAAAAAGATACAGCATAAAAGAAAAGACATGCACAGTATTCTAAGAGAGAGTAGTTTAATGAAAATCAAAACAAATGTATACCTCCGCAATTTAAAAATGGTACAAATTTTATAGAAACAGATAAAGAAAATCAAGTAGTCAGTAGGTTAGCATTTTCAGAAGATGGTGTTTCTGATACCTTTAGTCATGTTACTGACCTATCCCTGATTCTGTGAGTGCAAACGTCTAAGAGTGTAAGGGAAAGAACCTGAGAGGCTACAAATGAGAAACCTGTTGGCCACATTAACAAAGCTTACCATACCAGATTCATAATCTAGAAACATCCCTATCTGTCCTAGAGGCCTTTCTGTATACTGAGGTAATAGTGAGGAAGAGGTCTTGAGATGACACCAGTAGCCTTCTTGACACGAAATGTAGAAAAAAATTCTTGGAGTTAACCAGCATGTCATTTCTTATTGTCCAAGAATCGTTGCAAAATCCAACAGCCCAGTTCCAACACTGCCCAACATCCACCTCTCAGTAATATCTTCAAAAGTGAATGGCAGGGCTTGCCATCAAGAAAACAGATTTTGTTGGAGCTGGGGCAATGCTGAGATCATCAGAACCAAAGAGTAGCTGTCTCAGAACTTCAAACGAGGGGGATGCAAGAAGTGGTTATTTTATTATCCCGGGAAATATGTGCTGCAGGAATAAGAAAACAGTCACATGAAAACACAGTGTTATAAACTTCTAATGGAGGTGGGCTTTGCATAGTGTCTACATATGTCAGGTTGTCACTGGAAATATGGGTCAGGACAGCAGGAATACTCGTGAAGTTTACTGATGTTCAAGGGTTACTCCATATTCATAACAAGCAAATCCTGAACCAGAAAAATGGGGAAAAATTACAATATTTTTTGGAATCTATAAAGAACAGAAATTATTGCTAAGCTCACATGCCCTAGAACATTTAAATTTGTAGAATTTTTAATAATTCGAAGTGAGTAGCAAAAGCAGCTTGCTCTTATTCTCAGAAAAATAATGTAAATAATAACTCTTATTTTAAATAACCACTTTGTCTCCGATTTACGGATTTTTCACTGAAGCATGCATAGGTATAATAAAGTAAAAGAAAATCCACATATGCTTTTGAAAGATTTCTTTGTGAGAATTCTCTGCCAGAGTATCTCTTGAGAAAGGGATAAATCCAGTGAAATTAGTTGCCAGTTGACTTTGTGGCTGTTGTTATAAATATTCCTCTAATGATTTTAATATCGTGGATGATTATACAAACTATTTTGTGTATTGTTATACACCACTGTAATACTGAGTGTCAGTAACCACAAGCTGGGGCTTGACAAGCTTACCTGAGGCAGGCATCCTGCTTCCTCAGACCCAGCTTCCCTAAGGGCACCCTACAGCCTTTCCATTTGAAGTTGGAATCCACCATCTGCTACCTACAAAAGCCCCAAATCCTTGAGGGTCTTTTCTTTTGCTTCTTTACACCCTGCTTTCACCATACACTGTCAGAAATACTTACCCTTCCCCCATAAGTCCTGGCGTAATTTGGGGCTGTTATGTCAATTTCTTTATACACTTTGACAATTAAAATTGGAAATGGTAATTTTCTCTACGTGATTTCTCTATAGTTCCTTGAAAATAATAGCCCTGCCTAACAAACAAACAAACAAAATCTTTCTACCCTTTAAGAAGGGGAAGACTAAATATACTATGAAGGAGGGTACATTTTCATAAGAAACTATGTTCCCACTTCAGTATGAGACTGATCACTGTTACAGTTCTCAAAACTTGAATATAGGAAGAAATTTACCTTTCTAACACATTTCTAAAATTAGGTAAGAAAGAATAGAGAAAGTCTTAGCATTCATCACAAAATTCATAGTGAAGGCTTAATTTATTAGATTCCTGAGGATGGGTGAGCCCAAAGTTTATAGCAATTGGTATCCAGGAAATGGCCATCGAGGAAATATATTGCATGGATTCCCAAATTTCTAAATATCTGAATATATTTAAATACAAATTCAAAAAGCTTCAAATAAACTTTTTTACTGCAGTTTTTCAGCAATTGAATGAATTTTGAAAGGAAATTTTTTTCTGGGGTGTTTTCTACTGTTTTTGTTTGTTTGTGTTTTGCTCCTGGATCAAGAAAAACTGACTTTGTCTCTTTTGTTACTAGACAAGCAATTCACTTTCAAGCATCATGAAAGCATCATTCCAAACACATCACAGAAGGCAAAGAGAATGAGGTCATTTTTCCCAGTGGACTCTCTTGTTCTCAGTCCTAATCTGGAGCAGCTCCAGGTCTGGTTTATGGTACATTTCCTTCAGTTTCTTATACATTCCTCCTACGGCTTTCTCCTTTCATTTCATTCTGTCTTTACTGTCTTTACTTCTCTTTGCTTTCCTATTCCAGTCTCTCCAAGTGACATTCCTCTTCCTCATAAAGCAAATGACAAACTCTGCAATACACAGCATGAATCATCTTCCTCTGTAGATTCACATGACCCTGAAGTAATAATGAAATCATTGGAACACATAGTCTACTTTTATTCATGCCTTTTTATTTCTTGTTTTATCTTAAGATATTTAGCAATTTGTTGCAATGAATGAACCAAAAATTAGAGACTGGTTTCTCTTTCGTTTCTTCCTTTTCTTTCCTTCTTTTCTGTGTATGTATGTATATATGTATTTGCACCAGAAGTCAAAATCTGGCCTTCAACTCTTTGCCCTCAAGTATCTACACTTGATTTAAAAATGGTAGCTTATGATTTGATAATTAATTATCTTATAATACACAAAAACCTCATTACTAAATCCGTTTAGTTTCTTTATTCTCAAATATTTTACCTGTACGCTGATTCTTTATTCTCAAAAACAGTAGCGAATATTACTTCATAGAATGACATAAGATGTTTCCAAAATTTTTTCTTTTAGCAATTCAAAAACTACCTGCTAACCAGAGCCTGACCCCATTAGTGCAACTTGCTTCTTCTTTTCTAAGGCTTTGCCCTACACGTAGAAGCTGACTTCCATGCTATTCTCAGAGACATTATTCAACAGACAATCGCCTTCCAATATTAATTTCCTCTCTCACTTTCTTGTTCTCGCCTTCTCTTTGTTATTTTCTCTCAATTTTAAAACCTACTTTATTTACTCCCACTGTTTCGAAATAAAACTAAATAGCTACATTGACCCAATATCTTCACTTGATTTTTGTGCTATCTCCTTTGTCCATAACAAAGCATATTCCTGACCACATGAGTATGTTCGCTGTACTCATTTGTGAAACTTTCCATCTTTCTTCAACTCAATGAAATCTTTCATACCCAACAGTTTACACAAACCATGTTCTTCATCTCACCACCAATATCCTTTGAACTACATTCTTTATCTGACCACGAACTTCCTTTGCTAAACCCACATATTTTGATTCCCATTATTTCTAGTCCTTTCTTCTGTAAAACTCATACAAACTTGGTTTCTGAAAATTATTTTTAAAAATAAAATAAAACCTTCTCTCATATTTTTCTTCTATCAACTCATGTTTACCAGTTTTTCTTTCCTAGCCTGGCCCATTAATACATGGATTACAGAAGGTGTTTTATTTAACCCCACCCCTCCACTGCCTCCTTGGCACTTTCCTGATTAACCTGAAAGCTCCAGAACTGGGGACAGCTGGTTCCCCTTTCATTCCCCCATATGGAGGTTGGGTTGGGTGGCCTCGCAAAGCCCCAGCTGCCTTTACATATTTTGGTAGCGGTTCAATTGTCTTTCTGGAAAATAATCATTTCAGATCACTAATTTAACCCACCCACTTTCACTTACACATACAAAGAATGTGCAGGGAGGAAGCAGAGTTTTCTTTCATCCTGGAGCTGTGGATGATGGACAGAGAAGCTGACTGCTTTCTCTCTGCACACTCTCTGAAAAAGCCTTAGTTCCTCCTCCCTGCACTCCCTGCAGCCCCTCTCTTTACCCTCCCAAGACCTTTAGTGCTCACACTTTATCCAGCTCATGTAGATACTATTCCCAGTAACCAAAATCTCCCGCCATTATTAACACAAGAGGAATAGAGGAGAAATCCATCCCCCATCCCTACTCCTGTCAGAGCAAGACAGCCACCCCAAACATCCGTTCATCTCCAGAATTTTCCCACTACTAATAAGGAATGGTCAAGATCAACCCTTTGGGTGCCTTTTTCTAACCTCCTTTCCCAAGTGTAGCTGACTTAATTGAAACATTTTCTAAAGCCAAAAACTTGCACTTGAATTTGCTGATAGTTTGCTGGAGACACCTCATGGTCCACAGTACCATATCTGAGAGTAAACCACACAGTCAGGTAATTAGCCATTGTGAAAGATGGGGGTGGTAGCTGCTTGTTATTAGGGATTCTATACATTTCAGATCTCTCTCTCGTATATGCAATATATATATGTAATGTATTATATATGATACTGGAAGTAAACTACATATTAAACAATATATAACACATATATTCATGTATATGTATAATATACATATATATATTATATATAGCTAAAGACATAGATACATAGATATGTAGATAGATATGTACCTCTAGCTCTACCTATGGTATTTCTTTCTGACTCGTCGTCACTGTTGCTCAGGCTGGAGTGCAGTGCTGCTATCTCACTCACTTCAAATTTTGCCCCCCAGGTTCAAGCTATTCGCATGCCTCCGCCTCCTAAGTAGCTGGGAGTACAGGCATGCGTCACCACACTCTGCTAATCTTTGTATTTTTAGTAGAGAGGGGGTTTCACCTTGTTGGCTAGGCTGATCTCGAACTTCTTACCTCAAGTGATCTGTCTGCCTGGGGCACCAAAAGTGCTGGGATTACAAGTGTGAGCCACCACACCAGGCTTATAATACATTCCTGGATGAGGTGTTTTGGAGCAAGGATGGGCAAAAAGGCTGCTAGGTAGGGTCCTGGAGGGATACTGCAGGGACCAGGAGCAGTGCTTGGAGGAGGAGAGGATCAGGACATACTGCAGAAATTGACCTTCAGGAATAGCTGGAGGTGGCCAGGCACAGTGATGGAGCTGGATCCAGTGAGGTGGGGCGGAGATTTCTGCTGGGCTGGAAACCAAGAGGACTGCCCAGAGACACTTCTGTCAAGGTTGCAGCCAAAGAGTATAAGCTCACTGTATCCCTGGCACTAAGGTTCTTTTAAGAACGCTAGTTGTTACTTCATGAACAGTCATATCAAGGCATACTATTTTTGGAAAGGCATTTTCTTCCCTCTGCCCTCTCCTTAAATAAGAAACAAAGAACAATAACAACAACAGCATGTCCTATTGATGCTATTTGTATGGAACGAAACTTGAACTTTTATAAGGTAAAGATCGGTCAAGATAGCTTTCCTAGCATCCTGACTCTAGAGCTCTCCTGTTGATTCCATAAGGTATTCAATAATAAGAGCGTCGACTTTTTGCTCTGTCCTGGTTCTGCTTCTGTCTCCACTTACTTTATGGGGGCCTTCGCTTTTTTTGATCCTATTGTGTCAGCCTTGTTTAATATGTAGTTTACTCCCAGTATATTCTTCTCAGTATGGAATTTGATCCTGGAAGAGAATTTGGGCTGGTTATTTTAAGAGCTGTAGAAGCCATATGGTCCCAGCCGCTTTTTATCTTATCCTGCACTCTTGCTTATTGATGTGTGCAAACTCCCACCCTACTCAGTTTCAGCAGCTCTTTTTTAATTACCTTGCACACTTTCTAATGAATCCTCGTTGCTGACTTGGGGCGTTCTCAAATCTACATGTGTTCTGTTCACCCTCTCTGCTTCATCCTGAAAGGATTCTGATTCCTCATGGATATTGCTGTTGCACCTGATTTGTCTGTGACTATTCATATTTGGGATTTTTGTAGGGTACATTGTCACTCAGTGTTGTTGTAGATATTGTTCATGAATTTTGATTTTGTTATTCTAGATTTTACTGTTTTTCTTTAGAGGTTTGGAAATGGTCTGTAAGTATACTGCACCTCTCTAACTTTTCAGAATTTTAAGGTGCAAATTTTTAAAATGTGCAAACAAGGAATGCCTCTAAACTGGATCTCAATGTGTTTAGCAGGTTCCATGAGCTGTGTGTAACAGAAGACCAGAACAAAAGAATTGTAGAAGTAGCTTCTCCACAGGCATCACGGCCTTCTTCTCTTCGAGTGTTTCGGTATGCTGTTTCCTCTGTCTGGACGTCACTTCCACTTCCAATACTTCTTTTTTGAATTAATACTTGTTTTATCAAGGATAAATTTTGATTTAATTGCCTTGCAGAAACATTTTTACATTTAAAAAATTGTATTGTACTTTCTATCAATTGCATTGCATTCAAGGATCTCCCATTATTATGTACAAATATATATATAGTGTGTATACCTATACATATACACATACATATATATACACACACATACATATACACACACCCATAGAATCAACACTATTTTTTAAAATTTCTGGTACTTAGGTCAAAGTTGGGATCAAATTCTAGCAAGGGTGCAGGTCTTTATGCATTGCAGACAAATATCGTTCATTGAATTTTTATTTATTGAATGTAATATATCTTGTTATGTAATATGCATTACTTAAAGGTTTTGTTGGAATTAAATAAAGGAGAAATATGGATGATGAAAGGAATAAAGGAAAAAAAATGTGAAAATCAACCTAACATTTTCTGTAAATCTACTGTGAGATAGGTACTTTATAAGCATTAAGTGTAACCTTTACCTATATGTAATCTCACTGTAATTTTTTTGGTTTTTTTTTTTTGGTTTTGTTTTGAGATGGAGTCTCGCTCTGTCACCCAGAGTGGCCCGCAGTGGCATGATCTGGGCTTATTGCACCCTCTGCCTCCAAGGTTCAAGCAATTCTCTTGCCTCAGCCTCTTGAGTAGCTGAGATTACAGGCAAGTGTCACTGCACCCCGGTAATTTTTGTATTTTTAGTAGAGAGGAGGATTCACCATGTTGGCCAGGCTGGTCTCGAACTCCTGACCTCAAGTGATCTGCCACACTCAGCCTCCCAAAGTGCTAGGATTATAGGCATGAGCCACCATGCCTGGCCTAATCTCACTGTAATTTTATTCCCACTTCATGAATGTATAGATGAGGTAACAAAAGCGAAGAGATCATTATTTTAACCAATGATATTTTATTATAATAGCAAACTCAGAAGTTCAGTTTCTATTTGTCAGTACTTCTGCTTTTTAAACCAAATAATACCATCTTTAACTCTGAGTGTCACGAAGTCAAGAATTGTACCTTTCATCTGTGTGTCACACATAAGGAGGGCAAGACTTAAAAAAGAGTAGATGCTGAATGAATTTTAAAACGCTGTATTTAAAATCACAAGCAAAGCCCCAACTGCATTTGTACATCTCACCATCTAGCCTGAGCTATAGGCCTTACTACCACTTAGTGGCAAATGTGAATTATGGTATCTTCTAAATTGGAAGTAAAAAGAATCAGATCTTTAAAGTTAATTTTGCAAACTTGATGTTAAGAAGCGAAACAAGGGGCATAATATGCAAATACATTTTCTAAATAAATTCAACCCATCAGCCATCTAGAATTCATGAAAAAATGGTGAAAATGCCTAAATCCCCAGAATCTGTAAGAAAATGAAAGTGTGATAGTAAATTTTATGTGTCAGCTTGAATTGGTCTCTGTAAAGTAGGTTTCCCTCCCCAGTAGCTCCTGAATAGAACAAAGGGCAGATGATAGAGGAGTTTGACCCTTTTGTTCCTGCCTCACTTCTTAAGCTAGTACATCTCATCTTCTCTTCTCTTACCCTTGACCTGGGGTTTACACCATTGGCTTCCCTGGTCCCCAGGCCTTCAGACTCAGATTGAATGACACCTCTGGCTTTCCTAACTGACCAGCTTGCAGATTGCAGATCATGGTATTTTTTGCCTCCACAATTTTGTGAGCCAATTCTTCATCATAAAATTGGTCTTTCTGGGTGGGCGGATCACTTGAGGTCAGGAGTTCGAGACCAGCCTGGCCAACATGGCGAAGCCCTGTCTTTACTAAAAATACAAAAATTAGTCAGGCGTGGTGGCGGGTGTCCGTAATTCCAGCTACTTAGGAGGATGAGGCAGGAGCATCTTTTGAATCTAGGAGGCGGATGTTGCAGTGAGCCCAGATCGCACCACTGCACTGCAGCCTGGGCGACAAGACACCGTATCTGTCCCTCTCTGTCTCCTCTCTGTATTATTCTATCTCTCCCTCTGTCACTCTGTTTCTCTCTCTATGTTGGTGCTACTGTTTCTCTGAAGGATGATGACTAATACACTAAGGAAAAATTACATAAATATATGATAAATTTAACAAAATAAATTTTTAAAAATCGATATACATTATAAAGTTAACCAAATAATAATAACAGTAAATAGCAATTTTCTTTTTTTATAATTTATTTCAAATGTACACATCAGCATAATTTTCATGATTTTAAATTCTGTAAGCATTAGATTGAAAGTCAGAAGCAAGCCAAGAACATATTACTTTATTATTGCTTAACATTCTCCTGGATACTTTAATCTGATACATTTAGAGGTATAAAATGGTAAATATTTTCATTATTTTCTGAAACTTATTTACCTAGAAAAAACTTTTAAATAAAAATTTATTAAGATATCTAGGGACAAAATAAACACATGATAGTCAGTGGTTTTCATACAAAAAGTATACATCTACTTCTGTGATGCTTATATTCATGAGAACAAAATATGAAAATAGCCAGAAATGTTTAAGAGAATGAAGGTATACTGAGAAGGCACTAACCTCAGGTTGATTTTCAAACATATTAGTAAACCAAAAAAAATTAAAACAATGTTATATTGGTGCATGAATTCATAGAGCAGATAGTGAAACAGAATAGTGTATTTATCTATATGTGTCTTTCTGTGCATCTTTCTATCAATCCTGAGTGCTTAAGGTGAGATTCACTTGCACCTGAATCAGCAGAAAATATTTGGAGCTTCAAGAATAAATGCAGATGGCACTTAGAGATGCTGCACCCGATGTCATAAGGGATTCTGTGGAGGAGCTCATTCCAATGAAATAGGTAAGTTTTTATTTTGTATTTTCATTTTTTTGGAAATGAGAAAGAAAAGTCTCAATGAAAGCTAAGAGTCAGACATATATACGGAAATATTGCTGCCTACTCCCAGGCATGCGAGTGACCAACTCCCTACTTCAGGGAGTGGAGGAGTGAGATATCAAGAGTACAACAATTTTGTTAAGACACCTACCCCACCTTTCATCAAATATCCCCAAGCCTAGACTAAGTGCAGGAGTCCTGAAAAACATTTCCACAGGGAAGGTCGGGGTCCCAGGCTCATGGGTGTCTTCTTACTGCCTTTAGCAGAACAAAAATGAGTAAAGCAAAGCTTCTTGCTTCAGAAATATTCAGTCTAGTACAGTGTGTATCCTACATCTAATCATCGCTTCATTCCAGAAGCTTTAATTGCACAAAATTCACTGGGAAAGGCATGATATTTGTCTGTTTTTTAAGGATAAGGTTGGTATTGGCTCAAACTTATATTTATTCTCCGCAAAGAGTCCCTCCCAGGTTTGTAATCCTGATGTAAGAGGGTGCTGCACCAAGTTGCTTCTTTCCAACCTGTCCTACTTTGTGTAGAGGAGGAGAGCGGGGAAGGAAGAAAAGAGAAAAAAAAAAAGCAAAGAAGTAAAAAGAGGCAGAAGGACAGTCCCTTTTCCTTGACACGGATGGCATGAATGGGCTTTTGCGGAGAAACTCTGCCTGACCCTGGAGTCTGAGTCAGGCAGAGTCTGAGTCAGGTGGAGTCCCAGTTAGAAGTCCTCTGAGGAAGCTGCACTAGAGTCACTGCCCTCAGACATCAACTTCCATGTCTTCCCCACTGCTGCAGTCTAAAGAGTTACTGCTTTCTTCCTCTTCGCCATCTTTCTTCCTGTTCTCTTCTGGTTCCATGGAGACCTGACAGTTTACCCAAATAGTCTGTGATGCCTCTGTTCCTGCAGCCTGGAGCCCCTGCCCCTCCCCAAACCCTTCTTGCAGACCCTTTGCTGATGAGGACTGCGGATCTGTTTGTTTCAAGCTGGGGGCCGGGCCTCCCATCATCGCCATATTCTTACCCTTAGCATAGGTCGATTCTTTGTACGCAGCATAATCTTCAGGTGACAAAGTCTTGAGCCAGAGATCCAATTCCACTTTGTATTCCTTCTGCAGCAACTCAGCCTGGCTCTTGTAATGATCCTTCTGGCTCTGCGGGATGCGCTGCCAGCGTCTGCCAATCTCTACCATGCGCTCCCTCAGGGACAAATGTTGCAGCTCCTTACTTGACCAGGAATCTTGGTGAAACTTGTGGTATCCATTCATGGGGGGTTTCTGAGGCTCTCCATGAAATTTTACCTTCTTGAAAAATTGATCCGTTTTTGGAAGAGACGTCACTTCTTCAATATTTTTCTGAACTTTCTTTTGCACTTTGGTTTGAATCCTCTTGGAGATATCAGATTTCTTGCCCTTCTGGTCTAAATCAGGGTGCTCTTCCCTGAATCGAACAAGTTTTTCCTCAAATTCTTGCTTTTCCTTCTGGAAATCCTGAATATATTTCTGTTTCATCTGCTCTGGGAGCTCCTTGTATTTCTTTGACAGGATTTTGGTCAGTTCCTGGCTTCTCATCCCAGGGTACATTTGGGAGTACTGGGGCCAATTCTCCTTGAAGAAGCGGATATAAGCAGTAAGGGGCCTCTTTGGAAAGTCTGGATGGTTCCTGCCTTTTTGGCTTTTGTTTGTATTTTTAACACATTTCTTAGCTTCCAGGACTAATTTTTTCAAAGTGCTGAATTTTCTCAAGCTGCAAGAAATCTCTAACCATTTGAGTCTGCACATTTCACCAGAAAAGTTTTTAAAAGCTACTTTTCCCCAGTCCATGTGTGACTGAGTTGAGCTGAACGTGCCGTTGTCATCAGATGGGAGATTATTCTCCATGCATTCCAGTAACCTCAAGATGTCTGCGTTGGACCAATGGCCTTGGCTTCTAGGCAAAGCCATTTTGATGTCTTTGGCTTACTTATAAGATCCCAGTTATGCAAACACCAGAGTAAGAACACAGAGTTCCTTACTTTTAAGAGTCAGTGGATGATTTCTTTCTGGAAGTCCTGCAGTATGTGTGATTCTGTATTTCTGAGGAGAAAGAAAGGAAAGTTACTCTGCTTCATTGGGATTAATGAAAAAAATTACACCCTATTCGCCATATATCCCTTGTATAATTAATTTACTCTTAAGGATATAAATAAAATATAGCCCATTTCTGAATGAAAATCCATATTTGCCTTTCATATGCTACATGCGCAATATTCAACATCTCCGCACCCCACCCCAGCCTTCTTTCTGCCAGATCTCGCATGAACCGATCTTAAATTGAGTTGCATAAGGCAAACACCAGACCACTCATCACTTAAGAAGCTTAATAGAACAGAAATGCCCTGAAGACAGAGTCAAGAGCTAAAGTGGAAGGAGAAATGCCTAAACCGGAAAGACTGTTCATTCTACAGTGCCCTGAGTATCGCCATTTTCTAAGCACAGCCCAAATAGCCATAGCTAAAGGTGCAGATGAGAAGTTAAAGATGCAACAGGACAAGCCCAAGAGCTCCTCCAGACATGCATCCAACTGTTACCTTTTTATGAGGGAATGTGAACCTGTGATAAAAGACTGAATTAAAGATTCTCCAGGACCCATGCATGGGAATGAATGCTTTCTAGCGAACCATACCGCTTCTCCTTTTAAATATCAAGGATTTAATGACAATTATAAAACATTTCAATTTCAGTTGGTTAACTGTTCGTCATCTTTAAGCCTCAGTGAAAGTTTGGCTTCCTCCGGAAAGTGCCTCCAAAATACCTGGCATTTTCCATTATAGAACTTGAAAACATGGCAGATCCGATAACTACTGCTTATTTTATTTATTTATTTATTTTTACCAATTTTGTTTTGCCTAAAGTAATTCCTCTGGGACATGATTTCCCAACTAATTCTCCAAATTCTCATAACTCTTTCACTTGTCTTTTTAGGATAATCTTCTATTCTAAGACAAAGCCTAACTTCAGTAAAATTGTGTACAAACACATACAACATTAAATTAAACCAGATCTTAAATAGAGGGTGCATAAGGAGTGTAACATGGGGCCTTCGGGGGAAAATATGCATTAGAAGGGAAAGAGAACAGAGTTAAGATGTCAGTGGAGGTTGAAATTCTGAGAATGAGTTTCAGAATATGTGAGAATATTTTTGAGAACTATTTTTAATTCTCAGTAGAGTACAGAAGGATGTAGCCTTTGAATGACGTTAAAAATTCACTAGAAGTGTGAAGAATGTTATAATATCACATGCCTCAAAACACAAATTCCTTAATATAGAGATTAAAATGTTTTAAAATACTGGATAATAATTCAAGTCCATATTTGAGGTAGAAGATAAAATAAAGAATAGCTCATATATCAAATTTATTATGTGAAAAAGACTTTTGGAAAATTGTTCATAATAAATGAAAATGTAAATAAAAAATTAAAATTTATAATAAAGCATTAAAATAAACTGTGAAAAACTTAGAAGAGGGTAAACTTGAAAGTTATTGAATTTTTAACCTCAAAAATCTGAAAAAAAGTCAGTTCATTAGTGTCCTTAAAAAAAAAAAAAACTTAATAATATAACAGGAGAGTAATTAAGAAAAAAGTAACATTCACAAAGGAAAATAAAAAAATTAAAAAATATTTGATTCCATACTTTGTGTTTAAGATCAAAACATACTCTGAAATGGTTCAGGGATAAAAAGATGTCAAACTTCCAAATATATTGTAAGTGATGATTACAAAAAATAAATACATAAATAAATATAAGATGTATTCTAACTCAGAAAAAGGGGAAGTCACACAGACTTGATGTGGGAAAAGAGATGTGGAATACTCAGAATCTGAATTTAGGAAAAGAAGTACCGTCTTCCCAATTGTAAATGTTAGGATGATGCGTATAAAGCAGCGAAAATAAAAATACAGTTGTGTTTTTGTTGTTATGTGGCTCTTTTATGAGCCAGACATTTTTTCAAATTGCCAGTTAAAGAGCGTGGCCCCCCAAAATATGTGTCTAAGTCCTAACCCCTGAAACCTGTGAATATGACCTTTTGAAACTAGGATCTTTGCAGATGTAATTACCTTGGTAATCTCCTAATGAGATTAGTCTGGGTTTAGGGTGGGACCTAAGTCCAATGACTCGTATCATTATAGAAGAAATCAAAGGAAGATCTGAGACACATCGACAGCCATGTGGAGACAGAGGCGGAGACAGAGCTCACTGGAGCTATGCTGCCACAAGCCAATGAAAGCTAAATGTTCCCATCAGCCACCAGAAACCAGCAGACAGGGAGGGGCTGGATTTCTACTCAGAATCCCCAATGGGAACCAACTCTGTCAACATGTTGATTTTAAATTTTAGGTTTTCAGTATGTGAGAGAGCAAATTATTGTTTCATCTGTGATAGTTTATTACAGCAGCCCCAGCAAAGTAATACGCGAATGTTTTACACTTATTATTAATATCTTATTTTTCTCCTTGAATCTCTATGAGGTCATTTTATGCTTGCTGTTCTATTACTTCCATGATGAAACTGCGACCAGGTGTGGAGGCTCATGCCTGTAATCCCAGCACTTTAGGAGCCTAAGATGGGAGGATCACTTGAACTCAGGAGTTCAAGATAAGCCTGGGCAACAAGTGAGAAACCCCTGTCTCTTAAAAAAAGAAAGAAAGAAGCTGGGAAAAACTAAGAATTTATACAGGGCCCGGCACGGTGGCTCACGCCTGTAATTTCAACACTTTGGGAGGCTGAAGCAGGAAGATTGCTTGAGCTCAGGAGTTTGAGACCAGCCTGGGCAACATAGACAGACCCCATCTCTAGAAAAACAAAAATTTAGCCAGACCCACACTTGTAGTGCCTGTAGTCCCAGCCACTCTGGAGGCTGAGGTGAGAGGATGGCTTGGGCACAGGAGGGCAAGACTTCAGTGAGCCTTGATTGTATCAGTGCACTTCAGACTAGGCAACAGAGTGAGACCCTGTCTCAAAAAAATTAACCTTGTCAATTGTATGTGATTGCCCTCTTTTCTGTGTTAGAATACATCTTTTATTTGTTTACTTTTTATTTTTTATCATCATCACTTGTAAAATACTTAGAAGTTTAAGACATCCTTTTATCCTTGAACCATTTGAGGGTAAGTTTTGATCTTAAGTATAATGTATGGACTCCTGTGACTTTGTGAAGCTGTATGAATTCTTAATTTTTAATTTTTATTATTATTTTTTAATTTTTGTGACATAAAAAGTAAAAAATAAAAATAAATTAATAAATAAAAATGTATAACCTTCACAAAGTCACATGTTTTCTATTTTATAGAGTAAAAATATCAAAAAATAAAAAGAGGCTTTGAAAAGAACATTCAAACAACAAAACAGATTTTGTAAATTAAAAATACCATTACATAAATAAAAACTTCAGTGGAATATTAGGAAAATAAAAAAGTGCCTTTGAGCATTTTGGAAACTTTGCAGACGACCAAGGCTGCATGCAACCTGAAGTTACGGACAACATAGAACTTTTCATATTCTACAATAAATGTTTCCAATTAAATTCTAGATGTCATGTTACAGATAAAACTGTAAAATATCCAGGACTTTCCGTCCAGAAGTTCACAATTTTTATACCCAAAGAAAAAAATTAAAGGAAATACTCACCTGAATATTCTATAACTGGTCTGAACAGTGCTTGCAGGAAAATTCATGCATTTGGCTCAGGAGTTGGGTGTCCTCTGGGCTTTCTGGATAACAGATGTTATTCTCTGAGATTTCCACAGTCTAGCAAATTCCAAATGCCTCTATAAATAATAAGCCTTGCTTTTTGGAGGCCAATGTATTATAGGATCCTTAAAGCCCCTCCCTTATTAGGTTTCTGCAGTACAGAGGACCAATGAAAGGATTTACCCTTCCACCATTGTTTACATCAGCTCAATTTCTAATCTCTGTAAATAGCCCTCTACAAACACCCTCTAGTTGTGGTTAGTGCTGGTTTATCTTGTCATTTATTTATTTATTTATTTATTTTGAGAGGGAGTCACCCTCTGTCATCCAGGCTGGAGTGCAATGGCCTGATCTCGGCTCACCGCAACCTCTGCCTCCCAGGTTCAAGGGATTCTCCTGTCTCAGCCTCCCGAGTTGTTCAGATTACAGGCATGTGCCACCAGGCCCGGCTGATTTTGTAGTTTTAGTAGAGACACGGTTTCACCATGTTGGCCAGGCTGGTCTGGGACTCCTGACCTCTGGTGATCCGCCCGCCTTGGCCTCCCAAAATGCTGGAATCACAGGTGTGAGCCACCATGCCTGGCTTTTGTCATTGATTATTAAACAACACCCACGTGGCAAATTCATGTTTGATTTTCTGGGGCCCCAAGTCTACTTTCATTTCTGCTCCCACGTCTGATAGTATTTTTATATGATATTTGAATACATCATTCCATTCTTTGATAATTTCTGCCCTTTCTTCACTGAAATCTAGGATCTGCTACCATCTCACCTGGCTCATCGACAGGTAAATCCCTTCAGTACTGATCAATTTCTACCAGTCTTTAGATTTGAAGATCAAAATGCTAATGACCATGATGGATGGTTTTGGAAAAAGACAAGTAGAGCCTCAATGTCTGGCACCTATGGCTGATTTAATTTTAAACTCAGGGAAATGAAATAGGTACTGTGCATAAAAAATATTCAGGTGATTTTATTTAAAGCATTTTTACTAAATTCAAACTAATCAAAAAAACCTTTATTTAAATGACAACTTATTTGAATAATTTTTAAATTTTTATTTTTAATCAATATATAAAAATTGCACATATGTATGACATACAATATAATATTTTGATACATGTATAAATTGTGCATTGATCAAATTAGGGTTTGACAACCTCAGGCTTCATAATTTATAAAATAGACTTTTGCCATTTAAAAACTTTATATCTAAAGTTACCAACTAGTAATTAACTGAACATATCAAATAATAAGATATTACTTAAAAGAACCTAAATTAATAAAATGTTTAAATACATTTTGAGCTTTAAAATACAATAAATAAATATGACTTATTTTAGAAAAATTTCTAAAAAAGTATAGACAAAGGTGGATTTAGACAAAAACATGTACAGAAAAATATCAAAAGGACTAAACCCCTTGGAGATTTTAATGGTAAAAGCTTGCTGATATTATTTTTAAAATTATCATCTTTTAAAAAAACATTTTATGGCCATTTGTTAATGAGCATAAGCTTCTACTGAAAATGAAATCTTTGCTTCTATAAGAATATACTCTCAGATATGCATCTCTTATAGAGCTAACATAAATAATTATTTAGATGTCTGTAGTTACAATAAGCTTTATATGATGGGGTTTAGAAATATCTAGAAAGCAAGCCCTGGGGATAATTCTAACACATGCTACAGTTTGGGAATGTAAGCTCAAACTGTCATCCATCTAGTGACTTAAAGTTTGTCTTCTACTCTAAAATACATCAACACACACACATATATGTGCACATGTAAATATATACAAATAAAATATTGTAGTGAAATAAAATACCTTTTTTTGTTTGTTAGTTGGTGTTGAGAAAAGCTCTAGCTCTGTTGCCCAGAATGGAATGCAGTGGAACAATCATGGTTCACTGCAGCATCAAACTCCTGGGCTCAAGTGATCCTCCCGCCTCAGCCTCCTAAGTAGCTGGAACCAAAGATGTGTGCCACCATGCCTGGCTAATTTTTTAAAAAAACATTTTTATAGAAATGGAGTATCTCAGTGTTGTCCAGGCTCATCTTGAACTCCTGGATTCAAGCCTTCCTCCTACCTCAGCCTCCCAAAGTGCTGGGATTAAAGGCATAAGGCACTATGTCTGGCCTTGAAAGGAATTTTTATTCAGTCTTTTCCAGATGTTTTTGCTTTTTTCTGGTGCTAGTCCTAAGAAAATTAAGAAGTCCTAAGAAAACTCTTCCCAACATGTAAAACATGCATTCGTTGGTTATTATGGCAATATTCCCTGCATGAGTAATTTTGGTGGTTAGCTTCTGTCTCATCATTTCTAGAAAAAATTTTATTTCTGTCATAACCCCTAATGCTTAGTAAAAAGGCTCTTTCTTTGTATGTTGGTCTTCTTCTTGCAAATTAGACACCCAGTATCAGCTAGTATTTCATTGTTGAGGACCAGCCCTGTGCTGGAGAACTCTGGTTTCAGGGCCGCTACTTACCATGGTAGCTCATGGCTGTGCTCTTTCTTTCTTCCTTGTTCCACTTCACAACATCTCACACAGGACAAAAACAGAGCAGATATGTTCAGATCCTCTGATGTTAATTGAGGCCACTTTGCTTTTTGAGAAATACAAAATTTGACCCCAAAACATCCATCCAGATTGTATACAGAGTCTATAGTGACCTCTCCAATATGACCTCCTGCTTTAACAGAATCAGTTCAGGTTCTGGATATTCTCACCAATCTCAAGTTAGCTGCAACTGCTGGAGTTTTCATCAATTCAGATACAAAACCATTTACTTTCTTTGATTTCAACAATAAGAATCACAAAACTAGATCTTACATACAAAGTACACCTCACTAAATTGGGGGATTGGTAAATAAATTAAATTAAAAGTGGTTATCATCTATTGCTATTTATATATTTCCTTGTAACCATTTCCAGTCTTGGTACCCATCCCTCATCCGATGGTGCCTGGCGCTCCTCTGTGCAAATGTCCTCTCTCCTATTTCCACAAAGGCAAAATGCTGTTTTCTATATTTAGGAATACTATCAACTTGTTGTTACTGTTGCCATTACTTCATAGTCACCTACTCATATGTACAGTTTCTAAACTAAAATATGGCAAGACACTTGTCAATGAAGACAATTCCATGTGAAATTTTAGGCGTGTTTCTTTTTCTGCAGAGTAATTGACTGATTCTCAAATTTTACGGGGCTAGTTTAGGCACAGCTCTTCCCTCTGAGATCTTCATTTTCTGAGAAACTAACTCTGAATCTGTGTCCTGATGAGGATCTGCCGTCACACATACCACAAAGTGCCACCCGTGTCAATCATGAAAGTCCGCACTCAAACTGACACCCACAATTGATATCACAGCAGAGAAACAAGGACATAGAGCACAACTGAGAGGAAGAGCTGTCTCAGCCATGCAGCCAAATGCTTAGGACCAAATAAGGAATCCACGCCTCACACTCTCTGGGTTGGAGAAGATGGGACCGCATTAGATAAGTTGGTTTTTCGTTTGTTTGTTTGTTTGTTTGCTTGTGAGATGGACTCTTGCCCTGTTCCCCAGGCTGGAGTGCCCTGGCACGATCTCGGCTCGCTGCAACCTCCGCCACCTCGGTTCAAGCAATTCTCCTGCCTTAGCCTCCCAATTGGCTGAGATTACAGGCACCCACCAACACGCCCGGCTAATTTTTTATTTTTATTTCTAGTAGAGACGGGGTTTCACCAGTTGGCCAGGCTGGTCTTGAACTGATGACCTCAGGTGATCTGCCGCTCTCAGCCTTTCAATGTGCTGGGATTACAGGCGTGAGCCACCGCGCCTGGCCTAGATAAGTACTTTTGAGGGATAAGATGGTAATACCTGAAATATTTGGCTAGAGATGTTCCTATATTGTTTTTCCTTCCATCTCTCTGTCTGTTACTTGTATCCTAGACTAACAACCAAGGCTCCTTTCCATGGAAATTATTCTACTCTCTTAGCCGTTGCCTCTTTCTGCCTATAGAACATCTTGCACACCACTACCTGACCAGATTTTATAACTCAGCATTCAAGTGAAGCTCCTATTATAGTCCAAACTCTTCCTTATGGTATCCTTGCTTTTTCAGTACTAATCTGAGATACTCCTGCTGCTTTTCTTCAGAACAAATAGCTCTTTCAATAAAGCTAATGTCAGGAAACTTGCCATGCAAATAAACACAACAAATACATTGAAACACAATCTATTTTATTTTTTTCCGTAACAAACCTCTTAAGTGAATTTATGTCCTTAATGAAAGAGTTGTTTGCTTTTCCAAGTTCTGCATTTTCTTTTCTAAATTGTTCCCATTTTCCTTATACTTTCTACAATATTCTCATGATGCTTCATTGTTTCTTTTTGGGCCAGCCTCTCTCTCTTCTCCACTGCCTTTTGAAAAGCTGAGCAGTTGGACCTGGGAAAGATGCCCTACCCGCTCCAGGCACAATGCTGATAGAGGATGCCAATCTGGGATGATGGCACATTTTCTGTGACAGCTGGTACCACAACCTGGTTACTGGCTGCTAGCATTCTCTGCCCATCAGTGGTCTCTAGATAGTGCACTGTGTACGTCACCAGCAATAGAGTGGCTCCTCTAATCCGTTATCTTTTCTGCAGTCCTTGTGCACCAAGAGTATCATTACTAGTTAGTTCTAAAGCTCCTCACTGAGTAATGGCAGTATGCTGCCCACTGATAGTTTGGTAAGCTGGAGCTTGTACCATCACTGCAACAATAGCAGATGACACTGCTTTCTCATCTTCATACTTTTCTCTAATTCCTGGCTTTCCAGGTGCATGGAAGGATACACTACTCAATATTATCCTGTTGGAAATGCTCTTGGACAGTATCTGTCTTACCTGTTAAGAATCAGATATCCATGAACTGTATTCTGAGAATCTTTACCCTTCATACTTATGAAGATATGAGTTGTAGAAAAACACTTCTTAAATCTTTGGTAGAATTCTTCTGGACCACTCTCGATATAAGAAGCTTCCCTGAATGACTCCAGCTCTGTGGAAACCATGTGGATCCTCCATGCACGATGCTACAAAAAAAAATCACAGAAATTTGTCTTGATCATCCTTTTTGATTCGTACAGGCTTCTTCCTTCCTATTAAAGTGATTGTTTTATTAATAGGATTAGGGTAATGTAGTGTTCTCTGTGCATGTTTCCCGAATATGTTTGGAAATAAACTACAGGTGAGGGAAGAGACTCACAAGGGAATTCCAAGTGGCTGGGATTAAAGAATGGGTGAGTGAATAAATGATCTGTTTCCAAGATTGGATTAAAAGAAAAAATTGCCACTGATCTCTTTTCCACATTGTGATTATATTGCCCTCTTCTCTCAGTTGTCTCTAGATTTTCTGCCTATCTCCCAGATTATTCTGCCTACTTCCCAGAAAATTCAGAAAGAAAGATATTTTCTTTCTGAAATTTTCAAGTAATAAAGTAATGAATTTAAGCTCCCCCTATAAAATAAGCTCATGTGTATTCCTAAAAGTTAGAAAGGTTAGAAGTATAAAATTCCAGTATGTATTAGGTGACTGTCCTCAGACATTTTAAGGAAACCTCAGATGAGTATCAAGGATAGAAAATTAAATCCTAAAATACTATAGAAATATGAGATAAATGTAAAAACATTCTGTTAATTCAAATTTTTAAAAATTCCATTTATTTGGACTGTGCCCCAACAGACCAAATCAAAATGCAGCTATTCATGCTAAAGTTCTGCATCCCTGAGTTTTTAATTACATTGTTTACCTGACTTAGTAAAAAATCAGGACGGATGCATAATAGCCAAATGCCAAAACAGGCCAGCTTTAGCCAGCATGATAAGGAAGTCCTCTATTCTTTCATCTATGCAAGAAGAGTAACCTGATGTTAACCATTTCGTTTGTTGTATTATTTTGTTTCTTTGTTCCTGTTCAAGAAACCTTACAGAAACTGGCTCTTGTCCCATACCCAGCACAGAAACTCTCTATTTTTGGATGAGATATTTTCTTATTTTTGAATCACAGATAGAAGCCAATTTGATCATTTAGCTAAATTTGCAAAAATTTTGTCTTTTCATATCTTCAAATATACAATGAGAAAACCTGAAGAGATATGAGAAAATCTGGCCAAAATTACACACACACACACACACACACACACACACACACACACACACACACACCAGGAGTTGAACTGAGAACAGAAATAACATTTTCTGATTTGAAGGCAGTAGAATTTTTATTGTCTAATAACAGTAACTTTATTTTACATAATCTTGAATTTTTGGTTACTAGCAATGAGTCAGAGGAAAGCTCACGGGAGGACACCTGGGTAGACATTCCTCTCTGAGTCTGCAGCATCAACAGCTATAGTTAGTTGAAATGATAAATTAAATTATGCTGGCTAAATTGAGAACACAAGACAAGAACTCTATGTATGCTACTATTATGCATTTGCTTTATTTTGCCACAAACAACTTTCCTTTCTTTTCTTTTCTTTTCTTTTGAGACAGAGTCGTACTCTGGCACCCAGGGTGAAGTGCAGTGGCATAATCTCAGCTCACTGCAGCCTGCACCTTCTGGGTTCAAGCAAGTCTCCAGCCCCGTGTCTCAAGTAGCTGGGATTACAGATGCCCACCACCATGTCTGGCTAATTGTCGTAATTTTGGTAGAGACAGGGTTTCACTATGTTGCCCAGGCTCGTCTCGAACTCCTGACCTCAAGTTATCTGCCCGCCTCAGCCTCCCAACATGTAATTTTCTTTTTTTAAGTATATGGTTAACACATCTTAGTTCCTTCCTGGGCTCATATTCCTTGATGTGATCTTTATGCTACGGCTTTCCCAGAATTTCATCATAGACTGTGATCTCTTCGCATTTTGTATACTCTTCCTTAAATTTCATATCACTTCTCTGGTTTGAACTACACACATACTATGTTTCCACATCAGTTTTTAATTTTATTTCTATGAAGAATTTTACTTCTGCCCCCCAAAATGTGACAAGGCAAATGGATCAATAACCTCTTCACGAGGTGAGAAGGAATCTTAGGTTTCTGATATAACTGGCAAGGTTCCCAGTGTCTTACCTTAATTTTATTTCTGAATTTTAGGAATGTCCCAGGTGATAATAATTATAATAGAAGTTATCAAAACAGAAGAATGTAATAAATTTTTGGTTTAATGGCTGAGAAAATTTACCAACCTATATCTTAAATGTCCTTAGTGGCTAATACCACCTGTATGTACAAGTAAATCTAAGCTAAATAAGATTAGCTACAAAATTTTCTTTGAATAAATGACAAACAAAATTGGTAACAAGGTAATTGAGAGTGTAATGGCTGCTGCTTATGGAAATTTTAGTGTCAATAGAGAATGCTCAGGAACTTTAGGTGGAAACAGAAAGGAAAATTGGGTTGAAAGCCCAGAAGGTAAAATTCCACAATGTGAGATCACTTGGAGAGACACAAATTTCAGAAGGTGATAGAATTTTCCTGTTGCCGAGTAAAGTGCTACAAAACATGTGTAGGAGGAGAAGAGAGAAAGTTAACTAAGCAGTCTAGGTAGTACAGACAGAAAGAATAAGGAAGCATTGCTGATAAGTATTTTCATAATTTGGATAATCACCTTGATTTAGCCACCAATTTAAGAGATTAAAAGACACATAAGATCCTTCTTGCCATATGATCCTCAGTTAGCCAGTTGCTGAATGGGGAAACACTGGACACCTCGACAGTGGTGAAAAGCAGAGTTTACTTATTCCTGAATACTCATTCCCGGTTCGAACTAAAAGCAACTCTTTAGTAAAGGATCACCTGATTTTCATTGAACACAAGCTCTGGGTATTTCTTCTGCTCTGTCTGTCATTGAATTTTTTTTTTCTTCTAAATCAAAGAAAAAAAAAAGATAAAGAAAAGGCCAGACACAGTGTCACATGCCTCTAATCCCGATGCTTTGGGCGATTGAGGTAGGAGGGTTACTAGATTTCACGACTTTGAGACCATCATGGGCAACATAGCAAGACCTTGTCTCTGGCAAATAAAAACAAAAATAAAAAATAAATAAAATAAAATAAAAATAAATAAAATAAAGGAAATAAAAATAAACATTTAATGTGTATTCAGCATTTCCAGATACATCTGGCAGCTCAGTGTGCTGCATGCCTAAGCTTGAAGGAAGAGGATGGGAACAGAAGTATTGTAGAAAGCACCACGTCATTTCCTGACATTCAGGTCCTCTTGCTCAGGATGCTTTTTCAGTTTTCTCGCTGAACAGGAGATGGCAACAAATTTCACTTTCTTGCAAATAGAGATGAAATCCAGTTGTTGAAAGTAACAGTCGTTTTTTTTTGATTACCTCCTCTATTTAGATAAGTAGATGTAAAAAATAGCCCCCATTTACTTAAAATTGGGATCTTTATTAGAGTAAATTAGCCTGTGCCCTAACTGATCCCATGAGAGGTTTTTGCTGATTCTGGGTATCTGTGAGAAATGTACCCTCAGGTTTATGAGACTGAATGAATTACAGATGATACAAATTCTTTACATATTAGTCATAATTGATCCCTTGTTTATAATCCAAGATATTTTCTTTCCTTTTTTTGTTTTAACATAGGTTTCTCAATTTATTATAAAAATATGCACTCTCTATCATCTGTATTCCTCTTTATGATGTAAGTGTGTTTTGTATATTTCTACAGTAAATGAGATGGAAATCATTTTATTCTTAGTGAGTAGCTTAATATGTATGTCAGTTTAATTCCCGACAGTCTCCATCATTGTAAGTCCTTTTTTATATTTTCTTATCACTAAGAATCTTCGTATTTTCCTGGTACATGTTGGCCATCCTCAGAAAATTTCACAATCAACCTTATAGAATAAAAATAAGATACAATTGTTTCAAATATATAAATAATGAAAGTTCATTAGCATGTGAATCTTGACACTTCATTAGCATGTGAATCTTGACACTAATCTTCTTACGTTTTTTGACATTATCCTTTAATATTTTCTATCATATTATGCTACCCATATTTTGGGAAAATTTCCTAATTCTATTACAGAAAAATATTTGTTTATATTAATTCTTTTATTCTTATGTAAGGAGAATATTAAGAACTTCATATATCCAGAGCACAACAATCCATGTCTAGAACAAAGCAGGCATTTTTGTAAACATATATTCACATACAACTTTTTTTTTTTTTTTTTTTGAGACGAGGTCTCATTCTGTCACCCAGGCTGGAGTACTGTGGTGCAATCTTAGCTTATTTTAGCCTTAAACTCCCAGACTGAAGGGGTCCTCCCATCTCAGCCTTGTGAGTAGCTAAGATTACAGGTGTGAGCCACCACGTATGGCTTATATATACATATATATTTTGTAGCGATGGGGTGTTGCTGTATTGCCTAGGCTGGTCTCAAACCTCAAGCAATCTTCCTGCCACGACCTTCCAAAGTGCTGGGATCACAGGCATGAGCTGCCATGCCAAGCCATAAAAAACTTTAAATTGTGTTTTTGTGTAAACAGTTGAAATGCGGTGATGAAGGGTGCTATTAAGGTTATGAAAAAAATGGCTTTGAGCCTAAATGTAAAAGATTACATAAACTCCATTTTATTGACAAGATGAGATGCAAAGTCATCTCCTGAGAAAGAAAGAGAAGGTGGATTGGGCTTGTTGTTGCAGTAAAGTTATAGATTATTCAGTGATGAGATGGAGTGAAAGTGGTAAATTATGTGGTAAATATTATTTTTATTAATATTTTAATATTACAGCAGATATTTATTTTTTATTGTGTTAGGTATTATAATAAACTCTTTAGTGGCACTGAGAAATGACAACATGCTAGCAGCCCTCGCTCGCTCTGGGTGCCTCCTCAGCCTCGGTGTCTACTCTGGCCGCGCTCCAGGAGCCCTTCAGCCTGCTGCTGCGCTATGAGGGACCCCTCTGGTGCTGGCCTAGGCCAGAGCTGGCTACCTCTGCTGAAGGGGAAGTGTGAAGAGAGACGCGCCAGCAGGAGCCTGGGCCGCACGCATCTCTTGCGGGCTAGCGAGGGTTCGGCAAGTCCCGCACTCAGCGCAGCCCGTCGGAGCCTGCTGGGCTTGATAGGAGGCTCAATCCCGTGCGTGGGACCCCTGTTCCCTTTTCGCGGGATCGTTAGCCACGTTAGTAGGTCTCTGTCTCTTTCTCGCTTCCCCTCTTTTCCTCTAGATTGTCTGGGACGAGATCCCTCTGGGATGCCAGAGTGCCCGGGCTAGGTGCCACAAAGTCCAGCGGCAAGTGCCAGTGAGAGGTGAAGCCAGTTGGGCTTCTGGGATGGGTGGGGACTTGGAGAACTTTTCTGTCTAGCTAAAGGATTGTAGACGCACCAATCAGCACTCTGTGTCTAGCTAAAGGTTTGTAAACACACCAATCAGGGCTCTGTGTCTAGCTAATCAGGTGGGGACACAGAGAACTTTTCTGTCTAGCTAAGGGAGTGTAAAAACTCCAATCAGCACTCTGTCAAAATAGACCAATCAACTCTCTGTAAAATGGACCAATCAGCTCTCTGCAAAATGGACCAATCAGCAGGACGTGGGTGTGGCCAGAGAAGGAATAAAAGCAGGCCACCTGCGCCAGCAGGCGCAACCTACTAGAGTCCCTTACCACACTGTTACACTGTGGAAGCATTGTTCTTTTTGTTATTTAAAATAAATCTTGCTGCTGTTCACTGTTTGGGTCCACCCCGTGTTTATGAGCTATAACACTCACCTCAAGGTCTGCAGCTTCACTCCTGAAGTCAATGAGACCACGAACCCACCAGAAGGAAGAAGCTCTGTACACATTTGAACATCTGAAGGAACAAACTCTTGACATACTGTCTTTAAGAACTGTAACACTCACCGCCAGGGGCCGTGGCTTCGTTCTTGAAATCAGCGAGACCGAGAACTCACCAATTCTGGATACAGCATGATGTGACCTGACTCTCAACCAGTGGTCGTTGGAATGTTGGTCTATTACCCACATTTCACTGGAGACGGCAACACACTGCAAAATGAAGAGTACAGATGTGGGAGACTAGTTGCCTTAGTTCAGATCTGTTAAATTTCCCACAGTTCAGTTTTTTATTGTAAATATTGGATTATAGAGGTTTTTATATTTGAAGCATTTAAAACACATGCGTACCACATGATAAGTTCTCAATAAATGTAAGCTTTGTAAGCTCTCATCACTAGGCTTGATAATTGACAACACTTTGGCAAAGTGAGTTAAGCTCAATGCAGGGAAGCTGAGCCTCAAAATGGGGCTTAACCTTTGAGAGTCCTTGACTTTGCCCAGGAAAGGATTCAAGGGCAAGCCAAAGGTAGAGGTAAACAGCTTTATTGAAGCAGTAGCGTTTCAGCTCTGGTGATGTTACAGCTTTGTGGCTGCTCCCACAGAGCAGGGCTACTCCATGGGCAGAGATTAGCAGCTCACAGCAGTTTTGCAGTCATGGTTACACCTACTTTTAATAGCATGTAGACTAAGGGGTTTATGCAGAAATTTCTAGAGAAAGGGTAATTTGGGATGTCAAGTCATTGCCATGGAATGGGTGATAACTCCTGGGTGTTGCCATGGCAATGGTAACCTGCTCTGGCACACTGGTGGGCGTGTCTTTTGGAAAGCTGCTTCTGCCTGGTCCCTGTTTTAGCTAACCTCAACTTGGTTTGGTGTCTGAGCCCTACCTCGAAAGTCAAGTTTAGCCTCCTACCTTGAGGAGACTTGTTCAAGACCCCACAGCAACACTCATTCCCCGGTATGGAAGACAGTGATGTTGACCAAGCTTTAGGTTTTGTTTTTTTTCTGTTAACAAGCGTTTGTTAATTTCCACAGTATACCGAAGAAGTACGTTTGATAGTGGAAACACACTAGTGAATGTGTAATTAACTGTGGCAGAACAATTATTAAAACAAAAACCAAGGGGATATTGTATGATGGTGAAATGAGAATAGAAAGAAGGGAGTATATGTCTACATTTTGTTCTTCTATTCTCCCATCTCTTCTCTTATGGCCTGGGGGATGACCTCAAATTAAATTAAAATGAAACAAACTGCCAGGAATGGTGGCCAGCTCCTATATTCCTGACTACTCCATAGGCTGAGGGAGGAGCATCCCTTGAGCCCAGGAGTATGAGTTCAGCCTGGGGAACATAGTGAGACCCTATCTCCATTTTAAAAATTCAGTCTATCTCTCTATCCAAATATATATAAATAAAATGAATAATGAATAACTGCCATGACTTTATCACACACCCACACATTAGGCTTCTGTGCTAATACACTCTCTATACTCCCTGCATCCCAACAAACAGGAATCTTTCTAAAAAGATGAAAAATGGATGAGGTTTAAAATAAGCTTCTAGAATTTAATTGGTTTTCACATCAACCTAAAATCCTAAAAAACGCAAACCATTAAATTAATGCTCCTATCTTTAACATCAAAGTTTTCAAATCTCTCTTATGCATTTTTAAATTTAATTATTCAAATATTTGTTACATTTCCATTATGTCCTAGACGTTATATTAACTGATTGTTATTATTTCCTGGAGTGTAGTCGTAAATAAAACTGACATTTCTTTAAGTTTTAGATTTTATACTATTAGAAAAGAAAAGCACCAGTGGGCTTGTGTTTCATTGTGCTCTTTTAGCTTACCTTTCCACAGCTGGCTGGTGTTAACCAGCTCAATTAGACCCTCTGCCTTTTTGCAAGGACAGAGGGCTTTCTGTATCCTGGGGTTGTTGCCTGAGTGTACCAGAGAACTCGGATCATATGTGGGCTTGGAGAATGAGTGCAAGATTTATTGGTTGGTGAAAGCAGCTTTCAGCAGATAAATGGTGTGCCAGAAGGGGGATGGAGTGGGAAGGTGGTGTTCCCCTGCAGTAAAACGTCTCAGCAGCAGGGCTCGCCTCCAAGAGCTCTCAGCTGATTTCCATGTCATTCTACCATTAATGGCTGCCAGCATCTGCTGGTGCCTGTCAGTGTGCTCTTCTTCTTTAGTGCCAGACTTCTCTAGAGGCTTACAGGCTTCTAACCCTTTACAGTTTGTTTAATCTATTTTTCAGAGCATCAACTGATTATATATATGTGTATGTGTGTGTATATATATGTGTGTGTGTGTGTATATATATATAATGTAAACAACAAATCATCCACACTTTCTCACTTCTAAAATAGTTTCCCCTTCTCTCTCCTGCTGCTTCCCCTGGTGATTTTCCCACCATCCAGGAAACAACACTTTATCTTTCACCTATCCAGGATTTGGAGGTATAAAAAAATCAGAAATTGAGATGCTTGTTTTCTTTCATTCTTCTTTTGTTTATTTATTTATGTATTGGTGTTTGCTTTTTCTCCTTTTTTTTCCCAATACTTTCTTTGCATCTGTCCAGTAAAATCACTGAGTATGGTGACATAATAGATGACTACATAAGGTGGGGGAGCAAAAGTAGAACCAGGAAAAAGTAATATTAATATCTTGATCATGTATGCCTTCGCTTTAGTAGATCCTGTTTGATATTTGTGGAAACTGAAAGAACACCTGCTAAAATCCAGGTACACGTGCACCTGTGTAATATGTCTCCAAACACCTGTAAAAAAAAAATAGAAAGGGTTTGTGCTTTCTACAAGATGAATCTTCCACTAAGTTCAGTGTGAGATCTGGAGGCAGTTTCTGAAAATATTATTTTCCTGCCATTTTCCCTTCTGGAAAGCATTTTATATTTCTTCTCTAATGAAAAACATAGTCTATCATATTGTTATGAATTAATGTCCTAGTGAAGTCAGAGTCTTGAAGACATTCTTTATACAAGTGAAGGGAGAAAAGGCCCAGAGTCTATCTTCTGCAGTAACCATGAAGAACCTATCCAGTCATCTTCCCTAGGCCCTATTATAAAAGTGAATGGATGAAAAATAATATTTAGATTCCCCAAACTCCCAGTCTTGCCATGTCTCCAAACTGACCTAATGTAAATGAATTTCTCACTATTTTATAAATGTTCAAAAAGCCAAATATATTATTGACCGTAGATGGGGAATATTTATTAGGGCTGTTACCTTGACCATTCCACAAAGTTTTGTTGCTGGTGGATAAAGTAAGAGGGACCTTTTTTTCTGGTAAAATCCCTGGGAGGGGCTATACTCTACCCACAAAGTAGCATGAGTTATGGAAATGTGTTTCTGGAAAGAAGTCGTGGAAATACAGGGAAGAAGGCATTTCAGGAAAGAGGAAGAACACCTGTGCACATGAATGTTCCACATCCTGATACCCCATGGTCAGTCAGTACCTGGATTAGCTCCACATCTGGTTTATGGGACTTTTCCTTCAGCTCCTCATACATTCCTTTTAAAATCTCCCTCTCATGGGCCATTCTGGCATCGCTTTTATGGAGTTGCTAAAAATTGTCTTCGTCCTCCTTTTGAAGCATCTGCAAGTGATGTTGCTGTTCTTCATGGAGAAATGCAGGCATCTTCTGATATTCAGCTCTGATTGCTTCTATCTTTAAATTCACATAATCCTGCAGTAACAACGGGTTAGTCAAAAACAAAACCGACGTACTCATCTCCTATTGAATCTCACTGGTTCCTCTTTGTCTCTTGAACATCCCATATTTTAACTCTTAGTCTTGCCAATTCTCAGACTATACGAAATTTTACTCTGTTTTCTTTTCTGCATGAAGATCAACGAACATAGATGTATCTAACCAAATATATTCACTTTATTCGTGATAAAGTGTTTTTTCTAAGATAGTCATAAAGAAGAAAAACAAATTGGATTCCTCTTTTCCAACTCATATTTATAGAAAAGTAAGACAGTTCGGGCTTAATAGTTAGACTCTAGAGCTATATTGACTAGAAAGGGAATAATTATTTTCATTTCTGAAATTTGGGGCAAGTTATTTAAATTCATTATGTGTGAAATAGCCTCAGACTAGCATGCTCAACTCAATGCATTTCACCAAGCAAAACCTATGCTAATAAGGCTTCATTTATGATCTGGCCTTCTTTGTCTATCTAATCTCATTTCTTTCCATTGTTTTTCATACTGACTTTAACATAAAACATAAACTTCTTTGTGGTTCCTCAGCCCTCAAAATAAACACAAACTCAATATTACTGCACATGTTGTTTTCTTCACCTAGAATTCTCTCTGCCTCTCTTTCTCTCTCTAAGCATACACACACACACACAAACACACACACACACACACACACACACACACACACACTTGTGTTTGCCTTCCTCTTCAAGACGTTGTCTCAATATGAATTTTTCATTGAGGCATTTTCTGACCACCCTGTTTAAAACTCAAACTCTCGTCTCCAGTCCATGGCCTCTGTTCTCTTTTTCTAAGACCTTGGTATTTCAAATGAGCTAAGGATTCTTCATTTGAAATTGTCCAGTTGGAAGTCCTCTCTGACAGAGTTTCCCTTACTTGTGATTCAGAAATCCATCCACAGTCTCCTTTTAAAGTTACTTTTTGGATTTATAAAAAGTTGCATTCCACAAATACACTTTTAACCCCTCGGTTTTTCTGGACCATCAAAGCATTGCTCATCTGCCGAGAATCACAGGTATTGAAAACCACCTTAGACAGCAAATTCTCCCTTATGCAGGCATTTTTCTGAACCTGGACAACTGTTACTGTTTATTCACCCGGAAAATTTCCATTCATTCTTCAAGACTCATGCAAACGATTTGATCTTTGATTCTATATGTCCAATAGATAGATATTTGTGGCAGTTTCCATGTTGTACTGGGATTGTTGCTTTACTAGTGTGTCTGTTACTTCTACTAGATTGTGAGGTCTGGTTGAAAGAACTTCTCCTTTATTGTATCTCTGCCTCCACTTTCATGGCCTGACCTGGATTTTACCATTATAGAAAACTGCTAATCACAAAGTCTGCAATCACAAAGTCAAGAATCTCGCTTTATAATCAACGTTTCTTTTCTTTTTAGATTGGTTTTTCTGTATATGAGTTTAAATCTGTCTGATTACCTTTGGACCACAGTTTATTACTCTCTGTGGTTCTTGCAATTTGGGGGCTTCATCTTTTTTAACACTTCTCTTACTTCGGATCTTCTAGTGCATAATTTCAAAAATTTAGCACGAAAGGTAAGAAAGCAGAGTGCAGTTGATCATGCCTGTAATACCAGCCATTGGAAGGCTGCAGTGGGACGTTTCATGATTCAAGAAGTTTGAGACCAGCCTGGTCGACACTGTGAAACCTCATCATTACAGAAAAAAAACTTTACCCGGGTGTTGTGGCAAGCACCTGTAGTCCCAGCTACTGGGGAGGCTGAGGTGGGAGGATTGCTGGAGCACAGGGTGTTGAGGCTGCAGTTAGCTGGAATGCCCATCTCTGCATGCCAGCCTGGGTGACAGAGGAAGACCCTGTCTCAAAACAAACAGATAAACAAAAAAGTAACAATACAAAATATCTTACTAACGTTTGTAATGTTAATCGTGTCGAAACCTATTGGATATATTTGGTTAACGATTTTTATTAAAATTAATTTCAGTTGTTTCTTATTGTTTTATAATGTAACTAGAAAATGTATTCCCACTATGCAGCCATAAAAAATTATTAGATCATGTCTTTTGCAGGGACAGGGAAGGAGCTGGAGGCTATTATCTTTAGCAAACTAACACAGGAACAGAAAACCAAATAGTGCATGTTCTCACTTATAAGTGGGAGCTAAATAATGAGAACATATGGACACATAGAGGGGAACAACACACGCTGGGACCTATAGGAGGGTGGGGGATTAGAAGAGGGAGAGGATCAGGAAAAATAACTAATGGGTGCTAGGCTTGAGACCTGGTTGATAAAATAATCTATACAACAAACCCTGATGACACAAGATTACCCATGTAACAAACCTGCGCATGTATTGCTATACTTAAAATAAAGGTTTAAAAAAGTATTTTCTTCTCTTTCTTTTACAGTGTCTCTGTAAATGCATGAATTAAAGAAAAGCAATGAATATATTTTTCATGGGATAATATTCAAGATATATAGAAACAAAACTTCTGAGATTTAATTAAAACAATGTTAAGAAGAAAATGTATAGCATTATATTCATCTGTTATTTAGAAATAAAGCATTAAATTCATCTGTTATCTATCCCAAAGAGCCAGATAAACAAGAGTAAATTCATGCCAAAATCTAAAAAAAAAAATTGTAGAATATTGATTAAAAAGCATACAGTAGATAAAATCAATGAAGTAGGCTTTTTTTTTGTTTGTTTGAGACAGAGTCTCACTCTGTCACCCAGGCTGGAGTGCAGTGGTGCGATCTCGGCTCCTTGCAACCTCTGCCACCCAGGTTCAAGTGATTCTCCTTCCTTAGCCACCCGAGTAGCTGGGATTACAAGCACGTGCCATCACGCTTGACTAATTTTTGTATTTTTAGTAGAGCTGGGGTTTCACCATGTTGGCTGGGCTGGTCTCAAACTCCTAACCTCAAATAATCCACCCACCTCGGCCTCCCAAAGTGCTGGGATTACAGGTGTGAGCCACCACACCCACCAAAAGTAGGCTCTTTAAATAGATCAATTAAATTGATAAATTCTTAGTGAGACTCAATTAAAAAATGGAGAAGAGGAGTTCAAATCAAAAATAAATAGGCCAACACTTAGGTCATCCACAAATTAATATGTTAATAAGAAGATTTTAAGATGACTTTTATGTTCATACACTTGATGATTTAGATGAAATGAGAAATTTCCCTGAAAAACATATCTGACAAAAACCAACAGAAGAAACCATAGACAAATCTAAGATATGATTTAGATTCTAAAAATTTACCCTATTATTTAAAAAACAAAACTTCTCCCAGCGAAAAACCTGGTGATCTTTTTCAGTGAAATATTCACAACATTTAAGAAAAAAAAATCACACGCTTTTAGACAAACCCTTCTAGAGAACAGAAAAAAGCAGTAATACTTCCCAACTTGTAACTTTGGTTTTCTGTTGTGTTTTCTTTTACTTTTTGTAAACAGCTTCTCTCTCTGTTGCCCAAGCTGAAGTGCGATGGCAAGATCATAGCTCACTGAAGCCCAGAACTTCTAGGCTCGAGTGATCCTCCTGTCTTGGCCTCCCAAAGGGCTGTGATGACAGGCTCTAGCTGCTGTGCCAAGCTCCAACATATAATTTTGATATTCGATCCTGAAAAGTGTGTTACAAGAAATGCAAATTGCAGTACAGACTCTAAAATAAATATAGGTGCAACAATTCAAAAAAGCTAGCTAGTCAAATCTTGTGAGAGATAAACTCATATCATCTCCAAGTGGAGCTTATTCTAGAAAGGTTGACTAATGTAACATCAGAAAATGAAATAAGTAATCACGACATGAACAGGATGAAATACATATCATTGTTCCTGTAAAAAGAGGAAGAAAATATTTGATACAATGAAATGGTCATTTATGATTTTGAAAGCACTATTAAAAACAAATAGCCATGAACTTTCTCTAATAAGAATGTAATAACTTAGAGCCAGTACCATATTTAATGGAGAATTTGAAAGCTTCTACCCAGGAATGGGAATGAGATATAAATCCTGTTATCATCACTTGTGTTCAACACCTTGCTTGATCTCCTTTTCAATGCAACTAGACAAGAAAAAGAAGTAAATAATGTGAGGGTTGAATAGAAATAAAGATATCATAATTGCAAAACGTGACAGTTCAGTTAAAAAATAACTCTCTAAACCATTAGATATATTCGTGAATTGAAAAACAAATTGAGTCATGCATGCTTCTAAGACAATAGTTAAAAGTGAGAGTAAGCCAGACGCATTGGCTGACACCTATAATCCCAGCACATATATATACATACACACACACACACACACACACACACACACACAATTACTGTGAATATACAACTGCTATATTATATAAAAATATGCCTAACACACCCATACACCCCACACCCACACACAAGGCTTTGAGAAGGGCACTTTGTTCTGGGAAGGAGGCTTATGAGCAGTGAGTTTGGGAATCAAACCCAGGCAATTTAGCTTCAAGACATTGCTCTTAACCATGATACCATATTACTCTCAGCTGACTTTTTCATAGTGGGTGATAATACACAGTAGCCTCACAGCAATTCCAGGAAATGTAAGCACTCAAGAATTATTTTGAAATCTGCAGGAAATGTTGCTTGCTGTCTTCTTTATCCCTTGTTCTCTGCAACTTTGGTTTTCCTCACCAAGGGTTATTTTTCTGACACATTTATGGGTGCATTCCATTAAAGAAAGAGTTTTACTTGGTGTCAGGCACTGACAGAAGCTCTCTTTCTCCATATATGCCTGAACTTGACTGTCCTCCTTCTGTTCCAATTATTTAACCCTGAATACCTTTTACCCTTTTAGATGTCACAAGGATGTGACTGAGCAGTTTCAAGGACACCAACTTTTGCTTTCTCCTCCTCCCTTAGAATCCTGCATCTGCATTGCTGGTCTCAGACAGAACAGGGAACCCCTATTTCCCATTCTGGGATATTTTAATGATCAACTCTTCTTATGTTGTGAATTTGAAGGGCATGGACAGATCATTGCAAAGCGGACAGACAGGGACCTGCGTTCTGAGAACTGGGCCAGAAAACTGACAGAGGGACAGAAGAATTTCAGAGTGATTCTGGCAGGCATCATGGTTCAGTACGGGCCAGAGGAGTGGAACATATGGGCACAGGTTGAGAGGACTGCGACAAGACAGGGCCTATCTCCTTTGCAGCAGAATGTTAATAGATATTATATTTTAGTAAACAGAGGACATTTCTCTGAGTCAGCATCAAAAACTTTCACAGTCTGGAAGAATGAACAGTCACAGGACCGAGCCTCACCTTTCCTTCTGAGTATGAGAGGCTACAAGGCAATGAGAATGGAACAGCTTTTATCTGAGGTTAAAGCCAGTGTCTCTCTCTTCAGCCCACACTTACTGGTAAGGTCCAGTGGATGACTCAGCTACAGGTTTCTGAATTTCTGGCTTTTGAGGGAAAGACTTTGTCACCCTCTATGCTGAAGGTATTCTACGTACTATGAACCCCAGTCAGTGGTTCTTAACATCAAGAAATCTTGGGAAGTACAAGGCATTCAGAAGGCCTACATGAATAGTTTGCAGCCGCGTATAGACATCAGAAGGCGGTTCCTGACAAGGATGCCCTGACCTTTTTCATCTCATTGACATAGAATTACTGTGTCTCTCCCTGGTCATCTTGAAGGAGATGGACCACCCCTTCCCCCCCTCTACTCCAGTGTCATGTGCATCTTCCTCAGTGATTTTGCTGTGCTGTGTTCATAATGATTGTCCAGTTGATACCAAATCTTGAAGAAAATTTCCAAAAGAATATTTACCTGGTCAATTGTCAATTGCCCTTTTCCAGGAATCTGGAACTTGAATGGTGTTTCTATAAGGGGCTCGTTGGATCTCATGTTTTACAGGACCCCCAGTCTCTGGATATAGATCCTCAGTGTCCACTTCTTAGGAAGAGTAGGTGTAGTAGGTTATATTCCTCCCCCACTCTCTCTAAAAGAGTGCTAAAATATATATTCCATCCCACATTGTTTTTCTATGATGTAACTTCAAGACTGCTACTGCTGTGTGTGTGTTCTAGTCCCTTTACTTTGTGTAGGGTTGTGGCTACAGCTGATGTTTTACTCTCTGGAATAATGGTAGTATACAATTCTCCTGACTCTATGGGAATCTTCACTGTGGAAAATTATCTACCATGCTGTGAGCAAGCCCAGGGAGCTACCTGGAAAGGCCGTTTGAATATATTCTAGGTAACAGCCCCAAGCAATGAACCTCAGACATCAGCCAGGATCATCTGCTGGACTGGAAGTAGAATGTTTCCATTATTTAATCAGTGATCATGAAAATGACCATCTGGTGGCTAGACAGACTCAATGGACTCACTATAAACTGGGTTTTCATCAGAACTGGGTTTTGTTTGTTTCACTTTTTGTTTTGGTTTAATTTAGTTAGTTTGTTTATTTATTTATTTATTTATTTTTACCTGATACTAATATGTTTCCAATGTAACATGAGGTGTTGGTTATGTCTGGTCTCTAGGTTGTCAATGAGAATTCACAGTCTGTGTGAATTGGAAATATAAACACATTTTAAAGCAGACAGTCTGCACATCTATTATTCCCTGGATGATGCTGTTTGCTTTATTAAACAGCTGCAGAATTCAATGTGGGTTAAACCCTTTTGGTTCTTGCTCAGACATCGCTAGCAAATTCTCAGAAAAGCAATAGGCTGTACCATTAGCCTATGTCTGTAGATGAATATACTATCTAGGTTTTTGTAGTGTGTTCTGATGTTCACACAATGATGAAATCGCCTAATAATGCATTTCTCAGAATGTATTTTGTTGCCATAGGATGCATGACTGTTAAATTCCTGTTCTAGCCCAAAGATTCAGTGACAACTTCTGTGTGAAATAAATTTTTCCCCCCAAAGGGATGAGGTGTAGAATTTACTGTATTAATAGGAGGGAACTCTCACACTTACAAGTGCATTGTACAAAACCCCGTCTGCCCATGATGTACAAAAGTTGTTCCTGAATGAGATCATTAAGTTGGAATCACACACCCACATATTTCCAGAATTCCATCCAATAAATTCACAAACACTTGAAAATCACAATACGTATTTTAGGTAATGGTCCATAAGAGATTATTTTAATTGTAAGAAAATGTACAAAAAGTTTTGCCTTTTACAAATTTTTTATTTAATAGCAATAAAATGAAGTGACACTAAAGTACAAAAAAGCCTGAACAGTATGATTTCTTTGTATCAACAGTGAAGGGCTCCCTTGTATATGGAGTTCCCAAACAGTAAGTTTTCTTAATCCTGATCATCTGTGGCCAGTGTAAAAGAAAGGCCTGACAGGAAAAGTTAAGGAGCCAGCTGGGTAACTCCATATGAGGGAACTCTTGGTGACATTCAAAAAACTCACACTTCCACTTTCAAAATCAAGAAACACACCAACCCGGCCCAGAGGTTTCTCTATGTAGTGAGGAAACACTGGGGAGGTGGTCAAGAGATTGAAATGATTATCCACCTTCAGACACAAAAGAAGAAATATGTCCTCAGAGTTAACCATTGTGCTATTCTTCCTTATCCAGGAGTTGTTACAGACTCCCAGAGCCCAGTCACAAGAGTTGTCCACATCCAGCTCCCAGTAGTGTTTCCCAAAGGAGAAGACCCTGGCTCCCCATGCAGCAAAATAGTCAGATCTGTCAGAATTCAAAGGTCCACGTCTAAACATCCAACTTCTCACATCCTCAAAGAGCCTGATATTGTGATTGGTTACTTCAAAATGGAAGGAAATTTCCACTGTAGAAAAAAGAGAATGTTCCAGTGAAAATCAGTTTGTAAATTCTTATGTTCAGATAAGAAAGAGATTCTCACTAGAAAACACAGGTCAAGATTAGAAAGAAACTTCTGTCTGGAAAAATGTTGGAATCAAAGGGTGTTAGGAGATCTGCACAAGTAAATGGCTAAACTAGGATGATCACAATTTCCATAAACTCAAAAAGTATAAAGGGGAGGAAGGTCATGTCTATGTCTCGTTAGCGACCTTTCATAACAACTGAAAAACTGGAAGCTCCTCCACTGCAGCCAAGTCCATAGCCATAAAATTAACCTTCATTGTCTCGTCTCTGTCAGGGCAGAGCAGGAGGCTTTGGACAGGAGATGAGGTGGGGAGCTATTCTTAGTCCCAAATAAAAAAGTTATCACTTTCCAGAAATATTATGATCTGCCACTTAACCTAGCAAATTCATACTTAAAGAGAAAACCTGAATCTGCCTTCTGAAAAGTGCTGATTCCTTGCAAAAATTATCTGACTTTCATGCCAGATTCAGGCACAGACTTCTTTTATTCTGCTGGATTTGTCATGATCTATCCTGGAGTTCTATCTAAGACCTCATCAACCACCAAATCATGTTCCTATTGTTGACAGATTCTCAGTTTTTGCATTGTTATATAAGTTACTCATGTATGCTTTAGTTGATTAAAAACATGATTAAAATTATAAATGCTATGAAACATCACCTAAAAATGTATTTTTTTTAAAAAAACGCTGTCACTCAAATCAGTCGTTAACTGCACTGAATTTGAAATTGAAATGTCCTGAATTCAGTTCTGTATACTTCATGTAATAATTGTATACATGAAATTGTATCAGAGAATGGTTCCTAAAGTCCTAAAGAGCCCTTCTGCATGTTTTATTTTTCTAAGAAATTTGTTATATGGCTGATTCCTATTACATTTCACCAGCTTTTATTTCGTTTTGTCTGTTTGATGATAGTGAAACTATAAATATAAATACCTATTCACAGGCTATTCTCTTCTTCTAGATGAAAGATCATTACACTGGGAAAGCTGCCCATAGAAAACCATAATTGAAGGCATTGCATGTGGATCCCACCAACAGGGCCACACTCACCTCGGAAGCGGTTGAGCCTGTACACCAGTCCAGTGATGGGTCCTGCAGTGAGCTCTGGATTCACAGGCTGGGGCATGTGCAGCAGCACGGACTCACTCCTGCAAGGAAGTAGGTTGAGTTGGTTAACTTTCTGATGTCTGTGTTTAAGAAACAGATTCCAACAGAAAATGCTTCATTCAAACCCACTTCTGATACCGTAATGTACCTCCACAACGCTAGGATGGGTTTGTGGCTCTTAGGGAATCTTTCTAACTATTCACTCCATTTCTAACCTACTGCCCCTGAAAGATAAATGCCTCTCTCCCTATCTGCCACCAAATAGTTTATCTCTAATTATGATTCTGAATCGCAAAAAGAGGCAACTGTATTCTAGCAACCTCTGCATTGCACTCTTCAAAACATAAACCCCTGAGTCACTTGGGAAAGTAAGAAAAGATTAATGTCTGATAAAAGGCATAGATGACATTCATCATACCACATAAACACATGACTACACACACATACACACACAATCACACTGACACATTATGGTGTTAGTAAATTATGTTTTCACTTTGTTGGAAACAGCTTGATGTTTTTCATAGCATGCCTTGTGCTCCAGTTTGCACTGACGGCCAAAAACATACCTTGCCACGATGTCTCCCAAATCCTGTAGAGAGAGAGAGAAAAAAAAAATGACTTCTTTAGAAAGTTGTTATTCTTGTTGGGTGAGGTGGTTCACACCTGTAATCCCAGCACTTTGGGAGGCCAAGGTGGGTGGAACACCTGAGGTCAGGAGTTCCAGACTAGCCTGGACAACATGGCAAATCCCCGTCTCTACTAAAAATACACACACACACACAAATAGTGGGGTGTGGTGGTTCATGCCTTTAGTCCCAGCTACTAGGGAGGCTGAGGCAGGAGAATTGCTTGAACCAAGGAGGCAGAAGTTGCAGTGAGCTGAGATTGGGCCATTGGACTTCAGTCTGGGTGACAGAAGAAGACTCTGTCTCAAAATAAACACACAAAAAAGTTGCTATTCTGCCTATCTGGTCTTTAGGTTTTCAAAACTTTAGAATTACCGTATACTATTACTGCCACTCTTTTAAAATGTATTCTCATCTCTAACAATTATACCAGTAAGACCTATTGACAATATGGATTTCTGATAAATTAAGGACCCTAAATTTGAGTGAGAGAGAAAGGTGTGAGTAGTGACTGCGCATTGCTGCAGCTGTCTACAATGTGGTCTTTTTCAGGGCTAGTCCCCAAAGTGTAATGTGGCTCAAATCAAGCATGAAATTTTTTCTTCCAGAGTTTTAATGAAATGTGCTGGAGGAGGAAGCTTGTGGTAGAAAATGTTGTATGGAAATCTAGTTGCACAATTCCATAAAGCTTTATTTCCATGATTAGCGTAGGAGTTATAGTTTATCTCTATAACCGGTGGGAATGACTCTCACCGTCAGTACAGGAGATGAGGAAATAATGTCTTTGGTACCCAATGGAAGGCAAAGATGTAAAGGTCAGCTAACACAAAGTGTCTCAAGGGGCATCCTCCATTCTTACCTGGAGCAGCTCCACATCTGGTTTATGACACATTTCCATTAGTTCCTGATACATTTCTTTCAAGTGTTTACTCTTTTGATCCATTTTGACCCAACTTCTCTGGAGTTGCTGAAAAATCTCTTGGTATTCCTTGTTCAGTCTCTCTAAATGTTGTTTTTCTTCCTTATGGAGAACCGGATGCAGCTTCCTATACTCATTCCTGATCATCTGTGCCCGTAAAACCACATTGCCCTGTAGGGATATGAATTTTGTAGGTTATATACCCAGGCCTACTTCCACCTCACAGAGCCTACAACTTCATCCTCCTCATTCCTTCTTTTATTTTCCATCCTTTACAAACAGGATGATGAGTTAAGCAAGACCTTCCTTCAAAATTTATGTAATTCATCAATTCCCAAACACCTGCAAAAAAGCCCTTTAGGTTTAAATGTTTAAATCAAATCGGAAATACAATTAGAAAACAACTAAAATTTATGATTGTTACATTGTCATGGATAATACACATAATCTTTGTTATTCACTTAGGTTGTTGTTTCAAATCTCTGTACTTCACAGCCTGAACAATCACTCTTAGTAGAAATGTTTTTAGTATATTATAATCAGGATCAGAAGCCATCACACAAAAAGGATCTTAGTAAAAAATTTAACCCCCATCTCTCAAACTGACTACCTCTTTTCTGTCTCCTATCTTTCTTCTGTCAAATCCATAGACTCTGTATTGCACTGCCATTCTAAGAACATTAATCCCCATTCCATTGTGTTTCTCCTCTCAATAATGACATATTTATCCTCTCACTGCCCCAGTCATTTTTTATCCCTTCTCCTCAGCTTTTCCTCATGTTGCATTTTCTCCTACTCGGACTGGCATCATGTGGGTCCTTTGCTATCAGATTTCACCAGCACAGGCACATTTCTTAAATTACTGTTCCCACCCGATTTCTTCCCCCTGGACAATATCATATTCACCAATAAATGCCTTTATTTCTCAATTATATACTATTTAATCAACATTTCATAATTAATTTTATACAGAAAACTCTGTCTGAAATACTTATTAATTTTAAGCACATACTTGCCCTTCAGAATTTATATTTATTTTTTACTTATCTGAAAAGCATTTACAGAAAACCTGAACAATCGTTATGTTGAACAGTCTGGTTGTTTTCCAGCCTATGAATAAACACATGACAAAATCTGGCATAAGAATTTCAACTCAAGTTGCTAATATAAATGTTGTCAGCATGCCTGTCTCAAGCTGGTCAGGAGGACTCACGGTCTCATACTTACCCTCCAGAGGAAGGCTGTTCTTCCCTCCTCATATAGATTTCTCTGATTTTCTTGAATCTTTTTCCATAAAATCCTCATTTGCTTTAAGAGTTTCTCCTGCAAAAGAATTACAAGGTTGAACAACAGAAAGTCAAATGCCAAAGATTCCACAATCTGAGTGGTATACACAGGCAAGGGATAATATATAAATACATTAGTGAGAGGAGAAAAAAACAAAATTTTTCATTGCTCATCCTTAATTGATATTTTTCAGTTTGAGGTTTCAGAATGTAGAACAGCTTAGGGAACTGAAGAGTGAAGATTTCCTGTAACCCAGCTAAATTAGTTCAGGGAAACATCCTGCTTCAGAACCCACTATGCTAGCCCCTGATTTTGTAGTGTGCTACTCCCATACTCATTTGTCCAGTAATATTAAATATATTTCCAAAATACCTTTCTTTGCACTGGTAGTTTTGGTAGCTTTTCAATGTCATTAGCATTGAACTGTAGAGTCAATAATAATGACATTTACTTAATCAGTCTCTTTTTGGGTGCAAGCTCCATGAAGGAAGGTAGAGTTGCACATTTTATTCAAAATGTCATCATTGGTACCTAGAACAGCACCTGGCACTCAGTAAAGAATGGAGTAATCACCATGATTCTCATCATCCTTCTAATATCTTTAACTCTGCCACCCTCCAGCTTTCAGGTGATCACAGAGCTATCTCTTACCCGGTGTTCCTCAGCTGCCTCTTCGATGGGATGGTGTTTGTGAGCCCCGTGCTCCTGAGAGTTGGAGCACAGCAAGCAGAGGAGACTCTTGTCCATGTCACAGAACATCTTCTTTGTTTGCCTATGGGTCCCACATATTTGTTTCTCAGAGCTCAGGAATTGCCAGAGACTGGCTTTTCTGGCAATGGTCACTAAATTCTTCAGAAGAATATTGGTTTTGAAGTCCATTTTCGGTGATGGTTCCCTGCATGCAGGGCAGTTTGCAGGACTTTGGGCTTCCTCCCACGAAAGGCAGAGACAGGGCCTACAGAAGCTGTGCCCACAGCAGATGGTGACAGGGTCTACCAGGTAGTTCAAACAGATGACGCAGGTGAGTTCCTTCTGGAAGGCATGTGAGAAGTCTGAGTCCATTTTCCTAAGGAAAGAAAACCACAGGAATTTAATCTTCTACCCTGGAGAGACAAAGATCCAAGCAAAGTTTGAATCAGATCGTGATCGAATAATATCCTTTCTTTCTAAAGAAGTATAGGCTTTAATCTGCAATGACAGAAATAGGAAAAACAGAAAACTAAGGCACAAAGAGACATCAACCTCTATAAAAAGTGACTGTTCTCCAATCAACACATGACCAGCTTTCCAAACTCTACTTTCTTGCATGGAAGAATGTCGGATTTTTTGAGGTGTTAGTATCCACCAAATTGCTTGGGCTTCAAGGGTTTCATCAACCTGTAAACTCAAGGTTTGAGTCTTGAATGGTCTGAAAATCAGTAACACTCTTAATTGCCAGTGATTGGTTTAAAGAAGGAAAGCTAACTAAGCTCTTCTACTCTCATTATTTTATTTAACTATAACAACCATCCATAATGACTTTTCCAGAAGGACATTGCTTGAAAATGTTAGAGCAGAACTCATACTTTGACCCAAATCAGAAAAAGCTAGCCTTTACTCTCCAAGGAAAAACAGTCAAATCAAGGTAAGGCACCTCTCCAAGGTAAAGCTAAGAATCATTGTTTTTCTAGGCTACTATGTTAATTTAATCAACAAAAACTTTCTGGCATGTTTACTGTTCCTGGACAGTCTGTTAATTTGGGGATATACTAGTTAATATTACAACATCCTTAAAAGACAATTAATTCAATTTACAAAAAGATAATGATAATTGAAGCATTATCATTACTCTTTCACACAGTCAGGAAAAGAGTAAGTATCATGCAATAACAGGCACTAGAGGCCGGGCACGGTGGCTCACGCCTGTAATCCGAGCACTTTGGGAGGCCGAGGTGGCTGAGGCAGGCAGATCACGATGTCACGAGCTCAAGACCATCCTGGCTAACATGGTGAATCCCTAACTCTACTAAAAAATACAAAAAATTAGCCGGGAGTGGTGGAGGACGCCTGTAGTCCCAGCTACTCTGGAGGCGGAGGCTGGAGAATGGCGTGAACCCGGCAGGCGGAGCTTGCAGTGAGCCGAGATAGTGCCACAGCACTCCAGTCTGGGTAACAGAGCAAGACTCTGTCTCCCCTCTAAAAAAAAAAAACAAAAACTAGGCACTAGACAGTAAGTCAGCGTTTTAAATGTATGTTTTGCTAAAATACAAATAAAAATAAAAACCAAGCCAGGGAAGGTGACTCAAGCCTGTAATCCCAGCATTTTGGGAGGCCGTCAGGCAGGTTTTTTGAGCTCAGGAACTCTAGACTGGTGACACGGCAAAGTGTCTAGATCATCCTGTCTCTAAAAATACTTATATAAATTTAAAAAAAAAAGGCCGGGCGCGGTGGCTCAGGCCTGTAATCCCAACACTTTCAGAGGCGGAGGTGAACGGATCACAAGATCAAGAGATGGAGACCATCCTGGCCAACATAGTGAAATCCCGTCTCTACTAAAAAAAAATACAAAAATTAGCTGGGCGTGGTGGCAGGCGGCTATATTTCCAGCTACTCTGGAGGCCGAGGCTGAAGAATCGTTTGAACCTGGAAGGCGGAGGTTGCAGTGAGCCAAGAGCGCCGCTGCACTCCAGCCTGGCAATAGAGCGTGATTCCATCTCAAAATAAATAAATAAACAAATAAATAAATAGCTGAACATGGTGGCCCATGTTTAATCCATAAACCTATGGATTATGTTTAAAATAATTTTAAAAAAGAAATGGAGCCGTTTTTAAAACTCAGAAAATGAGATCATTTCATCTAAAAATAATCTAAGTTTGCAGATAAATTAAAGTCCCCAAATTTTGTTTTGGTTTGTAGCTCCTAATAGTAGCTCCTACTCTGGAAATTGTGTACTTACCTCAGAAATATATCTATGTTCTCACCAAAGCTTGCCGTCGAATCAGATGAATTCAGCTCAGGGATGAGAGTCTCACAGTGCAGTGCTGGTAGCTTTCGGAAGTCCCCAAAGCCAGTTGCAAAGCTACTCTGTGGGCTCTGGAGAAGAATGAGCTTGGCTCCTGAAGTGTCGGTTTATAAATCTCTGAAGACCACACCCCTTTCTTCCAATTGATTGCATTTCACAGGGCGTAGGTGGGTGTTAACATAGATGATTAAGTTTCTTCAGAACAGAAGTTTTATCTTTATTTATTTATTTTTTTTGAAAGGAGTCTGGCTCTGTCGCTGGCTAGTTTTTTTCTTGCATTTTTAGTAGAGAGGGGGTTTGATATAATTGATATAATAGGAATTGCAAATAGAGAAGCCCACACAAGCTAACCAAATTAATTCTAGTTTATTGGATAAATGGTATGATATGTATTCTAGTTCAAATTTGAAGGTTGGTATAAACCTTTTCAGACACTGGAGATGAGACATTTCACCAAGATTGGGTGTAAGGAAGAGGAAAGAAATAGAATAGTATATAAAATAGTATATAGAGTAAAAATACAGTAAAAGGAAAAATCAATCTGCATAATATGGTGTATGGCTAAATGTTTTTTAATATTTAGGCGAATCAGACATGGAAAAATCCTAAAAGGGAGATTAATAGAGGAGATAGTTGACTCAGTAAGAACTGTGAAGAAGCATCTCAGGAAGAGAAACTAGAAGTCTTTATATAGGTTTTGATTTAAAGAGGGAGAGAGAATAGGAACATTGAAAAAGAAGGACAGAAAGAAATAACAAATATTCAAGACTCCTTGCAAGAGTGAGGCAGAAAGTTTATAGATTGCTTGATTACACCCAGCATATAATTATTTGAAGTTTTCTGTTGAGAGTGAGAGTATGTAATCCTTTTAACCAAATGTCTCCGCAGAACTATGTGTCATTAAGTAAGGTGATAATCAATATTCAATATCAAAAGATGCATCTATTTCTCGATGAGGAGAAGCAACTTCATCTGCAGGCACTGGACAGCGAAGCCAAATAGCTTTTCCAACAACTACAAGACAGTCAAGTGAGAATGACCCAACATTTAGAAAGGATGAAAGACATGTACAGAGAGCTGTGGGAGACGTGCCTCATGCCTGACGTGGAGCTGCTCCAGGTGAGGAGGGAGGGTCCATCCCCAAAGAAAGGAAGACTTTGCTGGACAATGCTGCCAGGACATGCGAATGTCACCTGCATATGTCACTGCTCTCAGCTTAGTGACACATGCTGTCTGACTCCCACATTACATTTGTCCAGTTTTTCAGAAAAAAGCTACAAAAGAAGCTTATTAGAGGGGAATATTCCCTGTGGTCAGTGTTTGATAAAGGGGAATATAAAATTACATCCACTCAAAGATTCCAAAAAAGCTTGCTTGTTCATGGTTAGGATAAGAATTACATTTCACCTATGTTATTTCTATTTGGAAAAGTTCCTCCCTCTTAGAAGCAGGAGATACATATATGATATATATGGTACATATATGTATGTATACACACATATACATATATATATACCCCCCACACACACACATATCTATGGTGTTGAATAAATAATATCACCTAAGCCAGGGGTGTGCAATCTTTTGGCTTCCCTGGGCCTCATTAGAAATAGAATTGTCTTGGGCCACACATGAAATACACTAAGATTAACTATAGCTGATGAGCTTTAATAAAATGACAAACAAAAATCTCTTCATGTTTCAAGAAAGGTTAGGAATTTGTGTTGGGCCACATTCAAAGCCGTCCTTGGCCGCACGGACCGTGGGTTGGGCAAGCTTGTTGTAAGGTATGAACTTCAAATACTACAAAATTTTTTTAGGCATATTATTGGTTCTTTCCTGGAGCAGCTCCATATCTAGTTTATGGCACATTTTTATCAGCTCCTTATAGATTTTTCTTAGGTGTTTTTTTTTTCTGAACCATTTTGTCTTTTTGCTTTTCTTAAGTTGCTGTAAAATCTTTCTGTCATCATGGTTGTAAGTTTCTCTAAGTGTTGTTTTACTTCTCATGGGGAACTGAATGCAGCTTCCTCTACTCAGCTGTAGTCATCTCTGCCCATAGCTACACATAGCACTGCAGGGACCTAGATTTCCTAGATGACATATTTACTCTGAATTCATCCTCCTCCACTTATACCTCTTCTATTCACTTTGACTCATTTCCTTTTCTTTATCTCTTTCATCTTTTCTGTATAATAAAGATCAGGGTCTCACTATGTTGATGGCCAGGCTGGTTTGAAACTCCTGGTCTCAAGTGGTCTTCCCAAAGTATTGGGATTACAGACATGAACCACTGAGCCTAGCCTGACTCATGTATTCTACCAATAAGCTAAGTACATAAACTCGTGTCTTCCCACTTGACAGAACCATGAAATAGATCATTCCTGTCTTCCTTTCATTTATTTGTATTGTTTCTTAATAATACTGAAAGCCAAATTCATTCGTTCCTCAAACCACTTTCATTCATTATATGACTTCCTAAAACACCTGAAGAAAGGTTATTATTGATCGTTTCTTCAATATATATCCATTGATATCTGAAAGCCTACATGAGAGCCATTGGAATTTATGGTTGATTCACAAATAATTTTTTGCAGTGTTATGATCTCTGTGTTTTTAAATTAGTTTTTAGTACCAGGTCTTCCTACTCCATAGCTTGACCACTCTCCCTGAGCATTAATCAATGCTGCATTGTACCCTCAGGATTGGAAGCCATGAGAAAAATCTTCCTCAAATCTACCAAGATGATTTCCATTCAAGTGATAAGTGGATACATTTCTAGCATGTCTGTCTGAGGCTAACTCTGAGGGAAAAGGCCTAATACTTGCAATCCACTGGTTGGTTTTCCTGCTTTCCTCATTTAAATTTCTTTGGTTTTCTTGAATTTTTGCCCACAAACATCTCATTTGCTTCATAATCTTCTCCTGTAAAAGAACTATGAATGTGAACATCAGAGAAGCAAATCATTTTAGGTTTCAGACCCCCAGTGATAAAGAAATCAAGGGATGAGATATGAAAGAGATTTGGGAAGATCTCGGACTGTAGAACCACAACGTGTAACGCAGCAAGTTTAATAGGAAAATCATAGGCAGGGCTAATTTACAGATAATGTGGCACCTTGCATCAGAATTGGAATCTACTGACACCGTGCCCTGCTAATTCTAACGTGTTTTATTCTATTATTTCCAGTGTTGGTAAATAGGTTTCTTATAGAAAAGACTTTTTAACTTGTAGTTTGGATAGCCAGAAACTCTTCTGATATTGAGCTCTTTACAGTGCCTTGAACACTGCATCAAGTAGTCAAATTATTACAATGATTATTAACTTCATCACTCCCTCAGTGAAATGTAAGCTCCAGGAAGGAAAGCACACTCAGATTATATTTATTATTTTATCATTGATACCTAGGCACTACACGACATCCAGTACAGAGCAGATTAATCATCATGCTCTTCATCTTCCCCTAATCTCTTTACCTGTGCCATCCTCCAGCTTTCAAAGTGCTCTCAGAGCCATCACTTACCCAGTGTTCCTTAGCTGCCCCTCACAGTGTGTGTGAACCCCATGCTCCTGAGAGTTCCAGCACAGCAAATGAATCAGGCTCTTTTTCCACCTCTCCAAATATCTTCTTTGTCTCCCTGTGGATCCCACGCATTTGTTCATTAGGGCTCAGGAATTGCCAGAGACTGGCTTTTCTGGCAACGGACACTAGATTCTTCAGAAGAATATTGGTTTTGAAGTCCTCCTGCTGTGACAGTTCCCAGCATGTGGGCAGCAGGTAGGAATTTTGGTTTCTTCCTAGGAAAGGCAGAGACAGGGCCTACAGAAGCTGGGGCTGCAGCCTGTGGCAATGGGGTCTACACATTAGTTCAGACAGAAGAGGCAGATGGATTCTTTCTTTCTGGAAGGCTTGTGTGATGTCTGAGACCAATTTCCTGAAGGAAGGAAATTAGGAAAGGTATGATTCAAACTTCTTCATCTTATGCCCTGAGAAACAAAGACCAAAGCAAAATTTGACTCAGGTTGTGACTCAATGATACACTTCTGTCTAGAGTAGAATAGGCTTTATTTTGCATAAGACAAAAATAGAACCTGAGGCACAAAGAGAGCTCTCAGATCTGTAGGTAAAATTGTCAGATGCATGCATAACTCACAGGGCACTACATCCTACCCTTTTCTTTTGTATAGAAAAATGAACCTCAGAGAGGCCAGAAATGGTGGCTCACACCTATAATCCCAGCACTTTGGGATGCCAAGGCTGGTAGATCAGGTTGGAGACCAGCCCGGCCAATATGGGGAAACCCCATCTCTACTAAAAATACAAAAACCAGCCATGAGTAGTGGCACACGCCTGTAATCCCAGTCACTCAGGGGACTGGGCAGAAGAATCGCTTGAACCCTGAGGTTGCAGTCAACTGAGATTGAGCCACTGCTCTTCAGCCTGGGCAATAAAACAATACCTGTCACAAAAAGAAAGAAAAAGAAGGAAGGAAGGAAGGAGAAAAGAAAAGAAAGAAAAGGAGAAAAGAAACCTCCATTTTGTTGAGTTTTGACTTTACTCCAAAAAGCTTGAGGTTTAAGAGTATGAAATTGGGACCAATTTACACCATAGATGATGGGTCCTGAATATTCTGAAAACCATTCTTAATGCTCATTGTGATTGGTTTAGGAAAGATCGATTTAGTACAAAAGAAAAAAGTGATTGGTTTAGGAAACTGTATTTCACTGAGATTTTACTCTCATTATTTCATTTTGATGTCATAATTTTCTCCTTTAAAGTATTTCGAAAATCCTCAATCACAAGCCACCACTGCAAAATAATTTCTAAATAAATAAGCAATATTTATTTACTGAACATTTGGTGAAATTTCATCAGATCAGATTTCACCCAAAATTTGATCAGATTTCACCCAAAAATGCTAAAGAGGCATTTAGTATATTCTAAAACACAATATTACCCTCAAATTATTCAACATATTACCTAAATTGTATATTATAGAATATTTTGTCTTGTGCATATATTTATGTGCCACCTTCAGAATTGAAGGTAATACATTTATACACAACATATGGAATAAAATATTCTCCATAAAATTTAGGATATACAAGTATAAAATTGCAAGATATCTGAAAACTATTTTCTGAGTTCTTAGAATACATAGGAACAACTAATGAATACATAAATGATACAAGTAAAATTAATCTTCACTGTAGTTCACAAGTATGTAGGAAGACAGGATAACAAAATAAGAGTAAAAACATTTTTACTAATTAAGCAAATGACATCATTTCATAGAAACAAGCTCAGTTTGTTGAAAAATTCAACGTAGGGCAGTCTGTTTTGGATTGGAAAACTAGCAGGAACTCCTCCTCTGTTAGCTGTGTTCTCACCCTAGAAATATACTTATGGTCTCACTGATACTTGCTGTAGAAGTAATAATATAAAGTCTGATCAGGGATCAGGGCCTCACCATATAGCGGTAGTAGCTTTCAGACATCTTCACAGCCAGTTCCAAAGCCACTCTGTGTGTCCCAGAGAAGAATGAGCTTGGCTCCTTGTACCTCTTTATATTGAATCTCTGAAAAATCACACTCATTTTGAAAAGGTTGTACATTTCTTGGAGTTTGGGATAGCCGTTAGGGTTCTTGATTAGATTTCACCAGAAGAGAGGAAATGATTGATTCGACACCTTGGCTAATCTCCATAAACACACTTTAAACTTCCTCTCATCAAGAACCACTGAGTTTACAACAAATGAACCCTCAAATACCAAATTTGTGGATAATTTTTGGAGTACTTGAATATTTTACTCATCAAAGGATGGGAAAGAGGATACCATCAATTTATGATTTTAATAAATGTCTTCAGAAGTCTGGAATATTTTTTCTCCTTTTTCTTTTTTTTTTCTTATGTTTTTGGAAATGTTTTGCCTGAAATTGGCTTTAATTCTAATAGTCACTGAACTAGACTGGAAATGCACTTTGCTGTTGCTTTTAAGACTTGATCTCTGGTTTTAATGTATTAATGTATTACTGTCAATTCATATATTATATATATATTTTCTGGCTCTGTAGCCCAGGCTGGAGTGTGGTGGTGGAATCACAGCTCACTGCAGCCTTAAACTGCTGGGCTCAAGTGATCGTTTTGCCTCATTATCTCAAAGAGCTGAAATTACCGATGTGAGCCACTGCACCCGGCCTATTAATTTATGTTTTTAATAAAAGCATAAGAATTATCCTTATTATAAATTAAGAAATAGAATATCTTTAAGAAAATATTTTTAAGGAAATATAATATCTTTAAGGAACAATGAAATCTCCAGTAGCTATAGACTCCTATGAAAACCACCGTTACCAATAGCAATTTTGTGTATGTCTATATAACACATACATATGTAAATATATATAACATATACATGAATTTTTTCACATTCGGCAGTCATTGAAGAATAAAAATTATAATTTATATTAATAAAAAGTGAAATAAGTAAAATTTGCTGTTTAGTGAAAACTTTGCTTAGCAACTTAAATGAAGCTGCAGAAAATGTGAACTGGATAATAGATGTAAAGAGATGTCATGAGGGCTTCACAGATGGACAAATAGAGGTAAACTAGGAGAGTAGTAGTGACATATGGAGGATGAGAGTATCACGTATGTCCTTTATAAACAGCATAATGTGTGATTGACTGTAGCACAAAGGGGAGCTAAGTAGAGAAGATGAGGAGAGTACATATTCAAGGATATAATGTTTGATAATTTTTTCAGAGTAAACAAATACATTATTGAATTCAGGAAGCCAAACAATCCCCATTTTGGATGTGTAAAACATAAATTTACTTTGTTTTGAATGTGCAAAACAATATATTTTGACTGATTTTTAGTATTTCTCTGTCTTTGGTGGCTGATTCATTATGATATTTTAAGTTTGAAACCACCACCAAAGATAAAGAATCTCTTAAAAGCAGCCAAAATAAACTGTTTCATTGTGAGGGAACACTTAATAGAATGACAACAGACTGCTCCACAATCATAAATCATAAATGTAAGTATAAGACGGTGGACTAATATTTGTAAAGTGTCAAAAATGTAACTGCCAATATGGAGATGAATGTGAATTGGAAATATCTTTTATATAAGAGGATAAAATGACTCTTGTCATATAAGTATAATAAAAAAGGGACTTTATATCCTACTAAGGGCTTCTAGAACAGTACGCATAAGATCTACTTGAAAGATAATTCCAACACCTCTGCCACATTGAATCTGGCTTTATTTATTGCTTAGTCTCTTAACAGTGTTTCCTTTATGTATCTTTTCTGTTTCTATACATGTCTGGTAAGTTTTACCCAAAAAGTGAACTATGTAGAGTAGACTAATGTAGAAATCAAAACCCACATGTGTTCCCTTTTACTAGGCTGTATGTGTGTGTTTTGGGGGAGGAGGTTGAATCAATCTAGTCAGGAGTTGATTTGGTTTTGGGACTTTTCCCTCTTAGAGTTATTTCCAGGGCACCATAAGTTTCACGCTCATCTAGCATTACTTTGTGTTTCAGGTTGGACTGGTTCAGCAGCATTTCTTAATATCTGCTGTATCCTCACATTTAAGTTTCCTTCCAAATTCTGTTCAGTCCCCCAGAAGACACTGCTTTGACCTGTTACTCAACAATTGTGAGCCTAGTTGGGGGTGGAGATGAGGATGGAGAAGCATTTTCTGTCACTCTGATGAAGCTCAGTCATAGGTTGACACTGTTTCTGGGTCTGCATGGTTGGAATCCTTTTTTTTTTTTTTTTTTTTTTTGACGGAGTCTCGCTCTGTTGCCCAGGCTGGAGTGCAGTGGCATGATCTCTGCTTACTGCAAGCTCCATCTCCCGGATTCACGCCATTCTCCTGTCTCAGCCTCCCAAGTTAGCTGGAACTACAGGCACCAGCCACCATGACCAGTTAATTTTTTTTTTTTTAATATTTTTAGTAGAGACTAAAGCCAAGATGGTCTCGATCTCCAGACCTGGTGATTCGCCCGCCTCAGCCTCCCAAAGTGCTGGGATTATAGGCGTCAGCCACCACGCCTGGCTGGAACCTTCTTAGTGATCCTGTCCCACCTTCAGATGTAGGTCTAAATCCTCCACATATTTTTTTTTCCTCTTTTTTCTTTTCCCGTTTCCAAAGTTCAATTAGTTTTACCAATGTCCCAAGGGCAATGACATTCCTTATCTTTTCCTTTGTAGTTTAAGATTGTGTTACACAGGAGAGATGAGGAGGTAATTACAGGTCTTTAAATGTAATATTCTGTGAATCTCTTCACAGACTGTAAAAAAATGTATGTGGCACATATACACCATGGAATAATATGCAGCCATGAAAAAGGATGAGTTCATATTTTTTTTGCAGGTACGTGGATAAAGCTGGAAGCCCTCATTCTCAGCAAACTAACACAAGAGCAGAAAATCAAACACTGCATGTTCTCACTCACAAGTGGGAGTTGAAAAATGAGAACACATGGATACAGGGAGGGGAATATCACACACCGGGGCCTGTCGGGGGGTGGGGAGCCAGGGGAGGGACAACATTAGGATAAATACCTAATGTAAATGACGGGTTGACAGGTGCAGCAAACCTCCATGGCACATGTATACCTATGTAAAAACCCTGCACATTCTGCTCATGTACCCCAGAACTTAAAGTATAATAACAAAAAAGCATGGTTTATGTCTTAATGTTGATTGATATTAACTTATCATAAAAGAAATTATATATTTACACATTTGAAAAATTAGGCATAAAATTGAATTTATCTATTTCAAACTTTTCTTACATGTTACAATATTAAACAATACATATATCATTCTCTTCTTCATGAAAAAACTCATAGTTTCTCTCCTTCATTGCAATGCTGCCTGGATCTTATCCTGGTTATTTTTACGTTTCCTAACCATTACCTTCCTAAAATATTATTCAACATTCTAACTTCTAATACTAATTAATGGAGTTTGCAATTTATATAAATAAAACACTGTAATATAACATTTGTGTGTTTCAATTCTTTTTCTTAAACTTCTTTCTTAAACTTGGGATTCATTAATTTGTTGCATTTTGGTGTTATTCTCTTTGTTTTATAGAATTATTTTGTATGATGAGATCACAATTTATTTAGCAATTCTACTGTCGATGAATATTTATTTTGTCTCCAATTTGGAGCTACTATGAAAATTGATGCAAAGATCAACATTATGTTTATCTCAAAATATACATAGGCAGTCAGTGGAATATATTTTAGAATTAGAGTATCTAGCCAATAAGGAATGCTCATAGTCAGTTTGCCAAAAAGTATTTCAGTTTATACCCCTCCAGTCATGAATAACTTTCATTGATTCTTTCTTTTTTTATATACTTTTAGTTTTAGGGTACATGACAACGTGCAGTTTTGTTACATATGTATACATGTGCCATGTTGGTGTGCTGCACCCATTAACTAGTCATTTAACATTAGGTATATCTCCTAATGCCATCCCTCCCCACTTCCCCACCCCACAACAGGCCCCGGTGTGTGATGTTCCCCTTCCTGTGTCCTTGTGTTCTCATTTTTCAATTTCCACCTATGAGTGAGAACATGTGGTGTTTGGTTTTTTTTCCCTTGTGATAGTTTGCTGAGAATGATGGTTTCCAGCTTCATCCATGTCCCTACAAAGGACATGAACTCATCCTTTTTTATGGCTGCATAGTATTCCATGGTGTATATGTGCCACATTCTGTTAATCCAGTCTATCATTGTTGGACATTTGGGTTGGTTCCAAGTCTTCGCTAGTGCGAATAGTGCCGCAATAAACATATGTGTGCATGTGTCTTTATAGCAGCATGATTTATAATCCTTTGGGTATATACCCAGTAATGGGATGGCTAAGTCAAATGATATTTCTAGTTCTAGATCCCTGAGGAATCGCCACACTGACTTCCACGATGGTTGAACTAGTTTACAGTCTCACCAACAGTGTAAAAGTGTTCCTATTTCTCCACATCCTCTCCAGCACCTGTTGTTTCCTGACTTTTTAATGATCGCCATTCTAACTGGCGTGAGATGGTATCTCATTGTGGTTTTGATTTGCGTTTCTCTGATGGCCAGTGATGATGAGCATTTTTTCATGTGTCTTTTGGCTGCATAAATGTCTTCTTTTGAGAAGCGTCTGTTCATATCCTTTGCCCACATGTTGATGGGGTTATTATGTGTATTTAAATTTTGCTAATTTTTATGAAGGCCTGTAGTTCAACTTGTGGATTAATTTTTATAATTCTGAGGACTAATAAAAGTAATCCCTTTTTCATATTTGGCCAGTTATTTATGCCTCCAATTTTATGAAGTGCCTGTTCAAATATTTTACCCAATTTTATATCGGGTTCATTTTCTTTTATTTATGACATTCATTAATCACATGTATTGCATTTTGTTTCATATAAGTTGAGATAAATATTTTTCTCCACTCTTGGTTTCCATTTTAATTCTTGGATGGTATATTTTGAAACACAGAAGTCATTATTTTTGATATAAACTAACTAAATTTTCCTTCTTAATTGTTACTTTTTTGTCCAGGTCAAGAAATCTTTCTCTATGAGAATATTTTATTATGTTCCCTTCACCTTCACAACATGAATCCATGTGGAAATGAACTCTGTATGGTTTGAGATAGGGGTCAGTATTCAGTCATTTCCATTTGAATATTTAATTGATCCAGCATTGTCCTGATCACCTTGTAAATTTCACTTTAGAACAGCACTCTTAATAATGCATGAGCATTTGTGTATAAGATGAGATTTACAAAGATAAGCACAGCATAGGAGGTCAAATAAGATTACCTCAAGGTATGGATTCAGAAATAAAACACATGAATAAGTATAATATTGTTAGATGAAGAGAAAGAAAATATTTCCAGGTTACCATTGAGTCTTTTTACTCCAAGTTTTTTGAAGAAGCACAAGATTCCTACTTTCTTCCGTTGATTTTATCTTCATTTAGACACCTCTGTCATCTCTGATTTCACTTTGTGACATTCAGAAATAATGAAAAACCAGAGAATATATTCTATGCCATCCATCATGGGTAATGATTTTCCAAAAATGATTAAACAAAGAACCAATACACATGGTTTTAGTTTTTTCACCATATTTAATAGAAACCGTATTAATGAGTTGTGATGACATTAGAAGGCAACTAAACACATTAAATATAACTTATTTGTCCTCTTTGATGAGGCACAAAAAGGAGGACTTCCTGCGATAAAGGGGTTTACACAGCATGTGGACACATTACCAATTTGTCTCTGGTCAGAGGTGACTACAGTGAAAGATAGGCCTGAGAAGAGGTGAGAAGGAGCAATTATGGATGGTGTATATAAGGGAACTTTGATCAACATCAACAATGCTCATGGTTCTACCTTCACAATCCAGGAATAATCCTCCTCGGCTGCTAGGCCTTGGAACATATAGCACCACATGTGGGGTGTGGTAAAGAGCCTGCAGTGAACGTCCTCCTTAACACATCCAAGAAGAAAGAGTCCCTCCTCTCCATCTATCTTGTCATTCTGTCTCTTCTCTTTCCAATAATTGTTACAGACACCAAAAGCCCAATTCCAAGAGTCCCCCACATGAACCTCCCAATAATATTTGCCAGATGTGAAAGTCTGAGCGCTCTACTCAGGAAAACATTCAGATGTTGCCATGATGCGGGGACCATCTTGAGGGTCACATCCAACATTCATGCTTCTTAAGTCTCCATACAGGAAGATATGACTATTGGCTCTTTCAGGATGCGGAGTAATATCAACTGCAAATTTTTTTAAAAAAAGTATGGACACGTGTAAATAATAAAAGTTAAAATTCTTGAGGGAAAAATTGTTCTACCAAGTATCTACTTTACCAAGGAATTTGAAGTTACAAGAACAGGATAATTTTGATTATAACATTTAATAAAGGACAAGGAAGATTAATACTCTCTACAGGAAAAACAAAACCCTAAAAACAGACATTGAAAATTTGGAAACTCAAAAATTGAGAGTCAAATATAAGACCAGCCTGTTTTAATCCAATTTCCAATGTGAAAGTGAGATATTATATGCCCTGACTGCCCTTTAGCTATCAAGGTCATTATTATTAAAATATTTCTTGTTCTTAAATACTAGTGATATAACTTTGGCAAGAATGGGAAGAGTTTCACTTACTCAAGCACTACTCTAGATAACTGGATAAAAGTCCATATGTCCAAATTATAAGTGATAACTTAAGGCAGATTTCTGCAAAATCTTTTACCGGTCACTCTGTGGACTTCCCTGCTAGCTCTAGACAGAAACTGAATTTTAGATTTTACACATAACTCTGCATGTTGTAACTAAACTGAAATTATCATTTCTATTTTTACATAGTATTAAGTCAAATTTTTACATTATATCAATAGTATATATTTATTGTAAGTAAATACAAATACTCCAACAAATTGTGGTGAACTCTATTTCCCAGATAACCGTTTTTAACAATTCAAATAAAATACTGTAAAGGAATGTACAATTTTTATGTAACATTGGATTATTAAACTTCCATCTCACCATTAGTACACTTACTCAATTTTTTATTTCTTATGTCATTCCTTTTACCCAATATATAACTCAATACATGTGAGCCCAGAACATAATTGTTTTTCACTATGTTTTACCCTTCAAGTTATAAACTGGAGTATAAATAGAAACACAGATATAAAAGGGTTGCATAGTCATATTGTTCACTTCCTTCTGAAATGAAAAACGGATTTGATGAAGGGTAAAATATTATGCTCATGATTCTAACAAGAAGTAATTCATTGTAGAAATTCTGCCAATGGGCTGACACTCACCTCTGAATCCATTGAGACTGTCCAGCAGTCCAGTGATGGGCCCTGCACTGAGCTCACAGGCTTGGGCACTTGCAGCAGCAGGGACTCACCCCTGCAAGGAGAAAGATGCAGTTACTACATCCACAGAAAAAGAAAGAACACACACACACATAAAAATCACTACATTTATTCAAAAGACATTTCATGAGAATCCCTTTAACCCACACATTCGCTAATTCCAAAATTATCATTTTGTTTTTCAAATTCATTATTATTCACAGTTCCTGATTTTCAGGCATGATGGAAAAGTCTATCTGAGTGAGAATTCAATCTGATCTTTCTTCTTATTGCTCCAAATTAGTAAGGATCATTAGTCTTAAGGCTAGGAGAATATTCAAAAGTGAAATTCTGGTTCCAGAACTCACCAGGCTTCCCTGAAATCACTGTCTGGGAAAGTGGGGTTATTTGAAGGCTGCTGTATTCGTTGCTTCCTTTTCAAGGCCAGGGTGTTGAAACTTGATCCAGGCAGGGGGATCTGCCTTTTATAGCTCAGGTTCTCTGGAGGCCTACACAGTTCTAACATTCTGACAGTTTGTTTCATCTGTTTTTCAGAATTATATATTTAAATATAAACAAGAAATCATCAACACTTTTCACTGCTAAGATACTTTCAAACACTTTTCTCTCTGGCTTCCCCTGGTTGGCTTTGTAGCCATGTAGAAAATGTAACATTTTCTCCTTCAAATATGCAGGCTGTTGAGCAACAAAAAGGAAATTAGGAATAGAGATGTTCACTTTCTTTATTCTTTCATTTATTTATTTTTTGTTTTTATGGTTTTGCAGAACTTTCATTGAACTGCCTAATAAAATAACTAAGTATGGTAACAAAATAGATGACTACATGGGGTGGGGGATGGATAAAGTACAACCAGGATAAAGTAGTATCAATAGCTGAATCAATTATGCCTTCAATATCAAAGTTCCTGCTTGATATTTGTGGAAACTGAACAAACATCTACTAAAATATTGGTACACTCTCACCTGTGTAATATGTCTCCAAAAGCCTATAAAAAGATAAAGGCTTAGTGTTTTCCACAAGATGCATCTTCCACTAAGTTCAGTGTGAGATTTGGAGGCAGTTTCTGAAGATATTATTTCCCTACCATTGTCCCTCCTGGAAAGCATTTTCTCTTCTTTTCTTGTGAAAATCCCAGTCTATCATATTGTCATGAATTGATGTTCTGATAAAGTCTAAGTTTTGAAGACATTCTCTTTATAAGTGAAGGGAGAGGAGGCCCACAGAGTCTACGCTCTGCTGTAACCATAGAAATGCTACTCAGTCATCTTCCCTAAGCCCTGTTGCCAAAATGAGTGGACCCCAAAATAATACTAGTGTGATCCTAGATTTTCCAACTTCTCCATCGTGCCATGCATCCAAATTAATCTAAATGCCAACGAATCACTTCTCATTTTATCTGCTTTCAAAAATCCTAAATATACCATTGACTTTTGATGGTAAATATTTTGGGGGGCTGTTACCTTGACCGTCCCACAAAGTTTTGTTGCTGGTGGATAAAGTAGGAGGGACCTTAGGTCTGGTAGAATTACTAGGAGAGGCTATACCCTCCCATCAAAGCAGCATTAGTTATAGAAATGTGTTTTTGGAAACAAATCATGGAAGTAAAGGGGGAGATGGATTTCAGGAGAGAGGAAAAACACCCATGCATGTGAATGTTCAACATCCCGATACCCCATGGTCAGTCTGTACCTGGAGTAGCTCCACATCTGCTTTATGGCACATTTTCTTCAGCTCCTAATACATTCCTCTTAAAATCTCCCTCGCATGTTCCATTCTGGCTTTGCTGTCATTGAGTTGCTGAAAAATGTCCTTGCCCTGCTTTTGCAGCCTGTCCAAGTGATGTTGCTCTTCTTCATGGAGAAATGCAGGCATCTTCTGATATTCAGCTCTGATTACTTCTATCCTTAAACTCACATAATCCTGCAGTGACAATTGGTCAAAATAGAAATGTTGTATCCATCTTCTTTTGAATTTCACTGATTCCTCTTAGCATCCTGAATATCCAATATTTTAGCCCTCAGTCTTGTCAGTTCTCAGATTCCACAAAATGTTATTCCTCTCCTTTTTTCTGCGTTAATAACAACATAGTTGTTTCAGTTATGTTTACTTGATTAATGATAAAATGTTTTCTAAGATAGTTATATAAAAATGGATTTCTCTCTTCCAACCCACATTTATACAAAGAAAACACAGTTTTTGCTTAAGAATTAAACTATTGAGCTATATTGACTAGATAGAAAACCATTATTTCTATTTTGGAGGATTGGGCCAAGTTATGTAAACCCATTATATGAGAAATGATGAAATGACCTCATACTAGCGTTGTCAGCTCAATGCATTTCACCCAGCATAACATAGTCTAATTGGTTTCATTTATTCTCTTCCAACCTCACCCTAATCTGCAGCATGGGCTGCTTTGTGGTTCCTCAACATCCCAAATAAATGCAAATGCAATATTACTGCACGTGCTGTTTTCTATACCTAGAATTCTTTTCATATATATATTTCTCATATATATACTCATATATATATTTCTCATATATATACTCATATATTCTTCATATATATGTATATATGGATATATATGAGGAATATATATGTGTATCTGTGTGATATGTGTATGTGTGTATTTCACATATCTGCATGATGGCCATTTGCTTCTCTCATTTCCATTGCAAGATTTGTATGTTTTCTTCCTTCTTTACTACTTAATTTTCTAAGTTGATATTTGACATAGACTAGGTACTTATAAAATATTTTCAATGAATTCATATTAGAATGAATTAATGAATTAATATTAGATATCATACCCTCAAGAGAAACATCTACAAAGAGAAAACATTTCTAGAATTCTTCTCAAGTCCTTAGAGTGCTCCTTATATTAAATACTAGTTGCCATATTTCTTGCATATTTATGTCTTCATCAAGACAAGTCTACCTTTCTCACTTTTCCCATTATGCATTATGATTTATTCAATATTAATTAGTTCAGATGCTTAATTTCATGCTTTCCCTAAATTTGCATTGTTGCTCCTTCTGTCTGAAATTTGATTCACATTTCAAATATACTTGCCCACCAGGATTCAAATTCATGCTGACTCAGCTTCAGAAGTTTCACCTAAAATTTCCATGACTGCCAAATAACTCTTGTGCCCAGGATTTATTCAGGCAGCCCATGGGGAGCAGTGTGAAATGGCCCAGTTTCTTGTGTTTGTTGGTGTATTGCTATAGGTTTGTATGGAAACAGATGAGCATGCTTGGGTAACATCTGTGGTTTGGTTAGAAATCCTATCAAAGAATCACAATATCTTACATAAAAAATAGGCTATTTTTTTCTCAACTGTTTTTTCCTTTTTTATTGAATTCCAGATACATTATGGGTTGAGATCAAGTTCCTATTTTAAGAGTCACCCATTTGCCCAGTGCAAGTTCCTAGAGAAGGTAGAGTATTACAAGGCTAACCTTCTAGCATCTGGTTCTGGTGGTTTTCATGTTCAGGTTTCTGTGATTTTCACAAGCTTTTCCCCATAAAGACTGCATTTTCTTTAGGAGCTTCTCCTGCAAAAGAGCCAGGAATTGGAGCACCAATGAAGACAATAAAGTATCATTCACACTCTGATATATGAAGGGGCCCAGAATGAGACACAAATCAGCCTATAGGAAATAGTGTTTCCTTTGTTTCTCTTCATGTTTGTCAAATCTGAGAGGGTTGAAGCCAAGGAAGCTCATAACAGAGATGTTTAAAGGGACACAGAGATGGCATCATCCAATCTCCAAGAAAATAGACCCACAGGAATTTCATGTGTCCTTTGGAGAAATAGATCTTCAGAGGCATCACTTACCCGGTGTTCCTCAGCAGCCCACTCAATGGGACAGTGTCTGTGATCCCGGTGCTCCTGAGAGCTGGAGCAGAGCAAACAGAGCAGACTCTTGTCCACTTCACAGAACATCTTCTTTGTCTCCCTGTGAGTGCCACACATTTGCTCTTCAGAGCTCAGGAATAGCCAGAGACTGGCTTTTCTGGCAAGGGAAGCCATCTTCTTCAGTCAAATGTTAGTTTTGAGGTTTCTCTGCTGTGTTGTCTTTATGCATTCAAAGCACTGAGTAACAACTGGGATGTCTTGCCAGTTGAGGTAGAAACAGGGCCTGCAAAAGCTGTGCCCACAGTCTATGGTGACTGGGTCTATGAAGTAGTTCATGCAGATGGGGCAGCTGAGTTCCCTCTGGAAGACTTGCGAGATTCCAGAATTCATGTTTCTGAAGAAGGAAGAGCAACATGTCATTTTGTGGTCTGGGTTGGTGAAAATCTATGTACATGTGGTGATATGTGATAGCTATATTTTCTTCTCGACAGTGCTGATTAAAGCAGAACAAACTATTTCCTCTGTAACAAAAATAAAAAAATTCATACACAAGGAGAGCCTTCAGGCTTTATAGCAGACATTACTGACTAGATGACTCACAACCCCTTCTATTCGTAGTTCCGGCCCATAACATAATGCAAATCTGTTCAAGAACCTATTCCCTAGATGTCGATATGAAACTCAGGTTTTAGTCTTAAGTTGTCTAGAATAAATCAAGGTTGTCCCTATTTCTGTTTCAAGTAACTACTGAATGACTATGGAAGAGAAGTACAAAACCTACATTGGCTAAAAAAATATGAGAAGATGGACAGAGGGCACTATGATGTGTTTTTAGAGAGGGACCCAGAAGCCCATCTCTTTAAAATAAAAATCAACCCTGCAAGAAAACCAATTAACCAGATAAACAAAAAACAGCAATTAAACCAGTTTAGGTTCACTAGTAGAGAAAATACATAATGAAAGATATTGGGTTTATTTTTCTTACGGATTACATTAACTTCTTCCTTTGGCTACTCAAACTCTGAACTGACATATAGTCAATTTTTTAAAAACTGAAACATGTATAATTACATTACTATGGTATTATGGTTAATTTTAAGTGTCAACTTGACTGGATTAAGTAATACATGGAGAGTTAGTGAAACATTATTTCTGGGTGAGTCTGTGAAGGTGTTTCCAGAGAGACATGTGAGTTGGTGAGCTGAGCGGGGAACAGCAGCCCTCAATGTGGGTGGACACCATCCAATCAAGCTGGGAGCTCAGACTGAAGAAAAAGGGCAGAGAGAAGGCAATTTCTTCTCTCTCTCTCTCTGCTGAAGCTGATTCTAACTCAGCCACGATATTGGTATCTCCAGGACACTAGCTTAATGGCAGGCTATATTCAACTTCTCAGACTCCATAATCAAGGGAACCAATTCCCCTAGTAGACTTCCTCTCCTGTATAGTCATGTGTAGAGTGAGGACAGATAGATGATCGGAGAAATGCATTCAGCAGTTTTGTTATTGTTTGAACATCGTAGATTATACTTACAAAAACCTAGATGGTATAGCCTACTACACACCTATGGTATACAGTATAGCATATTGTTCCTAGGCTACAAACCTGTACAGCATGTCCTGTATGGTATACTGTAGGCAATTGTAACACAATGGTAAGTATTCTCTCTCTCTCTCTTTGTGTGTGTGTGTGTGTGTATATATATATATATATACATATATACATATATATGTGTATACATATGTATATATGTGTATATATATATGTATACCTCCTATTGTTCTGTCTCTCTGGAGAACCCTGACCAATATAAACTGTAATTTTTGCTTTGGCAGTTTGAAGTCCTTTACCTTACTCTCTTTTACTAAACACTGCTGAATTTAAGTGCCAAAAGTGAAAATTTAAGAATTGCAAATATTTTTCAGAGGTCATCTGAGCCGTTTCCAGAAATTTTTCATAGTTTCTTCTGACATAAGCTTCAATTAAAATGACAACTCGTATCATGTATCAAATCATGCCTTATACATTTATCTGTTCAACAATTGTGTTTTGATTTCTAAGCTAGGGTATTTTGGAGAGCCTTCTCATTTCCTTTAGTATCACCATTTTATCTCATCATTGCCTTAGTAATTTAAAATCATGTCTAAAAGCTTAACGTTATGAAAGCACAACATTTACAGTATTCAGTAATTGTCTCTTTTTACTTAATTCAGTGTACCAATATTAGTACATGCAGTGCACACACATATGTTTTAATGTGAATTCCATATATTCACGATGCATACAAATCTATTGCAGCAAACATTAGATATTTAAAATTTTTCAAAAATATATTGAACACTTATGGAATACACAAAATAACAACAATTAATAACCTCGTGTCATAAAATGAATAGTAATAATATGAGTTACAAATAATATAATTAAGTAGGTTTAAGACAGATATTTTTATCACTGTAATTTATTATTTGGTAAAGGAAGGGAGAAATAATTTTCTCCATATAAGTTGCACTCATCCCAGAATTCTATGAATGTTTCCTGCAGTTATTCTTCCAAAAAAAATTCTGTTAAATACTCCTCAAGATCAGGAGCTCATCCACTGCAGAGTTGACTTTCAGAGGTCACCTGAATGCAGGTAACTCTAAGTGCTGTTTTTCTCCTCTGGAGAAAAATGAGCTTGTCTCTTCTACATCCTTTTATATGGATCTTTGAAGACCATACTCACCTCTTCAGGGATATTTAAGGTATTAAGAAAGGTGGAAACAGAGATGATTAGGTTTATGCAATATTTAGTACACACCTTTTCATCACTGATTAAATTAGCATCACACTTTGATTGTAAAAACCACTGCCTGAATGAAGCATATCTATCATCAATCTTTTCAAGGTAAACGTATGCTAGAAATTAACTAAGATTCAATTAATACTGTTTCTTGAGTTTCTTCCAAGGCACAGGCATTCCTCTAAGTGCACACGTATTTATTTATTTATTAATTCTAGAGAAAAGTTCTCCCTCTGGAGTGCAGTGGCACAATCTTAGCTCACTGCAGCCTTGAATTCCAGGGCTCAAGTAATCCTCCCACTTCAGCTTTCAAAGTAATGATTAGAGGCTTATGCCATCGCACCTAGTTAATTTTTTTATTTACTTTTTTCTTAAAGACAGGATATGGCTATATTGCCTAGTCTAGTCTCTAACTCCTGGCTTCAAATTATCATCTGACTTCAGCCTCCCAAAATGCTGGGAATACAGGGTGAGCTATAAATGCTCCTTTAATACAGCTACAGGGTATTCTCAGAGAAGGCAAACAGGAAGTAATATTTCCTTTTTTGTTTTTTATCACTCTAAGATAATTCACTAATTAACCAAATAACCCCAAATAATAATTTAGAATGTCTTATTGGGTCCCAGGAGATGACCGTGTGCCTCAGGATTTGAGATATACAATAAATGATGAGCTAAAACAGAACATGTTGAATTTAAGGGACTATGAAACATCCAGCTGATGATGATGTGAGATGATACATTACCTACATGATGAGATGAAATGAGCTGAATGATGTAGGCATTGGCATGTAGCTTTAGGCTAATATTGATCTCCTGCATTTCTGAATCTTTGTAACTGTACTTACTTGCAGTAAATGGCTTAGTGTTATTATTTTAGTTAATTCTTTGCTGAAATCTTCATGTAGGTTCAACACTTTCTGAAAAAAAAAATTGTCACAAATTGGAACACATTTCTTGTTCATGTCTTCCAACCACAAATTTAATGCCTATTTTTCATTTTAATTAGGCAATTTTGGTAGAGTTGAAAAATAAATTAGTTTTACAAAAATATTCTTTATTATATTTCTGCTATTTTGCCTTTTTTTGTTGCAATGCAATTTAAAAACCATTTGCAAACTAAATATTAAAATGAAGAAAAAAGTAATAATCAAAGAAGCTGACATGGGAACAGTTAATAGCCTGGAAAAAGTTAGGTGTCAAAAAATGTTTTCAGTTATTGAACCCAGCTCATCCTTTTAACCATTAACCTTTCAGCAAGAATTGTTTTTTTTTTTTAGATATGTTTTTACAGCACTAGAAAACTTTAATTTTAATTGAAAGGGAACTAAGGGATTTGGGAGAGTAAGAATAATAGAATGCCCTACTTTCCCACATATTAGGCAGCAGATGTGATTTTCATTAACCTCTTCACATAGGCAAATTTGTAGCCCCTGGCTTTGACACAAACCATTTTGAGGCAAGAAACTCAATACCAGAAGGCAGGACAACAACAGCTTAGCTTACTGGACAGGTTTCCATGAATTTCTAACTGAATATGCATATAGATGCACAACAATTAAGAGAAGTGGGAGACTTTATTTGGATAGAACATGGAGTAAACACATTCATGTCACATGTAAGTCCTATGATAGAATGGCATTCTGAATGTGACTCTCCAACAATGAGTTAAAATTCAGCCCAAGAAGAAGTGGCACTTATAGGTACACAATGTGATGAGAGATTGAAAATTTGAATTCCTCCCTAGAAGACCTGTCTCTTGGTCAAGAGATGCTTTTTTTTTCCACTTGTGAAAAAATTTTAATTTAATTTCTGGGATACATGTGCAAAATGTGCAGGTTTTTTACATAGGTATACATGTGCCATGGTGGTTTGCTGCACCTATCAACCCATCATCTAAGTTTTTAGCTCCACATGCATTTGCTATTTGTCCTAATGCTCTCCCTCCCCTTGTCCCTCATGCTCTGACAGGACCCAGAGTGTGTTGTTCCCCTCCCTGTGTCCCTGTGTTCTCATTGTTCAACTCCCATTTATGAATGAGGACATGCAGTGTTTGGTTGGTTTTTTGTTCTTGTGTTAGTTTGCTGAGGGTGATGGCTTCCAGCCTCATCCATGTTCCTGCAAAAGACATGATCTCATTCTTTTTTATAGCAGCATAATATTCCATGGTGTATATGTACCACATTTTCTTTATCCAGTCTTTCATTGATGGCCATTTGGGTTGGATCCATTTCTTTGCTATTGTAAACAGTGCTGCAATAAACATACACGTGCATGTGTCTTTATAGTAAATAGTTTATATTCCTTTGGGTATATACCCAGTAATGGGATTGCTGGGTCAAATGGTGTTTCCGGTTCTATATCCTTGAAGAATCACCACACTGTCTTCGACATGGTTGAACTAATTTACATTCCCACCAACAGTGTAAAAGTTTTTCTATTTCTCCACAGCCTCACCAGCATCTAATGTTTTTCACAGACACCTTCTCATACTTATGAAGCCAGTGCAAGAAAATAAACTGAGACTCACCTACAAATATCTAAATGTTTAAAATGTGTAACTCTAGCTAACAAACTGTCAATAAATATCTTTTATCTTCCTTGTTTGATAAATATTATATACCTTCATTACAACGTTTAAGGCTGGGCTGGAATTTAGAATTGTCAGACTGATATAGGACCAACAGGTTGCACAGTAAAAGGCTGCTGTAAAGTAACATCAATCACACTGAGATAGCAGAGATGCAAGGGAGAACAAGTTTAATGATCACAGGGTGCTGAATGCGGAGATTGGAGGAGACCCTCAAATCCATCTCTTCAAAGAGTTCTGGGCTGGGATTTTTAAGGAGATTGTGAAATGTGAAAAGCTGGAAAATTAGGGTTGTTGATTATTTGGAGCAAGAGGGATGGACTCCTTAGGATGTGGAGACTGGATTATTTGGTGAGTCCATTGCTTATGGGCTCTTTCAGACAAGCAGAGTCTGTAGTTTCACCAGTCTGCAGAATAGGACAATTAAGAGGAACTATAATCTAGGGTCTACATGACTCTAGCACAATAGGCAATGACTATCAAAAAGCAGGTCAGAGAGCACGCTGACATAATGATTAATGCTGAAACTTTTGCAAGCTTGTTTTATTTACATTTCTCTCTATATATTCTTGCATGATTCATTTCATAAATTTTAAAAACACGGTTTCAAGACCTTAGCATGCATGGGGTAATGTATGTTTATCTGCTCTGGTAAAAAAAAATATATATATATACAGAGAAAACTGGAAAGCTCCTGGTTCAGACATGGAATTTGGAATTTAGAATCTCTAGAGAAACTATAGGAGCAAGAAAACCTCACAGACGTCCCTTCCAGCAATGTTAGAGGGGTCTGGAGGAGTTATTGCATAATTCTCTACTGTGTTGGTCCCAGAGCAAGAGCCAGACTTTCTCCCTTTGCTCCTTATTTCTGAGGCTAAGAGTTTGCTCTGTCTAGTGAGCAGTAAGAGCTTCCCCTTGCAACTTCTCATCTCCAATTTCCTTCTTCCAGGTTTCCCTTGGCTTCTTCTCCCCCATTTGGATGACTGTATTCACTGGTGTTGGAGAGTCAGGAGATTTCTGGGACTTGCAGCTTTTAAAAGTTTATTCCTCTCTCTTCTTCCACTATGCACCTGCATCCAACTATCTGCTCAGCTGCATCTTTCCCATAGAGATTATTCCTCCTAAGTCTCAGCCTTCTGCCCCCAGAGTGAAACCTCCTGTCCTGTCTCTGAATGGCTCCATTCTGGAAAACTCCCAGATCTCAGAGAAACACAGCAACGTGATAGACACCTTGTGGTGGAATAGTCCAGCTTTACCTATGTACAAAGTGAGGCATCCTAGAAGGTGAGGCTCCCTCCTTTTCCTTCACTCTTCTTAGCATTTTGCACCTCCAGCTCTTCAGTGTTATTGTCTCATTCCACTGACCCACACTATTCTTTGTGAAACCAAGGCACTTTTCTAAAAACTTCTGTGCACAGATTTGAGCTGCTTCTTCAAAGTCCATAGATTGGGTCTCTCAGATTGTTTGAAAGATATCCAGTTCAATTGTAATCAGAAGGGGGTTTCTCAAAGTTTTAGGGTAGCATCCCTTCATACTCCATAAGTACTGGACTTAATGTGCTTGTGGTGGAAAGTTCTCCATCCTAATTATTTTCTCAAGTAGAAATAAATTTTGATTTACCTGAATACAACTTCCTTCCTCTGGTCTGATACAGGGGTTCTCTGGACTGATGCTTCGTAGTGTTTCTCTCTTATATCCCTGAGAGGGGTTGGGGAATGCCATGCAGAGAATTATGTGAAGGGGTGGCCTGCCCCTCCACACCTGTGGGTATTTCTAGTCGGGTGGGACGAGAGACTGAGAAAAGAAATAAGACACAGAGACAAACTATATAGAAACAACAGTGGGTCCAGGGGACCGGTGCTCAGCATACCAAGGACCTGCACCGGCACCGGTCTCTGAGTTCCCTCAGTTATTATTGATTATTATCTTCATTATTTCAGCAAAAAGGAATGTAGCAGGAGGGCAGGGTGATAATAAGGACAAAAACATGTGAGCAATAGAATCTACATCATAATTAAGTTTAAGGGAAGGTACTATGACTGGATGTGCACATAGGCCAGATTTATGTTTCTCTCCACCCAAACATCTCAGCAGAGTAAAGAATAACAAGGCAGCATTGCTGCAAACATGTCTCGCCTCCCACCATAGGGCGGTTTTTCTCTTATCTCAGAATTAAACAAATGTACAATCAGGTTTTATACCGAGACATTCAGTTCCCAGGGGCAGGCAGGAGACAGTGGCCTTCCTCTATCTCAACTGCAAGAGGCTTTCCTCTTTTACTAATCCACGTCAGCACAGACCCTTTACGGGTGTTGGGCTGGGGGATGGTCAGGTCTTTCTCATCCCACGAGGCCATATTTCAGACTATCACATAGGGAGAAACCTTGGACAATACCCAGCTTTCAAGGGCAGAGGTCCCTGCGGCTTTCCGCAGTGCATTGTGCCCCTGGTTTATTGAGACTAGAGAATGGCGATGACTTTTACCAAGTATACTGCTTGTAAACATTTTGTTAACAAGGCACGTCCTGCACAGCCCTAGATCCCTTAAACCTTGATTTCATACAACACATGTTTTTGTGAGCTCCAGGTTGGGTCAAAGTGGCTGGGGCAAAGCTGCAAATTAACAACATCTCAGCAAAGCAATTATTTAAAGTACAGGTCTTTTTCCAAATGGAGTCTCTTATGTCTTTCCTTTCTACATAGACACAGTAACAGTCTGATCTCTCTTTCTTTTCCCTACATTTATGTATCCCACTGTTAAGAGAAAAATTTTAGGCTGCCTTATCTGGAGTGTGAGAGGTAAGGAAAATCTCCCTTCTGAAGTGGGCATCAAAGTTGTTCTTACATTGAGTTTTTGCATTAAAATACAAAAATAAATCGATACAAGAAATAAAATGTTTTCTACAGTTACAATATGTATGTAAAGCCAACATCAGGCAAAATATTTCCAAAGATTCCAAGATATTGGCTAAAATTATTAACTGATAAAATATTTTTTTTTTAAAATTTAAAAAATTCTTTTAGATAAAAAGTCATCATTTGGAAGTTTATTGTTGAAAAATTTATGATTCTTAATGAGATGATATTTGAAGATTTTTTTAAGATTTGCCAAGGTAAATCAATCTTTTGAAGAAACCTAATTATCCATTGTTACACCGATCTGAAGACTCCTGAAATGCCATAACTTGAAAGACATGGTTGTGGCCTTCAAAGTTTCAATAAAAAGACACTCAAGGAACCAGGCTTACTCTTCTCTATAATAGTCAGTCTTCACTTGGCTGCAGAGACTTGTGAGAGCTAACACTGCTACACTATGAGGTCCTGATCCCTAAACTGATGTCATGTTACTTCTACAGCAAGCATTGGTAAGACCATAGGTATGTTCCTCAGGTGAGTTCACAATTTACAGAAGCGAAGTTTCTACTATGTGAAGCTGAACAAACATAATTTAATTTACACATCAGCAAACTGAGATTGTTTTTACGAAATAATGTTCACTTAGTTGGTAAAAATGACTCAATTTCTATATCCTATTTATAAATTATTTTGTCATGTCATTTCACTATGTATTTTTGAATTAATATAATGATTTTTTGTCTATTGTTTTATATATTTTTGGTTGTTCATATGTACGGTAAGGACTCAACAGCATTTGCCAGTTATCTTATAATTCTCTTTTGTACATCCTATAAATTATTTAGTAACATTTTATTCTATAAATAGGCCTCACATGTATTACATACTACTTTATAGGTGGTTTTGCTTCTGAGTCTGTTGGCTACAATCAAGTGTAGTAAAAGTGGTGCATTCATATATACATAAAAGAGAAACTATTCTCAATACACAAGTAAATAATGCATGAAATAATTAGGAAAATATTCTTTCTGATTGTGGTAATTTTTTCTCTTCAGAAGCTTCTGATGATGGACCAATTCTAAAAAAGTCAGGAAATCTTTAGGCCTGCAAAAAAGTGATGCTGGTAATTATCAGAAATCCTCAGGAATGAGAGTGCCATTTGTGCTAACCTCCTGTAGAAATGAGGACCACAATATCTACTTTTGTAAAATAAATGTTTATTACATGATCATTACTTTTTATTTCACAATAGAAACTGGTTCTTACCAGTTTTAAAGGACTTGAAGTATATTGCTGTGTTCAATTATTTAATTATTGGTGTGTTTCAATGCAGGGATGTAGATGATAAAGATATGACAGATTCAACAGCTTATTATATTTATATATAAAGAGGCTGGTTGAAACATGATTCAATTTTACAAAGTTTACTATAATTCTTTTAAGAAAATGTTATTTCAGGTTTAGAGGTCGGTGGTAGCCTTGCTGTACAGGTAAAGTGTGTGTCATGGGGATTTGGTGTACAGATTATTTAGTCACCCAGGTAATAAATATAGTACACAATAATTTTGTTTGTTTGTTTGCTCGTTTTTGTCTTCTTCCTTCCACACTCCAGCTTCAAGTAGGCCCTCATGTCTTCTACTCTTTTTGTGTCCATTTGTTCTCATTGTTTAGTTCCCACTTATAAGTGAGAACATATGGTATTTGGTCCTCTGTTCCTGCATTAGTTTGCTTATGATGACGATCTCCAGCTTTATTCATGTTGCTGCAAAAGACATGATATCATTTTTTATGGCTTTATTGTATTTCATGTTGTATATGTACCACATTTTCTTTATCCAGTCTACTGTTTATGGGCATTTAGGTTGATTCCATGCCTTTGCTATTGAAAATAGTGCTGTAGTAAACAGAGGTGTGTGGGTGTCTTTATGTTAGAACAAATTGTATTCCTTTGGGTATATACCCAATAATAGAATTTCTGAGTCTAATGGCAATTATGTTTTAAGTATTTTGAAAAATGTACACTACTTTCTATAAAGGCTGAACTAATTTATACTTCCTTCAGCAGTATATAAGTGTTTCCCTTTCTTCATGCTCTTGTCAGCATCTGTTATTTTTGACTTTTTAATAATGGCCATTCTCATTGGTGTGAGATGGCATCTCATTGTGGTTTTGATTTGCATTTCCCTAATGATTAGTGATGTTGAGCATTTTTTTCATATGTTTGTTTGCTGCATGTTTTTTTTTTATAATGTACTTAGAAGCTGATTTTGGGTGGGGACCTGTTTAAAATGACAACAGATATCAAAGGAGAAATTTGATTTTGTTAATATGTCTTGTATATACAATGTACTCATGCATTTTTATCAATGGGTTGCAAGGAAGGCATTTTCTAGATCATGAGTGAGAGACAGAATAGAGATCATTGGCATTCTCCATATGGCTATGTTTTATCAATTTGTTTATTCTTATTGAAACTTTCACCTGGTTATAAGGATAATGTATTAAACATCATATTTTAAAGTTGATGGTGCCTAGAACAGTAAATATACCCAAATATAATTTTCGATTAAATTACCGTAGTTGTTTAGAAAGCAATGGTTTCTTGGTTAGCTGATTTAAATTTTGATCAAAGGCTACACCACTTTCTCATAGGGTAATGTTGGAGATGTACTCAAGAGGGGAGGGTTATGACAATTAGATGAAATAATAAGATTAAATCTCAGGGTGGCAGAGGTAAAGAGATTAAAAGGAAGATGAGGTTCATAATGATGAGCACTCCATTTTCTACTGAATGCCTAATTTGTACCATGCAGTATTCTAAGCATGGAAGATAAATCCGTGAATAAAATACATAAATGTACTTGCATTTATGAGTTTTGAATACCAATGGGAGAGTGATAAAGTCAATTGATTAAAGTTTTACTTATACATAACTTTGCTAACATCAAGATACAGTCTAAATTTTCAGAGAACCACTGGCTAAGAAAACTTATGGAAAAAGAGGCTTTTACATTGGAAAAATTTAGTACCTTAAACAAATATATAGTATACTGGAATTAGCAAAAAAGAAGTGTTCATAGAAGATGCTTATGAAGATGCTATATAGAATCATTATTTGTTTTCTCCTGTAAATGATTATATTACACATGGTCTACAGTCTGAAATAATCTTAAATAGACTATTATAGAGAGTAAGCAGGCAAACATGATCCTTCTACTCTCCCTAAAGTACTTTCATTCAGTATTTCTGACCCCTGTCCATCAGTTAAGGTCTGAAATCCATAATGCTTGTTTTCTGATACTCACATTCATAGTTATTTTACCCCACAGAAGAAGCTATTAAATGAAATGACATATTTATGGACAAAAAATCCAATGAAATAAAAAAACCTAAATGAGGAGTATAGAATAACCAAAGAGTGGATGATAAGTATGAGACTGTTATTTCCATCAGAACCTTTTCAACACAGACGTGCTATAATCTTGTCTATCTGTTTTGTTAATCTTTTCAAAATTTCTGCCCATTAAGAATGTGATCTGAAATTATCATGGTTTATGACATTCTGTAAATGAGTAGAACAATAGTAAAAATGTAAAGATAATAAAACTTTTTAATGTAGGGTCACATTCTTCTTATTATTTCTAGACTCTAATGTATCAGAACTCTAAAAAATATTCAAAAAAAGTTCAACAAGTGGTAAGTCGAAGGCACATACAGGGATTTTGAGAAATTTGGTAACCCTTAAGGTGTTCAGGCAAAATTTCTCAATAGACTGAAAATAAAGCTGATTTCAGAGAGACAAACAGATGTTAAATGTCCACAGGTATTTCAGGTAAAATTTTGTTTGTGAGATAAATTCTAGGAATTAAAGAGCATGTAATTGGGTATTGCAAGTATTTTACACTGAACAGTACAATGATCCCTTGGGGATACCAAAAGTTATGAACAGCAATTTCAAAAATGTGCCTGTGGTGATGAAAACTGATAGCACAGGAGCTAGACAATAATATGGGCTTACGTAGGAGAAAACAGAACATGTTGCAAATCTGAAAAAAGGAGGAACACAAGCTTGAGGGAAAAATAAAATTACAGAAGAATATACAGATTATGATATTTCTATAGTTTCAAAATAAGCAAAACTGCAGAAATATACACTATATTATTGAGGGCCAGAAGCACAGGTAGGAAGTGATAAGGTAAGCAAGCATGTGGCTTTCAATAAACTGCCTAGCAGCTGTTGCTCTGGGAAGGAGCACAGTGGGCAAAGAAAGAGGCACACATTGGGCCTGGGAGTGAAAGGCAGTATTTTATCTTTTAACATGTAGAGGACACAGGCCATTGCTAACTTGTTTTTCTTTATAATGTGAACATATTCCATAGCACTTTTGAATTTGTTAAATAAAATAAAAATAATAAATGTCAACAACACTTTAGATAAACACAATAAATCACATAGACCAATAGTGCTCCCAGACAGTTGGAGCTCCCTCTCTTCTTCTGGGTTTTGCAGATGTTGGGAAACAGATGTTGTGTGGCTTCACAGAAATGGCGTTCTAGGGGGTAGGGTTTGGGAAAACAGGGTGAATGCTTTCTTCAACTTTTCACAGAGCAGGAGCATAAGACAAGAGTAGAGGGCCCTGGAACATCAGGGTCTGGAGACAGAGTGATGCTGTTAGTTCCAGTGGAAATTCTGCTATGAGCCACATGGTCACGGGTTCTTTCAAGAGAGCAGTAGTCAAGCAGAGCATGTGCACAGTGCTTCAAAGCTATTTTTGCTCTAGACAAAAATTCAGCAAACTACAATGGCTAGACTGAAGTAATTAGCTTCTATCCACCTCACTTTCCAATTACTTATTTAAAAAACTTTCCTCCTGTACTGGCTTCAGAGGCTTTGACTACAGTATTTTCTCTGGGATATCCACTGCACCACGGATTGGACCTTCCTGAAGTCCCAGTCACTCACCATAGCCCAGTGCTTGGCTATGCTCAGGGCCAAGGCCAAGGGTTCCTCTGTCCATCATACAGGATAAATGAGTGACTGGCAGTGACAGTAGAGAGGGAAGGTGGCTGGCACTAAAGAAGTTTGAAGGCTATGGTTTTTTTTCTTCAAAGGCATAATACCTGGAGACAAAGGCTTTGGGTACTTGGGGTGCAGTGGGGATGAAGACCAGTGATTCGAGGTTTTTATGGCATTAGACAGCACTCAGGAAACACAGGGATGGACAGTGCCTAAAGGAATCAGGAAACCAGACCAGGTCTTGTGGCTTGTGCCTGTAGTCCCAGCACTTTGAGAAGCTGAGATTTGAGACCAGCCTGGGCAACCTAGCAAAACTCCATCTCTATAAAAAATAAAAATATAATTTAGCTGGGCATGGTGACACATGCCTGTGGTCCCAGCAATTCAGGAATCTGAGTTGGAAAGATCACTTGAACCTGGGAGGCAGAGGTTGCAGTGAGCTGAAATTGCACCACTGTACTCCAGTGAGACCCTGTCTCAAAAAAAAAAAAAAAAAAAAGAGAGAAAACTTTTGTCCAATAGGACTGAGCAGTGTCTGGCAGTTTTGGTTGGAGACATTTGAAACACTGGACTAGCAATTAGGAGGAGGACCCAATTTCAGAAAGGTTGCCTGGCTCAGTTTCGCACATAGCAGCAACCCACAAGGGCTTACCTTTCCGCCTGGTACTGCCTCCCACAGGACAGTGATGAGGGGCATTCATCCCACACCTAACCTTTAGTGTGGTCCACACTCTTAACAGTGCTACAGGCCTCATCTCTAGAAACTCTTATGGGAACCCCCAAACCAATAGCTACTGGCTTACATAATTTATTCAGGAAAAAAATCTGGCAAAGGCCAATATTGATAACTTTAACAGCTGACACAAAATGGATCAATTCATTGAAAGATACATGCTACCAAAACAGATGGAAGATAAAAGTTGATAAAATGAATAGCTGGTCTATGTTTAGAAAAAAAATGAATCCGTAATTTAAAAATTCCCCACAGACTTGTTTTGTGCAAAGATGAAGTGACAGAACTAGGATTTACTCTGCTATCATATGTAAAACAAAAACCAAAGGACAAAAATATAATAAGAAAGAACAATTTTCAGACATTGGAGTCACAATAGGGGTCACAAGAGATTGAACCCTGAGAGAGAAAAAAACAGACAAAGGAAGCCTAATGATAGCCCCAGTGTACTAACTGAAGACTTCTGAATGTCAGCACTTAGTGCTGTAGAAGGAATGTACATGGAGTCAATAGGTCTCTCTAAGTTGAAGAGACAGACTTGGACATTTGGAAAGATCAAGGTGACTGCAGTTTCCATGACTGAGTACTGGTTGAGGGTAGAGCTGCACAGAGAGACAGAACCAGAGATCTGTAGAGATGTCCATAGCTGGATTCAGCCACTGAGTGCAGATCAGTCAATGCCTGTGAGGAACATATTCAAGGAGACCAAGAAAAGAACCAGCCCAAAGGAGCAGAGAGAATACGGGCAGTTCACACAAGGCCAGTTGATGTTCTCCTCATACAGAGGAGTGGGAAAAAGTTGATAGAAGAGGTTGATGTTCCCGTAATCCACAGTGGGAAATTCTCACACTGCAGGGGGTATCTGGTGGAGTACTTAAAAGGGTATTGCTTTACTGGTGAGAAAAATCTAGCACAAATTAGAGACATCTGAGACAGACACACAATAATAGTGGGAGACCTCAACACCTCCCTGACTGCATTAGACTGACCATCACTGTGGAAGACTAAAGAAAGGCTGGAATTTAATTCAACACTTGACCAATAGAACCTAATAGACATCTACAAAATACTTCACCCAACAACCACAGAATATATATTCTTTTCATCTGCATGCAAACGTATTCTAAGATGAACCACATGCTTGATCATAAAGCAAGTCTCAATAAACTCAAGAAAATTGAAATCATACCAAGCACACTCTTGTAACACAGTGCAATAAAAATATATAGATCTCTAAAAACTATACAAATACATGGAAAATAATAAACTTGCTCCTAAATAATTCTTATGTGAACCATAAAATTAAGGCAGATATCAAAAGTTCTTTGAAATTAATAAAAATAGAGACACAACTTACCAAAATCTTTGAGATGCCACTAACACAGTGTTAAGAGGAAATTTTATAGCACTATATGTCTTCCTCAAGAAGTCAGAAGAATCTCAAATTAATAATTTAACAATGCACTCAGAGAAACTAAAAAACAAAAAGCAAAAAAAAAGATATATATAGAGAAAACCCAAACCAACAGCAAAGCTAGTAGAAGAAAAGAAATAACTAATATCAGAGAAGAACTGGATGAAATTGAGATGCAAAATTCATACAAAAGATTAATGACACTAAAAGTTGGCTGTTTGAAGGAATAATCAAGATTGATAGACCACTAGAGAGATTAAAAAAAGAAGAAAAGATACAAATAAGCACAATAAGAAATGTCAATGATGACATTACAACCAATATCACAGAAATACAAAAGATTCTTACAGACTTCTATGAATACCTCTATTCACAAAAAACAGAAAATCTAGAAGAAATGGACAAATTCCTGGAAAGACACAACCTGTCATAAATGAACCAGGAAGAAAGTAAAAATATCAACACACCAAGAAGTAAAAAAATAAACAGACCAATAACAAGTTCCAAAAATAAATCAGTAATAAAAAAAACCTAGCAACCAAAAAAAAAAAAAGAAACTATCATAGACCAGATGGATTCACAGCCAAATTCTACCAGACATACAAAAGAACTGGTGCCAATACTACTGAAACTATTCCAAAAAATTGAGAACGAGGGACTTCTCAACTGAAAGCAATGTTATAAGTACTATACAAAGATAACCTGAGAGGATTTAGTGCCAGAAGATATAATATCTACAAGAAATATACATAGAAGTTCTTTAGACAAAAGCATATGAGGCCAGAAAGAAAGACACTTGGATCTACGCAAAAAAAAAAAAAAAAAAAGAAAGAAAACCAGAAAATCAATAAAGGAAGACTTAGCCTGAAAGGGAAAGGATGAATACATACCAGACAAAGGCTAACCTAAAGAATGCTGCAGTAGCTACATTAACTTTAGATAAGGTAGACTTAGGGAAAAGAGATATCATTAAGGACTGAGAAAATATTACATACTTATCACAGTTTAATTTTCTGAAAGTAGATAAAAATCCTAAGTATATATGCATAAAGCAAGAGTTTCATAATGCACAAGGCAAAACTTGTACAATATCTATTGTTCATGAATTTTGATTCTGTTATCCTAGTTTTTCTCTGTTTTTACTTAGAGGCTTGGAAATAGTGCGAAATTATACTGCACCTCTATATCTTTTCTGAATTGCCAGGTGAAAATTTTAGAATTGTGTAAACAAAGGATGCCTCTAAACTGTATCTCAGTGGGTTTAGTGGTTTTCATGAGCTGTGTGAAACAGAAGACCAGATCAAAAATATTTTTACATTTTAAAAGTTTTACTGCACTTTCTATTAGTTGCCTTTGCATTCAAGGATCTCCTATCATTATGTACAAATATATAGTGTTTGCATATATATATATGTATGTATGTATACACACACACAATCAAAAACACTATTTTTTTAAAAAAAATTCTGGTACTTTGAGTCAAAGTTGAGACCAAATTCTAGCAAGGTTATAGGTTTTTATGTGCATTGCAGAGAAATGTCATTGATTGTATTTTTATTTATTCAATGTAATATATCTTGTTTTATAATATACATTAAATGTTTTTGTTTGAATTAAATAAAGGAGAAATATGGATGATAAAAGAAAGGAGAAGATGAAGGTGAAAATTAACCTGACATTTTCTGTGAATCTACTGTGCAATAGGTACTTTATCAGCATTGTCTAACTTTTACGTATATCTAATCTCACTGTAATTTGTTTCCCAGTTCATGAATGTATAGATGAGGAACAGAAAAGCAAAGAGATCATTATTTTAACCAATAATATTTTATTGTAATAGCAAACTCAGAAGTTTATTCTGTATTTGTCAGTATTTGTGCTTTTTAAACCAAATAATACCACCTTTAACTTGAGTGTCATGAAGTCGAGAACTGTACCATTCATCTCTGTATCCTACACAAGGAGGGCTAGTCTTAAAAAAGAGTAGGCCCGGCGCGGTGGCTCACGCCTGTAATCCCAGCACTTTGGGAAGCCGAGGCGGGCGGATCACGAGGTCAGGATATGGAGACCATCCTGGCTAACACGGTGAAACCCTCTCTCTACTAAAAAAATACAAAAAATTAGCCGGCCTTGGTGGCGGTCGCCTGTAGTCCCAGCTACTCCAGAGGCTGAGGCAGGAGAATGGCGTGAACCCGGGAGACAGAGGTTGCAGTGAGCCGAGATCATGCCACGGCACTTCTGCGCTTCAGCCTGGGCGACAGAGCGAGACTCCATCTCAAAAAAAAAAAAAAAAAAGTAGGTGCTGAATACATTTTAAAACATTTTATTTAAAATCACTAGCAAAGCTCCAGTTGAATTTGAACATCTCACAATCTAGCCTGAGCTATAGGCCTATCACTTAGTGGCAAATGTCACTTACAGTATCTTCTGATTTGGAAGTAAAAAAGAATCAGATCTTTAAAATTAATTTTGTAAACTTAATGTTAAGAAGAGAAACAGGGACATACTATGCAACAGCATTTTCCAAATAAATTCAACCCGTCAGCCATCTAGAATTCATATAAGAATACTTAAATCCCCAGATTCTATAAGAAAATGAAAGCATATATTTACACCTATCATACTACTGAAACTGTCTACAAGATCCTAAGGCAATACAAGATTCACTAATTTTTTAATGTCCCATATGCCTTCTGCATTACTTTCCTTATTTTTATTAAGCAAAAACTCAAAATAAGCCTTAATAAAAATTTGTTTAAAAAAACGTGGAAACACATTTTAGAGTCTGCACTATATAGATATAAAATACATAATGGAAATATAAAATTACATATATAAGTAAAACTTTTGAAAATCTGTCTTAAAAATATTTTGATTTCTCTTATCAAAATATTTATAAATCAATTTTTGAATAAAATTTATCTTTCACTAAACTGCCTTCTCTGCTTATTTTGTGATTAACAACCAGAAAAGCTGATGAAAATTTAACTATCAAGAAAATTTATTAAAATTCATTGAGCTTTGGAGGCTGCATGACACCCTTCACGGAGCTCGTATTTATGACATCATGTTGAGAGGCTGTGTCACATTCACTGTGCTAATGGAGTAGAGGCAGGGAACATCATTGAGATAATATTCGGACAATAGGGTGATTTGTAAATTGTTGCCAAGGGCAAGCATTCTCAAGGAAGGAGCAGGATTTACAAGTAGGATGAATTCTGAGTTTTTGACACTCCTAAATTTTTCCGGAAGAAAATGTGATGGAGATGTCAATGAGACAATTACTTTGTGATCTGAAGTTCTGTAGATATACATAGATTGGGGTATCAGTTTAAGACTCATTAACATAACAATGATAGATAAAAAATGTGACACATTATGAGTTCAAGCTGGAAAGGTGTGTAGACTAAGAAGAGAAGGTACAAAATGTGAGAAAGAGAAAGCAACAAAGGAGATTGAGAAGGCCAATTTGGGAAAAAAATGGTACTTAAAGAAAAAGAATGCCCAATGAATGTGAGCCAATTAATAAATGTGTGAAATACAAAAAAACAAATAACTCTACAATCTTATTTCACCATTTTAGCTTACTAGCTCCTTGAAAATTCAGCTCAAGCATCACTGTTAAAAAGGGACACCTGGCTTTTTTTGTCTTTCATAATAGCACATTCTAGCACGTGGATGACTGCTTGTATATTTAACACTAATTTTTCCCCCAATTTTCTGCAAAGTGAAAGAGAGCAAATATTAATCCAGTCCATTCTCTGTGTCTGGGACAGTTCTGTGAGAGATTTTTCTCTTTCGTTCTTTTCCCTTATCTTCATTTCCTTTCAATACTTTAGGGAAGAGAGTGAGATAAGTCTTTGGGCTTTAATTAAATATCTAATATCTTCTTCTGAGCCCCTCTCAGGTTTTATTACCCTGCGGGAAGAAACAATACAAATTTTGACCACAAAATATGAAAAATAAGAGGTATCACATTTAATGAGTACAACTGAAGCAATACATAATTATATACTGATATAAGAATGGTTGAAAGAATTGCATGAACTTTAGTCATATTTTCAATACAGCAAAGTCAATTGGTTTTATTTTTGAAATGTGACAAGGGCTTAATAGTTGGTAACTCGTTAACTCAATTCCTCATAGTAGCATAATTAAGTGTGATGGTTAATTTTATGTATCAGCTTGAATTGATCTCTGTAAAGTAAGCTTCCCTTCCCAGTGTGGGATGTGCATTATCAAACCCATTTAGGGCCTGAATAGAACAAAGCACAGATGGCAGAGGACACGGACACTTGCAGTATGTGTGATTCTGTATTTCTGAGCAGAAAAAAGAAAAGTTGCTTTCCTTCAGATTAATGAGAGGAATTTCACCCTATTTGCCATGTCCCTTGTATAATTAATTTACGGTTAACAATATAAATGGAAAATTGCCTATTCTGTAATTGAAATTTATGTTTGCCTTTCATATGCTCCATTTTTAATATCAGTATCTCCACATCCCACCCAAGCCTGCATTGTGCCAGATTTCACATGAACCTATCTTAAATAGAGCTGAATAAGACAAAACACCAGGCCCTTCACTCAAGAAGCTTAATATAACAGAAAGGTCCTGGAGACAGAGAGTAAAAAGTTAAAGTGGAAGGAGAAATGGCTAAAAGGGAAAGAACATTCATTCTATAGTGACCTTAGTACGACCACTTTCTAAGTGCAGCCAGATGTTCATGGCTAAAGGTACAGTTGAGAAGTTCAAGATACAATAAAACAAGCCCAAGAGCTCCTCCAGACATACGTCCAGCTATTGTCTTTATATGGGGGATCTTGAACCTGTAATAAAAAACTAATTTTATAGATTCTTCAAGATCTGTGCATGAGAATGAATTCTTTCTAGTGAACCGCTCTGCTTCTCCTTTTAAATAACAAGGATTTAATGAGAATTTTAAAACATTTTTCATTTTATTTGGTTAACTATTCCTCACATTTAAGCCTCAGTAAAAGTTTTTCTTCCTCCAGAAAGTCCCTGCAAAATACCTGACATTTACTAGAACTTGAAAACATAGCAGATCTGGTGACTACTATTTGTTTTAACAATTATTTTTTGTTCAAAGTCATGCCTCTTGTACATGTTTCCTCAGATCACTCTCTAAATTCTCATAACTCTTTCACTAGTCTTTTTAGGATAATCTTCTATCCTAAGACAAAGTATCACATAAGTAAAATTGCATTATGAATAAATATAATATTAAATAAAACCACATCTTTGCTGGGTGTGGTGGCTCACACCTGTAATCACGGCACTTTGGGAGGCCTAGGCAGGTGGATCACTTGAGGTCAGAAGTTCGAGACCAGCCTGGCCAACACAGTGAAACTTTGTCTCTATTTAAAATACAAAAATTCACAGGGCACACTGGAGCACACCTGTAATCCCTATTACTCAGGAGGCTGAGACAGGAGAATCATTTGAACTCGGGAGGCAAGGATTGCAGTGAGCAGAGATCATGCCGCTGCACTCTAGTCTGTGCGACAACTGAGTGGGACTGTCTCAAAAATAAATAAATAAATAAATAAAACTACATCTTGAATGGAGAATAAATAAGGAGTGTAACCTAGGGCCTTTGGGGGAAAATATGCATTAGAAGGGAAAGAGGACAGCCTTAAGATGACAGTGGAAGGTGAAGTCCTGTGAATGAGATTCTGAATATCTGAGAAGAATATTTTTGAGAACTATTTTTAATTTTCAGGAAAGAAAGGCGTAGCCTTTGAATGACATTAAAAATTTACTAGAAGAGTGACACATAATAGAGATAAAATCACATAAGTAACAAAAGTCTCCAAACATCAATTAAAGTGTTCTAAAGTATTGGAGCATAATCAAAGTCCATATTTGGAAAAGAGGAGAGAATGAATAATAGCTCATATATTAAACTTTATTATGTGAAAAATACTTTTATAAAATTCTTCCATAAGAAATACAGCTATGAATTAAAACTTACAAAAGAATAAAGCATTAAAATAAATTGTGAAAAAATTTGAGGATTAATTTGAAAATTATTTAATTTTAATGTCAAAAATCAAAGTTATTTCATCAGTGTCCTAAGAAAACTAAAATAAAAACAAACTTAATAATGTAAAACAAAGAATAACTAAGAAAAAAAGTAACATTCACATAGAAAAGTAAAAAAAGAAAAAAAAAGAAATGAAGAACTAAATAATTCCATACATTGTGTTCCAGATCAAAATTTACCCTCAAATGGTTCAGGAATGAAAAGTAGTCTTAAACTTCTGAATATTTTGTAAGTGATGATTATAAAAAATAAATATAAGATGTATTCTAACTCAGAAAACGGGGAAATTACATAAAATTGACATTAGAAAAAAAGATGTGGAATATTCAGAATCCAGTCTAGGAAGGAAAAAACTCTGTCTTTCCAATTCTAAAAGTTAGGATGATGTGTATAAGCAGTAGAAATGAAAATACAGTTGAGTTTTTGTTGTTATGTGGCCCTTTTATGAGCCAGAAATTTTTTCAAACTGTAGTCAGTTAAAGGGTGGCCCCTGAAAATATATTTCTAAGTCCTAACCTCTGATACCTGTGAATATGACCTTTTGAAAATAGGATCTTTGCAGATGTAATTAACTTGATGATTTCCCAATGAGATCAATCTGGATTTAGGATGGGACCTAATTCCAATGACTGGATAGAAGAAATTAAAGGAAGGTCTGAGACACATAGCCATGTGGCGACAGAGGCAGAGACAGAGTTCACTGGAGCTATGCTGCCACAAGCTGATGAAAGCCAAAGGTGGCCGTCAGCCAGCAGAGCTAGCAGAGAGGCAGGAGGTGGATTTCCCCTCAGAATCCTCAGAGGGAACCAATTCTGTCAACATCTTGATTTTAAACTTCAGACTTTGAGAACAGTGAGAGAGTGAATTATTGTTTTATTTGTGATAGTTTATCACAGCAGCCCCAGGAAACTAATATGCAAATGGTTTTACACTTTCTATTTTATTTTTTTCTTCAAAACTCATTAGGTCGTTTTATGCTTGCTGTTCCATTACTTAGATGATGGAATCTGGGGCCAGGCATGCTTACTCCTGTAATCCCAGCACTTTGGGAAGCCAAGGCAAGAGAGTGGTTTGAGCTACAGAGTTCAAGACTAGCCTGGGCAACAAAGTGAGATCCCCAGCTCTACAAAAAAAAAAAAAAAAAAAAGGAACTAGGAAAACTAAGAATTTATATAAGGCCAAGCACAGTGACTCATGCCTGCAATTCCAACATTTTTGGAGACCGAAGCTGGAAGATTGCTTGAGCTCAGGAGTTCAAGACCAGCCTGGGAAACATAAGAGAGACTACTCTATTAAAAAAAAAAATTAGCCAGGCATAGTTGTACATGCCTGTAGTCCCAGCTCCTCTGGAAGCTGAGGTGAGAGGGTGACTTGAGCTCTGGAGGTCGAGACTGCAGTGAGCCTTGAGTGCACCGCTGCACTCCAGCCTTGGTGACAGAGCAAGACTCTGTCTCAAAAATAAATAAATAAATACATAAACAAATAAAAAGTTCACATAGTTTCACAAAGTAACACAAGTAATAACAAAATATCAAAAATAACAAGATGCTATAAAAAGAACATTCAAACAACAAAATAGATTGTGTCAATTCAAAATACCACTATAAAGTAATAACTTTAGTGGAATATTAGGAAAATAAAAAAGGCTATTGAGCACTTTGAAAACTTTGCAGATAACCAAGGCTGCAACCTGAAGTTCCAGACAACATAGCACTTCTCATATTCTACAAGAAAGATTTCCAATTAAATTTTAGATATCATGCTGTACATAAAACTGTATAATATCTAGGACTTTCCCTCCAGAAGTTCACAATTTGTATAAACAAAGAATGAAAAATAAAAGAAATACTTATCTGCAGACTCTGTAGGTCTCCACCTCCTCTCTTGTCTGCTCTGGGTGGCCTAAGGATATGCTTGCCTTGGGAAGGTGCAAGCACTGTGGGCTCAAGAGTGGGGAGCCTCTTTCCCTGGTAAGGGGAGGGCACCATTGGGATCACTGGTGCCATCTCCTGCAATGGATCTTCTGATGTTGGGTCGAAGAGAACCTCAGGAGTTGATTTCCCTGGGCGCGTGGAGCGGGATCCTTCCTTAGCTATCTGTCCCGTTGCTCCTAGTATTGCTGCTGCCTGCCCTCTTAGCCACTTTGGGGGGTCTAGCACCAGCTGTCACCAAGTGTCTATGTATGGGAACTGGTCTAGGTATCCTTTACCAGTTACCTTGTGCCACACCTTAGAAACAAGGGACCTGTCCAGGCTTCCTTCTGATGGCCAACCCACTATTAAAGTTGGGTAATCTACTTAGCATGAAGTTGTAAGTTCCCCTTGTAGTCTAGTGGTTAGAATTCTGCGGTCTCACAGCCGCGGCCCGGGTTCGATTCCCATTCCGGGAACCAAGAAATGGTCTGGACAAGACATGGACAAAACCACTCAGACACCAAATTCAAAAAGGAAGAGGGTGTTTTTTTCGGCCTGGAGCGTCGGCAGACTCGCGTCTTAAGAGCCGAGCTCCTGGAAGGAAGACAGAGTTCCTGGCCCTTTTCAGGGCTTACAACTCTAAGGGGTTCCACGTGAAAGGGTCGTGATGGATTGAGAGCACATGTGCTTAGAGTGGTGAGGGGGTGGGGGAGTAATTTTTTCACCTCAGGCCGGCTTATCAGTGGCACCGGCTGCTGTTGCCACTGACTTCATTCCTGTTGTTTTTCAACTTTTACTTCCTCCACCTCTTCAGAGACAGGAGACAGTCAGAGAAATGGCTTCTCTCCTCAGGGCGACAGGATGATATTACTTCCAATATCGCAGGGGGTGTACACACCCCTGTGAAACTCTTCCTACTATCCAGAGGGAGAGAGAATGATATTACTACCAATACCGCAGGGGGTGTACACAGCCCTGTGATACTCTTCCTAATATCCACAGTGAGAGAGTATGATATTACTCCCAATATCGCAGGGGGTGTACACAACCCTGTGATATTGTTCCTAATATCCAGAGAGAAACAAGATGATATGACTCTCAATATCACAGAGGGTGTACACCCCTCCTGTAATATTGTTCTTACTACCCTGGGAGGGAGAGGATAAGATTACATTGAATATCGCAGGAAATGCACACCCTCCCCCTCTGATACCCTTCCTAATATCCAGAAGAGAGGATAATTTTACTCCCCATATCGCAGAGGCAGTACACCCCCTGTGATATTGTTCCTAATATCCAAGGGGGGAGAGGATGATATTTCTCCCAATATCGCAGGGGTGTTCACATCCCCTGTTACATTATTCCTAATATCTAGGGGAGAGACAATTATATGACAGCAAATGTCACAGGGTCTGTACATCCTTTCTGATATTGTTCCTAATATCCAGGGGGAAAGAGGATGATATCAAATACCAAAGGGTGTGTACACCCCCCCCCCCACCGCGACCGATACTGTTCTTAATATTCATGAGGGGAGACGATGATATTACTCCAAATATCGCAGGGGTTGTTCACGGCCCCTGTGATATTGTTTCTAATATCCAGGGAGGTGGGGGGAAGAAAATAATATTACTTCCAATATTGTAGGTGGTGTATACCCCACCTGAAATATTGCACCGAATATCCAAAGAGGGAGAGGATGGTATGAATACCAATATCGAAGTTTGTGTACTCGCCCCTTGTGATATGGTTTTTAATATCCAGGAGGCAGGAGGATGATATTAGTCCCAATATCTCAGAGGGTGTACGCTACCCCTGTGATATTGTCCCTAACTTCCAGAGGCGAGAGGATGATATCATTCCCAATATCTCAGAAGTTGTACATCCCCCGTGATATTAGGTTGCTCACTCCTGTAATCTGAACAGTTTGGGAGGCAGAGGCGGGCAGATCACCCGAGGCCAGGAGTTCAAGACCAGCCTGACCGACAGGGAGAAACCCCCATGTCTACTAAAAATACATTAGCTGGGTATGATGGCACATGCCCATAATCCCAGCTACTCAGGAGTTGAAGGCAGGAGAATCGCTTGAACCCAGGAGGCAGAGGTTGCGGTGAGCCAAGATTGCACCATTACACTCCAGCCTGGGCAACAAGAGCGAAACTCCATCTCAAAGCAAAAAAACCAAAAACAAAAAACCAGCATGATTTCAAGAGCAGAAAGAATAGCTTAAAAACTAGCATAATGAGAAAGTTAGGAAGCTTCTTATCAAAGCATCTGGAAATATGCAAGAAATTCTTGTGAACTAAAATTTTCATACTGTACTATCAAACACTAGAACTCACTTACTCCATCTTTCTGTATTTTGGGACCCAATTATCCACTTCTCTTCACTCCCCATCCCACCCCTTTTCTTCCCAGCATCTGCTAACCACCTTTATACTCTCCACCTTCCTGAGATTCCTTTTGTGTGTAGGTGTGTGATGGAGTCTCTTTCTGTTGCCCAGGTTGGAGTATACAGGCACAATCCGGGCTCACTGCAACCTCCGCCTCCCAAGTTCAAGCGCTTCTTGGGCCTCAGCCTTCCAAGTAGCTGAGACTACAGGCACGTGTCACCATGCCCAGCTAATTTTTTGTGTTTTTAGTAGAGATGGGGTTTCACCATGTTGGCCAGGTGGGTCTCGCACTCCTGGCCTAAAGTGATCCGTGCGACTCGGCCTCCCAAAGTGCTGGGATTACAGGCCTGAGCCACCACACCTGGCCAAGATTTTCTGTTTTGTTCCTACATATAAGTGAGGACATGTAATATTTGTCATTCTGTGCCTGGCTTATTTCTCTTAATATACAGACCTGCAATCTCATCCGTTTTTTCCACAGTGGAGAGGATTTTATTCCTTTTGAGGCTGAATAATACTTCATTGTGTGTGTATACCACAGTTTCTTAACTGAAACAAATTTCTAAACAGCAAATATTTTTAAAATGTCTCAGAATGTGAAACTATAGGGATACTGTGCCCATTTTATTCTTTTCTATTTCCCATTTTATGTATATGCAAGTGTACAATAAAGCAGCAATCAATGTGTGTATAGATCTATAACTTCAACAAATGTAAAATGAAAATGCTAAGTGGTGGCTGGGTGCGGTCGCTCACGCCTGTAATCCCAGCACTTTGGGAGGCCGAAGCGGGCTGATCACCTGAGGTCGGGAGTTCAAGACCAGCCTGACGAATATGGAGAAACACTGTCTCTACTAAAAATACAAAAAAAAAAAAAAAAAAAAAATTAGCCGGGTATGGTAGCGCATGCCTGTAATCCCAGCTTCTTGGAAGGCTGAGACAGGAGAATCACTTGAATACGGGAGGCAGAGGTTGCAGTGAGCCCAGATCGTGCCATTGCACCCCAGCCTGGGCAACAAGAGTGAAACTCTGACTCAAAAAAAAAAAAAAAAAGAAAAGAAAAGAAAAGAAAAGAAAATGCTAAATGGTAAGAAAAAACAGCATAATAAAACTTTGTATGGTGTTGAAGGACAACGCATTTGAAGATAATATTTGAAGAAATCATATTACAATTAACTTCTTTTCTTACTTATTGGAGCTTGATGCCTCCAAAAACTTCATCACTGGAATCACCTCTGGTGCTTTAAAAAAAAAAAAAAAAAAAAAAAAAAAAAAAAAAATCCATATACCTACACAGGTGCAAGTAAATCAGAATCTCAGGTAATGAGACCCAGGCCTCATCATTCATTTGGAACCTCCCCAGGTGATTTGATTCAAAGACAAGATTGAGGACCGGTGACATGGATCTCTACATACAACCTGCCTAAATAGATTCTCTAGAAGCAGTTTATAAAGAAATTCCTCATGAACTCTGGAAGAGGATATGAATTTGATGTACAGTATGTCCTCACTTATCATCTTTGAAAGTCTCTTGGAAACTTCACCTTTAAGCAAAATTATGTATAGTGAAACCACTTATTCCTCATCAACATCATAACAATTGAACCCAACAATGTTGTTGGAGGACCTGCTGTACATTGTTTCCATAAAGTCAATGTTCAGGGAATTCCAAAATGAAGTGAGGACTTCCTGTATATAAAAAAATTGTTGTGATTCCACCTGGATGACAGGGTTATTGGTCAGAAACTAAAGGAGGCCACCTAGGTATAGAGGATACAGCATGAGGTTTATGCTACACAAAAGATCCCAGAATACTCACCCATTCCAGTTAAAGGCAAAATGAAGAAAGGAATATTCACATAGGAAATGTGGAAATGAATAAAAGCCATCAAGCAACAACAATAATGTGACTAAGGGGCAGGATTTGCAGATGTAGAGATTTAATGTGGTTGACCTTTCTCACCCACACAAGAAAAAGGATGGAGCAGATCTTGAGATAACAGATCATGAGATTCGACTGTTCTGCTGCGCAGCCTCCACAGGGCACTTTGAATGTCCCTATTTCTCAGGCTGTAGATGAAAGGGTTCAGCATGGGGGTGACCACAGCGTACATCACTGATGCCACCACACCATTCCTGGGGGGTGGTGACACAGCTGAAGTCAGGTACACGCCAATGCCTGTTCCATAAAATAAGCAAACAACTGCCAGGTGAGAGCCACAGGTGGAGAAGGCTTTAGACTTCCTATCTGATGATGAAATTCTTAGAATGGAGGGGACATTGTTAGCGTAAGACAAAAGGATCCCTGAAATGGGAAGAAAACCAAACATAATACTATCTAAATATATGAATATGCTATTGATGACACTGTCAGAACAGGCAAGGTTGAGAAGTTGAGATGGGTCACAGACAAAATTGGAGATTTCCACATTCTTGAAGAAGGTGAATTGTAACACAATCCAACTGTGCAGCTGGGAATCCAACAGGCTGAGGAAAAAGGACACCAAAACTAAGAAGACACCAAGGTGAGGATTCATGATGACTGGGTAGTGCAGGGGGTGACAGATGGCCACAAATCGGTCATAGGCCATCACTGTCAGGAGCATGTCTTCTATACATGCAAAAAGGACAAAGAAAGACATCTGTGTCAGGCAGCCCGCATAAGAGATGACTCTGCTATGCGACTGCATGTCCACAATCATCTTGGGAACCATGGCCGAGGTGAAACCGATGTCAGCCCAGCACAGGTTGGAGAGGAAGAAGCACATGGGGGTGTGGAGGTGGGAGTCAGAGCTGACAGCCAGGATGATGAGCAGGTTCCTCAGCACCGTGACCAGGTACATGGACAGGGACAGCCCAGGGAGGACGGGCTGCAGTTCTGGATCCTCTGAGAGTCCCAGGAGGAGGAATTCTGAGATACCTGTGAGATTCCATGGCTCTGTGTGTCTTGGACACCTTAAGAAGAAAAGAGGATTGGAAAAATAAAAGATAAAAACCAGCCCTTAACGCTGTGTGTATATTTTGGATGCAAGCAATTCACAAGGAACATTTTCACACTTGAGGACCATACACTGTCAGCAATATTTCTCAGGTGTGACAAACCCAAAAATCTCAGAATTATTACATGATTTACTTTTTTGCTATTCAACTCTTTCTGTACATACTACTTTAGAGAAAATCCACTGAAGAATGTTAGAAGACCAAAATGTAATACTTAACACATCCGTGATCTCAGTAAAATACGGCCTACTCTTTTCAGAAACAATAACATGCAATAAAAATATTCTTCTCTCTTTAAGAAAAAGATCTCAGTCTAATTGAAAAAAATTAAGCAGCAGTGAAATACACTTTATTTTATTCTGACACAAATTCCTTTGATGTAGAGTATTTAAAAGGACGATAGAAGAGCTAGGACTGCATTATCTAAAAATGAAATCGAACCTTATACTTCTTAATCGGAAGACCTTTTAGCATGCTAGTTACTTTTCATATTTATTGCCATCCTTAGGTTTTCTGACATCATTTCTTCATAAAAGTACATACACACTCAAATATGGGAGCTGTGTTTCCAAATTAATTGAATATATAACTCTTGGCCGAGTGCGATGGATCACATCTGTAATCCCAGCACTTTGGGAGGCCGAGTCTGATGGATCACCTGAGGTCAGGAGTTCCAGACCAGCCTGGCCAACATGATGAAACCCCATCTCTAGTGAAAACAAAAGAAAATTAGCTGGGCGTGGTGGCGGGTAACCCTAGCTACTCAGGAGGCTGAAGCAGGAGAATCCCTTAGAACCTGGAAGGCAGAGATTGTACACCCTGTGATATTAGTTTTGATATCCTAGGGAGATGTTGCTCCTGACATCAGAGTGGGCATACACCTTGTGATATTATTTGTAATATCCTAGAAAGATATTGCTCCTAATATCACAGTGGGTGTACACTCTGTGATATACAAATAATATCACAGGGTGTACACCCACTGTGATATTAGGAGTAATAACTTCCTAGGGTATTACCAATAATTTCACAGGGTGTACACCCTGTGATATTAATTGTAATATCCTACAGAGAAACTACTCCTAATAATACAGTGGGTGTACACCCTGTGATATTATTCATAATATATTATGGAGATATGACTCCTGCTATCACAGTGAGTGTACACCATGTTTGTACATCATGTGGTATTATTTGTAACAACTTAGAAAAATATTACAGCTAATATCAAAGTGGGTGTATACCCTGTGATGTTATTTGTTATATACTAGGTAGATATTACTCCTAATATCACAGTGAGTGTACACCATGTGTGTATACATTGTGAAATTATTGGTAATACCCTAGGAAGATATTACTCCTAATATCACAGTGGGTGTACACCCTGTGATATTATTTGTAATAAATTAGGGAGATATGACTCCTAATATTACAGTGGGTGTACACTCTGTGATATTATTTGTAATGTCCTAGGAAGTTATTACTCCTAATATCAGTGTGGGTGTAGACCATGTGTATACACTCTGTGATATAATTCGTAATATCCCAGATATTTCTCCTAATATCACAGTGGGTGTATACTCTGTGATATTTTTCATAATATCCTAGAGAGATATTTCTCCCAATATCATAGTGGGTGTACACCCTGTGATATTACTTGTTATATACTAGGTAGATATTACTCCTAATATCACAGTGGGTGTACATCCTGTGATATTATTTGTAATAACCTAGGGAGATATGACTCCTAATATTACAGTGGGTGTACACTCGGTGATATTATTCATAATGTCCTAGGAAGATATTACTCCTAATATCAAAGTGGGTGTACACCCTGTGTGTACACTCTGTGATATAATTTGTAATATCCCAGAGAGATATTTCTGCTAATGTCACACTGGGTTTACACTCTGTGATATTATTCGTAATATCCTAGAGAGATATTGCTCCCAATATCTCAGTGGATGTACACTCTGTGGTATTATTCGTAATATCCTAGAGTGATATTACCTCTAATATCTCACTGGCTATACACCCTATGATATTATTCATAATATCCTAGGGAGATATTATTTCTAATGTTACAGTGCCTGTACACCGCGTGTGAACACTCTGTGATGTTATTCGTAATATACTAGGGAGATATTACTCTAAATGTCCCAGTGGGTGTACACCATGTGTGTACACACTGAGATGTTACTTGTAATATCCTAGAGAGAAATTACGCCTAACGGTACAGTGGGCGTACACCATGTGTTTGTATTCTGTGATGTTATTCGTAATATCTTAGAAAGTTATTATTCCTAGTGCCACAGTGGGTGTATACCATGTGTGTACACTCTGTGATGTTATTCGTAATATCCTAGGGAGTAGTTCTCATAACATCACAGTGGGTGTACATCACGTATGTTCACACTGTGCTGTTATTGGTTATATCCTGGGTAGATATTACTCCTAATGTCACAGGGGGTGCACACCATGGGTGTACATTCTGTGATGTTATTCATAATATCCTAGGGAGATATCCTCCTTATTTCATAGTGGGTGTACAGTCTGTGATATTATTTGTAATATCCTTGGAAGGTGTTACTCCTGTTATCACAGTGGGTGGACACCCTGTGATAGTATTTGTAATAACCTAGGGAGATATTGCTGCATACCCTGTGATATTACTTGTAACATTTTAAGGAGCTATTTCTCCTAAAGTCAGAGTGGGTGTACAGCCAGTAATATTCTTCCTAATATCACAGTGGGTGTACATCATGTGTGATATTTTTTCTAATATCCGGGGGGGTTAATATTGCTTCCAATATCACAGAAGATGTACACCCCCCTGTGATATTGTTCCTAATTTCCAGGGAAGGAGAGGATGACGTTATTCCCGATATCACTGACGGTGTACCACCCCTGCCGTGATATTGTTCTTAATATCCAGGAGTGGAGAGAATGATATTATTCCCAATATCACAGGGGGTGTACACCACCCCTGTTTGATATTGTTGGTAATATTCCAGGAGTTAGAGCATGAAATTACCTCCAATATCACGGGGTGTGTAAACACCCCGTGATATTGTTCCTAATGGCCTGTGAAAGAGAAAATATTGCTCCCATTATCACAGGAAGTGTTCACCCCTGACAATATTGTTTTCTAATATCCAGGGAAGGAGAGTATGATATTACTCCCAAGGTTGAAGGGGGTGTACACATTTTTTGTGATATTGTGTCTAATATCCAACAACTTTTCCCTAAAGAATTCTAATTTCTCTTATTTACATGTGTCTATAAATTTTTATTTATTTTTTGTAGTTGATTTTTCCCTTCAGCCTGAAAGAGCCAAAGTCATATCTTCCTGTATGGAGATTTGAGAAGCCTGAATGTTGGATGTGACCCTCAAGATGATCCCCGTATCACTGCAAAATCGGAATGTTTTCTCGTATGGGGCGCTCAGACTTTCACATCTGGCAAATACTATTGGGAGGTTCATGTGGGGGACTCTTGGAATTGGGCTTTTGGTGTCTGTAACAATTATTGGAAAGAGAAGAGACAGAATGACAAGATAGATGGAGAGGAGGGACTCTTTCTTCTTGGATGTGTTAAGGAGGACGTTCACTGCAGGCTCTTTACCACACCCCACATGTGGTGCTATATGTTCCAAGACCTAGCAGCCGAGTAGGATTATTCCTGGATTGTGAAGGTAGAACCATGAGCATTGTTGATGTTGATCAAAGTTCCCTTATATACACCATCCATAATTGTGCCTTCTCACCTCTTCTCAGGCCTATCTTTTGCTGTAGTCACTTCTGACCAGAGACAAATCAGAAATGTGTCCACATGCTGTGGGAACCCCTTTATCCCAGGAAGCCCTCTTTTTTGTGCCTTGTCAAAGAGGACAAACAAGTTACATTTAACTTCTTTAGTTGCCTTCTAATGTCATCACAACTCATTAATAGGGTTTCTATTAAATATGGTGAAAACACTATAACCATGTGTATTGGTTCTTTGTTTAATCATTTTTGGAAAATCATTACCCATGATGCATGGCAGAGAATATATTCTCTGGTTTTTCATTATTTCTGAATGTCACAAAGTGAAATCAGAGATGACAGAGGTGTCTAAATGAAGTTAAAATCAATGGAAGAAAATAGGGATCTTGTGCTTCATGAAAAAACTTGGAGTAAAAAGACTCAGTGGTAACTTGGAAATATTCTCTTTCTCTTCATCTAACAATATTATACTTATCCATGTGTTTTATTTATGAATCTATACTTTGAGGTAATCTTATTTGACCTCCTATGCTGTGCTTATCTTTGTAAATCTCATCTTATATACAAATGCTCATGCCTTATTAGAGTGCTGTTCTACAGTGAAATTTACAAGGTGATCAGGACAATGCTGGATCAATTAAATATTCAAATGGACATAAATGCTCACCCCTACCTCAAACCATACACAGTTCATTTCCACATGGATTCATGGTCTGAAGGTGATGAGAACACAATAAAATATTCTCAAAGAGAAAGATTTCCTAACCAGGACAAAAAAGTAACAATTAAGAAGGAAAATTTAGTTAGTTTATATCAAAAATGATTCTGTGTTTCAAAATATACCATCCAAGAATTAAAATGCAAACCGAGTGGAGAAAAATATTTATCCCGACATATATGCAATAAAATATAATACATGTGATTAAGGATTGTAATAAATAAAAGAAAGTGAACCCAATATAAAATTGGGTAAAATATTTGAACAGGCACTTCATAAAATTGGAGCCATAAATAACTAATAACTGGCCAAATATGAAAAAGGGATTACTTTTATTAGTCCTCAGAATAGTAAAAATTAATCCGTAAATTGAACTGCAGGCCTCCATAAAAATTAGTAAAATTTAAAGACACATAAAATTGTGTGTTGTGAAAGATAAAGAATCAATGAAAGTTATTCATGGCTGGAGGGATATAAACTGAAACAGCTTTTGGCAAACTGACTATGAGTATTCCTTATGCGCTAGATATTCTAATTCTAAAATATGTTCCACAGATTACCTATGTGTATTTCAAGATAAACACAATGTTGATCATTGCATCAATTTTTATAGTAGCTCCAAATTGGAGACATAATAAATATTCATCAATAGTAGAATTGCTAAATAAATTGTGATCTCATCATACAAAAGAATCCTATAAAACAAAGATAATAACAATGAAATGTAACAAATTAATGAATCTCAAAGAGAAGTTTAAGAAGAAGAATTGAAACACACAAATGTTATATTACAGTGTTTTATTTAGATAAATTTCAAACTCCATTAATTAATATTAGAAGTTAGAATATTGAATATTTTGGAAGGTGATCGTTAGGAAACTTAAAAATTAACCAGGATAAGATACAGGAAGCATTGCATTCAAGGAGAGAAACTGTAATTATTTTTCATGAATAAGAGAATTAAATATTTTTAAAAAATATTTTAACATGTAAAATAAGGAGTTTGACATAGATGAATTTGATGTTATGCCTAATTTTTCAAATGCATATATATATAAATAATTTAATTTATGGTAAGTTAACATCATCATGAAGACATAAAACTTTTTTTATTATTATACTTTAAGTTCTGGGGTACACGTGCAGAATGTTCAGGTTTTTTACTTAGGTATACACGTGCCATGGTGGTTTGCTGCACCCATCAACCCATCATCTACATTAGGTATTTAACCCAGTGCTATCCCTCCCCTGTCCCCCCACCCCCTGACAGGCCCTGGTGTGTGATGTTCCCCTCCCTGTGTCCATGTGATCTCATTGTTCAACTCTCACTTATGAGTGAGAACATGAGGTGTTTTGTTTTCTGTTCTTGTGTTAGTTTGCTGAGAATGATGGTTTACAGCTTCATCCATGTCCCTGCAAAGGACATGAACTCATCCTTTTTTATGGCTGCATAGTATTCCATGGTGTATATGTGCCACATACATTTGTTTTACAGTCTGTGAAGAGATTCAGTGAATATCACATTTAAAGACCTGTATTTACCTCCCCGTCTCTCCCGTGTAACAAAACCTAAAACTACAAAGGAAAAGATAAGGAATATCATTGCCCTTGGGACACTGGTAAAACTAATTGAACTTTGGAGATGGGAAAACAAAAAAGAGGAAAAAAATATGTGGAGGATTTAGATGTACACCTGAAGTTTGGACAGGATCATTAAGAAGGTTCCAGCCATGAAGACCCAGAAACAGTGTCAACCTGTGACTGAGCTTCATCAGAATGACAGAGTATGCTTCTCCATCCTCATCCCCACTCCCAACTAGGCTAACAATTGTTGAGTAACAGGTCAAAGCAGTGTCTTCTGGGGGACTGAACGGAATTTGAAGGGAAACTTAAAGGTGAGGATACAGCAGATACTGAGAAAAGCTGCTGAACCAGTCCAATCCGAAACACAAAGTAATGCTAGATGAGCAGGAAACCTATGGTGCACTGAAATTAACTCTAAGAGGAACAAGACCCAAAACCAAATCAACTCCTGACTAGATTGATTCAACCTTCTCCCTCAAAACACACACATTCAGCCTAGTAAAAGGGAACACATGTTGGTTTTGCTTTCTATATTAGTCTACTCTACACAGTTCACTTTTTGAGTAAAACTTACCAGACATATATAGAAACAGAAAAGATACATAAAGGAAACACTGTTAAGAGACTAAGCAATAAATAAAGCCAGATTCAAATGTGGCAGAGGTGTTGGAATTACCTTTCAAGTAGATCTCATAGGTACTGTTTTAGAAGCCCTTAGTAGGGTATAAAGCCTCCTTTTTTTTTTATTATACTTACGTGACAAGATCATCCTTTTATCCTCTTATATAAAAAAATTTCTAATCCACATTCATCTCCGTATTGGCAGTTACATTTTTTGACACTTTACAAATATTAGTCCACTGTCTTATTCTTACATTTATGATTGTGGAGCAGTCTGTTGTCATTCTATTATGTGTTCCCTCAAAATGAAACAGTTTATTTTGGCTTCTTTTAAGAGATTCTTCATCTTCAGTAGTGGTTTCAAACTTAAACACATCATCATGAATCAGCCACCAAAGAAGAAAATTACTAAAAATCAGCCAAAATATATTGTTTTGCACATTCAATACAAAGTAAAGTTATATTTTACACATCCAAAATGGGGATTGGTTGGCTTCCTGAATTCATTTGTTTACTCTGAAAAAATTATCAAACATTATACCCTTGAATATGTTCTCTCCTCATCTTCTCTAGTTAGCTCTACTTTGTGCTACAGCCAATCACACATGATGCTGTTTATAAAGCACATACATGATACTCTCATCCTCGATGTGTCACTCACTCTCCTAGTTTACCTCTGTTTGTCCATCTGTGAAGCCCTCATGACATATCTTTATATCTATTAACCAATTCACACTTTCTGCAGCTTCATTTAAGTTGCTAAACAAAGTTTTCACTAAACAGCAAATTTTACTTATTTCACTTTTTATCAATATAAATTATAATTTTTATTCTTCAATGTCTGCCAAATGTGAAAAAAAATTCATGTATATATTATATATATTTATATATGTATGTGTTATATGGATATACACAAAATTGCTATTGGTAAAGGTGGTTTTCATAGGAGCCTATAATTACTAGAGATTTTATTTTTCCTTAAAGATATTATATTTCCTTAAAGATATTCTATTTCTTAATTTATAATACAGATAATTCTTATGCTTTTATTAAAAACATAAAATAACAGGCTGGGTGCAGTGGCTCACGTCCATAATTTTAGCTCTTTGAGAAAATGAGCCTAGCAGTTTAAGGCTGCAATGAACTGTGATTGTACCACTGCACTCCAGCCTGGGCTACAGAACCAGAATATGTACATATATACATAAATTGACAGTAATGCATTAAAACCTGAAATCAAGTTTTAAAAGCAACAGCAAAGTGCATTTCCAGTCTAGTTCAGTGACTATTAAAATTAAAGCCAACTTCAGGCAAAACATTTCCAAAAACATAAGACAAAAAACAAACACAAAGAAAAAGGAGAAAAAATATTCCAGACTTTTGAAGACATTTATTAAAATCATAAATTGATGGTATCCTCTTTCTCATCTTTTGATGAGTAAAATAAAGTACCCCAAAAATTATCTACAAATTTGGTATTTGAGGGTTCTTTTGTTGTAAACTCAGTGGTTCTTGATGAGAGGAAGTTTAAAGTTTATTTATGGAAATTAGCCAAGGTGTCGAATCAATCATTTTTTCTCCTCTGGTGAAACCTAATCAAGAACCCTAATGGCTATCCCAAACTCCAAGAAACATACAACCTTTTCAAAAGGGCTGTGATTTTTCAGAGATTCAATACAAAGAGGTACAAGGAGCCAAACTCATTCTTCTCTGGGACACACAGAGTGGCTTCGGAACTGGCTGTGAAGATGTCTGAAAGCTACTATCACTATATGGTGAGGCCCTGATCCCTGATCAGACTTTATATTATTACTTCTACTGCAAGTATCAGTGAGACCATAAGTATATTTCTAGGGTGAGAACACAGCTAACAGAGGAGGAGTTCCTGCTACTTTTCCAATCCAAAACAGACTGCGCTATGTTTAATTTTTCAATAAACTGAGCTTGTTTCTATAAGTGATGTCATTTGCTTACTTAGTAAAAATGTTTTTACACTTACTTTGTCATCCTGTCTTCCTACATACTTGTGAACTACAGTGAAGATTAATTTTAGTTGTATCATTTATGCATTCCTTAGTTGTTCCTATGTATTGTAAGAACACAGAAAATAGTTTTCAGATATTTTACAATTTTATACTTGCTGTATATACTAAATTTTATTGAGAATATTTTATTCTATATGTTGTGCATAAATGTAATACCCTCTGTTATAAAGGTGGCACACAAATATATGCGCAAGACAGAATATTCTATAATATACAACTTAGGTAATGCATTGACTAATTTGAGGATAATATTGTTTTAGAGTATACTAAATGTCTCTTTAGCATTTCTGGGTGAAATCTGATCAAATTTCAGAATGTTCAGTAAATAAATAATGGTTATATAGAAATTATTTTGCAGTGGTGGACTGTGATTGAGATTCTTCAAAATACTTTAAAGGAGAAAATTATGATATCTAAATGAAACAATGGGAGAAAAATCTCAGTTAAATACCATTTCCTAAACTAATCACTTTTTTATTCTTTTGTACAAAATCAATCTTTTCTAAACCAATCACAACGAGCATTAAGAATGGTTTTCAGAGTATTCAGGACCCATCATCTAATGGTATAAATTGGTCCTAATTTCATCCCCTTAAACCTCAAGCTTTTTGGAGTAAAGTCAAAATTCAACAAAACTGAGGATTCTTTTGTTTTCTTCTTTCTTTCTTTCTTTTCTTTCTCTTTCTTTCTTTCCTTCTTTCCTCTCTTTCTCTCCTTCCTTCCCTCCTGCCCTCCTTCCTTCCTTCCATTCTTTCTTTTTCTTTCTTTTATAGGTCTTGCTTTATTGCTCAGGCTGAAGAGAATTGGCTCAATCTCAGCTAACGGCAACATCAGGGTTCAAGCGATTCTCCTGCCCAGTCTCCTGAGTGGCTGGGATTATAGGCATGTGCCACCACTCCTGACTGATTTTTGCATTTTTAGCAGAGACGGGGATTCCCCATATTGGCCAGGGTCGTCTCCAACCTGATCTACCAGCCTTGGTATCCCAAAGTGCTGGGATTACAGGTGTAAGTCACCACACCTGGCCTCTCTGAGGTTCATTCTTCTATGCAAAAGAAAAGGGTAGTATGTAGTGCCCTGTGAGTTATGCATGAACCCAACAATTTTACCTACAGATCTGAGAGCTCTCTTTGTACCTCAGGTTCTATTTTTGTCTTATACAAAATAAAGCTTATTCTACTCTAGACAGAAGTTTATCATTGAGTTACAACCTGAGTCAAATTTTGCTTTGGTCTGTGTTTCTCCAGGGCATAAGATGAAGAAGTTTGAATGATACCTTTCCTAATTTCCTTCCTTCAGGAAAATGGTCTCAGAGATCACACAAGCCTTCCAGAAAGAGCCCATCTGTCTCTTCTGTCTGAACTAACTCGTAGATCCCATCACCACAGGCTGTGTCCCCAGCTTCTGTAGACCCTGTCTCTGCCTTTCCTGGGAAGAAGCCAAAATTCCTACCTGCTGCCCACATTCAGGGAACCATCACAGCAGGAGGACATCAAAACCAATATTCTTCTGAAGAATCTAGTGTGCATTACCAGGAAAACCAGTCTCTGGCAATTCCTGAGCTCTAATGAACAAATGTGTGGAACCCACAGGGAGACAAAAAGATATTTGAAGAGGTGGACAAGAGCCTGCTTCATTTGCTGTTCTGGGACACTCAGGAGCACCAGGATCACAGACACTGTGAGGGGCAGCTAAGGAACACTGGGTAAGTGATGGCTCTGAGAGCACTTTGAAAGCTGGAGGATGGCACAAGTAAAGAGATTAGGGGGAAGTTGAAGAGCATGATGATTAGTCTGTTCTGTACTGGATGTCATGTAGTGCCTAGGTATCAATGATAAAAATTTCAGTGGAATCTGTGAGAATACCTTCCTTCCTTGAACTTACATTTCACTGAAGGAGTGATGAAGTTAATAATCATTATAATAATTTGACTATTTAGTGTAATGTTCAAGGCACTGTAAAGAGCTCAATATCAGGAAGAGTTTCTGGCTATCCAAACTACAAGTTCAAAAGGCTTCTATATAAGAAACCTATGTACCAACACTGGAAATAATAGAATAAAATATGCTAGAATTAGCAAGGCATGGTGTCAGTAGATTCCAATTCTGCTGCAAGATGCCACATTATCTATAAATTAGCCCTGCTTATGATTTTCCTATAAACTTGTTGCATTACATGTTGTGGTTCTACAGTCTGAGATCTTCCCAAATCTTTCATATCTCATCAGTTGATTTCTTTATCACTGGGGGTCTGAAACCCAAAACGATTTGCTTCTCTGATGTTCACATTCATAGTTCTTTTACAGGAGAAGATCATGAAGCAAATGAGATCTTTATGGGCAAAAATTCAAGAAAACCAAAGAAATTTAAGTGAGAAAAGCAGGAAACCCAGCCAGTGGATTGTAAGTATTAGGCCTTTTCCCTCAGATTCAACCTCAGACAGACATGCTAGAAATGTATCCACTTATCACTTGAATGGAAATCGTGTTGGTTAGGATTTGAGGAAGATTTTTTCTCATGGCTTCCAATCCTGAGGGTACAATGCAGCATTGATTACTGCTCAGAGAGAGTGGTCAGGCTATGCAGTAGGGAGACTTGGTACTAAAGACTAATTTAAAAACACAGAGATCATAATACTGCAAACAATTATCTGTGAATCAACCATTAATTCCAATGGCTCTCATGTAGGTTTTTCAATATCAAAGGGTATATATTGAAGAAATGATCAATAATAACCTTTCTTCAGGTGTTTCAGGAAGTCATATAATGAATAAAAGTGGTATGAGAAAAGAATGAATTTGACTTCTAGTATTGTTAAGAAACAATAAAGATAAATGAAAGAAAGGGAGGAATGATTGATTTCATGGTTCTGAGAAGTAGGAAGACACAAATTTATGTACATAGCTTATTGGTAGAATACATGAGTCAGTCTAGGCTTGGTGTCTCAAGTCCATAATCCGTATAATTTGGGAGACCGAAGCAGGAGAATCACTTGAGACCAGGAGTTTCAAACCAGCCTGGCCATCAACATAGTGAGACCCCTAACTTTATTATGAAGAAAAGATGAAAGAGATAAAGAAAAGAGAACCTGAGTTAAAGTGAATAAAGGATGTGTAAGAGGAGGAGGATGAAGTCAGAATAAATATGTCATCTAGGAAATCCAGGTCCCTGCAGTGCTATGTGCAGCTATGGGCAGAGATGACCAGAGCTGAGTAGAGGAAGCTGCATTCAGTTCCCTATGAGAAGTAAAACAACATATAGAGAAACTTACAGAGGATGACAGAAAGATTTTACAGCAACTTAAGAAAAGCAAAAACGCAAAATGGTTCAGAAAAAAAAAAACACCTAAGAAAAATCTATAAGGAGCTGATGAAAATGTGCCATGATCTAGATGTGGAGCTGCTCCAGGAAAGAACCAATAACATGCCTAAAAAATTTTTATATTATTTGAAGTTCATACCTTACAACAAGCTTGTCCAACCCATGGTCTTTGGGCCACACATGGCCAAGGATGGCTTTGAACATGGCCCGACACAAATTCCTAAACTTTCTTGAAACATGATGAGATTTTTGTTTGTCATTTTATTAAAGCTCTTCAGCTATAGTTAATGTTAGTGTATTTCATGTGTGGCCCAAGACAATGCTTTTTTCTAATGAGGCCCAGGGAAGCCAAAAGATTGCACACCACTGGCTTAGGTGATATTATTTATTCAACACCATAGATGTGTGTGTGTATATATATGTATATGTGTGTATGCATATATATATATATATATATATATATGTATATGTGTGTATGCATATATATATATATATATATATATATATATATATATATATATATATAAAATATTTAGCTCCTGCTGCTAAGATGGAGGATCTTTTCCAAATAGAAATAACATAGACAAAATGTAATTCTTTTCCTAACCATGAACAAGCAAGCTTGTGGAATTTTTAAGTGGATATAATTTTCTATTCCCATTTATCAAAATTGGCCACAGAGAATATTACCCTCTAGTAAACTTCTTTTGTAGCTTGCTTTTCAAAAACAGAAAAAAATTAACTTATTTGTGACTATCCCATTTTTGTCTCCAATTTAGCGAAATGGAGAATTTGGGGAAGAAAAACACTTATTTCTTCCTCCTGTTTGTTCTTAATTTATAACATATTATCCTTTAGAAACAAGCCCTGGGAAAGTCCACTTTGTAGGCAGTTGATTGCAGCAATGCATGGCCACACATTTCCTTTCCTCTATTCACCACCAGGGCTTTGAATTCATCAAGAGTTTAAAGCCATCCTGTAAATATGTTGTACTGGGATCAACTTTGGAAATGAAAAGGAAAAGGAATTTACAAAGCATTTCAGGGATGGCACTATTCTATACTTTACCAAACCTAAAGGTTGGGTTGGAAGAGTAGCCCATTTCTGAAGCTTTTCTTGTTTTCTTTGCAGGATTTGGGAGACATATTGACCAAGTAAGTTTGGTCTCAATGCAAACTGGGGTAGCATGAGAGCTATTAAGTGGATCAAGCCATTTCTAACAAAATGAAGACACAACTTATGGAAACTCAATTGTTGGCATATGCATACATATGGGTTCAACTGGCTATAATTTCCTGTTCTCCTTTATGAAAAATTAACCTTTTTCCTCCCTGTGGCTATTGAATAAGTGTGCTTCCAGACTCAATACAGCAGTTTTTGAAGCACAGCTGTTTATGATTGTGGATTTCAAGTCATAAAAATGTTTAGGTGCATGAACTAGTTTTTTCCCAGGTGGTAGGTGAGTGAAGTAAGAAAAGAATATAAGAAAGATTCCCTACAAATGGCTCAATCCTATCTCATGAATGTGGAGATACATTGCTATATCAGGAAAGGGTTTTAAAGGTGAATTTCCATTGAATGATTATTTGTTTTTAAATCCTGTGATGAAATAGTTGGTATTAGAAAGCGCAATTGTATTTTCCTCTTTAAAGGAGTGAGTCAGAGCAGTGGCACATGCCCCAGTGTGTGAGCTCAGAGATCCGTGCTCAACCCATCCACTGGACTAATGGACAGATTCCACCACCTCCAGGTGAGTGTCAACCTGCTGAAGTGATGAGCACACAGTGCCCTTCAGGCATGGTCTTTCTTTCTTTGCTTTCTTTTTTTTCTTTCCTTTCTTTCCTTTCTCTTTATTTTTATTTATTTGTTATTTTTTTTTTGTTTTTATTTATTTATTTATTTATTTTTCTGTGGAGTCTTGCTCAGTCCCCCAGGATGGAGCGCAATGGTGCCATCTCGGCTCACTGCAACCTCTGCCTCCCAGGTTCAAGCGATTCTCCTCTCTCAGCCACCCAAGTAGCTGGAATAACATGCACCCACCATCATGCCAGCTAATTTTTTTTTTTTTTTTGTATTTTTGTAGAGCTGGGGTTTCTCCAAGTTGGCCAGGCTGGTCTTGAACTCCTGACCTTGGGTGATCTGCTTGTCTTGGTCTCCCAAAGTGCTGGGATTACAGGCATGAGCCACTGCTCCTGGCCTCAGGCATGGTTTTCTACAGGCAATTTTTTGTTCTTTATTAATCTTTCACCTTATAAAAGGGAACAGTCTGTAAATAGCATTTATAAGCATACTTAGTAATACAGTCCCTATGATCATATGGAAACAAATAAATGAAAGCTGGTGTAATGGTAAATGTGATTCAGTCTCCCTTGGGTCTGGGCCTTTTGGGTTTGGGTCCCTCTGTGCGGCCAAGGCAGGTCAGTTGCAGAGAGATGGTCCAGACCTTGCCAAATGGTTTCTATATGAGGCTTCTGGGTCAACACTCCCTTTCAATAAAGACCTGGGCTATGATGACTCCAGCCGTGTTCTGCGCCACAGTGGGTGGAGTGCTCACAGTGGGTCCTCGGGCCATGGGAGACCCCATTAAATACACTGAACAACATGCCATCAAAGCACTTCCCATCTGACACTCCCCAGGGCCCATAGAAAGCCACAGCAGCATCACAGCCTTTGCCAGCACAAAGCCCAGTGTCCTTTCGGTTTATCTGTGTGTATGAGTACACACACTTAGGCTCGCCTGTGCACACACTCACACCATAGTGTACACTGTCCACAGTGGCACTGCCTGCTACTTAGGGCTGTGCCTCTTATCAAGTCTTATTTCAGGCTGGCTCAGCATGAGGAAATTATGTATGCAACACTGAGTTTCAACTGAGTCACTGGAAAATTACTCAAATCAATTCAGGTAGTGTGTGTTTTTCTTTTCCCTGTTTCTTTCAAAAACAACCTCCAGAGGAGTTTTTAACCACTTATTTAAAATGTTAATGAAGGAACCTGTGAGTGCAGAGGCACAGAAACGAGCAGCTGACTCAAGTTATTCCAATGCATAAGCAAGTTCCAAATGCACTGAGAGGCGTGGATGGGAAGATGCAAAGGGTGCCTTAGGAAGAACTGCTTTTGTTGTAAGCCCTTGGCAGCTCCCAGCATGCATGCTGTGACGACATTCACCCCACTGCACTCATCATCATCAATGTGACTGTTGTTTTAGAAGGATCTGTTGTGGTCAGGGTTCCACCTGTCCTTCCCCATACCATGGCGCTCCAGGCAGTTCCAGGCAGGTGCCGGCCAAAAGGGACTGGGGTAGAAACCAAGGACCAGGCCCGTAGAAACAGGGATCCTAGGGGCTTCCAAGGGGGAAGACCGACTGCCAGGTGCGGAATCCACAGAATGACCCACCGGGGAGGCAGAAGGACATGCACAAATCCCTGGGGAGTGTGTTAGAATTTCCCCAAATACTGTAAAATGGAAAAGTGCTTGCACTTTATCACGTGAAAGACTAATGCTATGTAGGAGCTGACACAGCACGGGAGGACTATGACCACCTAAGGAACAGTGAGCTGTGTCAGGACAGAAATGAGCAAGCTTGAGTCTCCGGGCACATCTCAGGAAACAGTAATGCAAGGCGCACGTCAGGGCTGTGACTCACTCCTCAGAGCAGGCTTGGGTCCCCAGTGTAAGAATGAACAGACAGCCCTCCCACATCATGTAGTGTGGATGGTGGGGCTGCAGGGCATGTCGTGCTCTTGCCGGTGGGCTGCCAGAGACATGTCAGACCCACTTCTTAGTGAGGGCCCATTCATTTCCTCTCTGGGTTGCATTTCATCATAATCACTCGGTACCCACGATTCTTCCTGACAGCCTGAAACAGCAGGCTTTGCATCCTTTTCAGGCCTGGGGTCTGGTCCTACCCCAGGGGCTTCTGTTTCACCCACAACAGATTCGCCTCCATGCCAGAGACACTGCTGACAGCAGGGAGAGAAGCGAAAAGAGGGGTCCAGCACAGCCCTTCTGCATTCATATATCCTATTTTCCATCCAACATCACAAACTCCTTGTCTCCTGCTCCCAGGAGGAACCTTGGGTCTCAGGAGTGGTCAATGCTGAGATGACAAAGCCATTGCAATTCTGATCTCCATAGTCTTGAGGCCTCTAGTGTTGCCAGGAGGCTGTCAGGAGGAGCTTGAGAAGAAAGAGGCCCACGATGTTTCACAATGTTTATCCCAAGTGGAGCCAAGGGACAGCCTCTGCACACCGAGGTAATTCCAGATGAATTGCTCCACGCTGTTCCCTCCTCCTTTCTGGTGTTTAGTGCTGGCTGACTGTAGAACACTTTATTCACAGAAGCAAGTAGAAAAAAATGTCACTCTTAGTTCACATGCTCCAACGTCAGACTGGGAGTGACCGGTTCTGGAGGGAAGAACCAGGACTGGCTCACTTGTGTTCTCATCAGCCACCTCCACGCACACGGAGGTGGATTTCACTGGTGTCAATACACGCATTCACATCCATGAGAGGCCACTCAGAGGGGCAGAAGCAACTTCACACCCACCATAAAGCCACTTCTGCTGCCAGAGTCCCCAGTCTCCAATCACCAAGAAATTCTCCACCAAGGGGCAAGCTCCAGCCATCTAACTTGTAATCAGTAGCATCAACATTGTCTGAGAAATGTTTATTCTGTCCAGTTTAAGCTTACTTTACACAAACACTAAAAACTAGTAAAATAGATTTTAGCTTTTCCTCTAACTATATTTATATATAAATCCCTGAGAAGGTAGCTGTCAACTTGAAATTCACTATCTACAGCTCCCCGGAAGATCAGACTTCCCAGTCCCACCAGAGCGCCCCATGCAGCTGTCATTTTCTCTCAAGTTGCATACACTGGCCAGGTAAAGGCAGCTTCTACTCAGCAGGCAAGTGGCCCTCTCACCTTCAGATTTGCCAAAGAAATCCGGGTCCTGCCCTACACTTGCTGGCTCGGCAGGCTTTTCAAAATGCAGGTATCTCTGGAGCCATTTTGTGAACACCAGGAGCATCACTGGACAAGCCCTGTGCTGGCCCCAGGGTACTCTGTGCACCTGGGTAAGGCTGGAACACACTGGGGACAGGGACCCAACATACTCACTCCGCAAGAGCGTGGGACCTGGGGAAATCGCCAGTTGTTTGCTGTCCTGCCATTGCCGTTCTACACATCCCTGGAGACTATGAGCATGGGTTGTGGTGCCGTAGTGGCTGGGCAGTATCAGAAATGTCCATTTTTCACCTGGAAGCAGCAGACACCCAAGGCTCAGGGTAGAAGTGGGGGCTCCATACCATTCCCAGTGCCAACTTCCCATGGCAGAAACAGGAAGGAATGTCTGGCAACCCACCAAGGGTCAGACGCCACATCAGCCTGAGCAGAAGCTGCCTGACACTGGCTGTTCCAATGACAATTAGACGTTCTTGGGAAGGTGGCGCCCTTTGTGGGAGCTCAGGATGGGTGTCCTGGAAGTGCCACTTAAATGGCACTGAGGCCTCTCAAAATCCCTGTGTTAGAGCTGCAGCTCTCCATGTGGGCTGCAGTGCAGTCACCTATGGAGCTTTAGGACAGGCCCAAGGCTCAGTTCCCTGGGCCAGTGCCTCAATAACTTTCGCAGTTCGGCTTGGAGAAGCGAGCCTGGGAGACCACGTGGCACTGCCTGGCTGGGTCCTGGGCTGACAGAGGTGAGCGTGGGGCTTGTGGTGACTTGGTAATGCTGTGAATTATGTACGTGTGGCAGGAAGGTGCCACAGTGCTAAGGCCCCGCATCTTGGAAATTCCATAGGGTCCACATGAGGATGAACTAAACACCAAATGCAGTCCTCAAAGGAATAATAAAACAAATACCCACATAAGGGAATCTCTGGAACTGAGTCTGGAAGAGGGGGCTGCCTGGTCCACTCCAGGAGAATTTGCCTAAAACAAGTTTGCTTCTCATTGCATTCTCTTTGCTTCTTCTAAACATCACCTCCTCTAGAGGTTACATTACACCCCATTCCTGTAATTTACATCATTCTGGGCTCCTTACTCTTGTTGCATCCTTTTTTACATTTTAAGGATGCCTAGATTCGATTTACTTAAGAGCATATACGGCTTAATTTTATATTTCTGGTAATCATTTATTACATTTCCCCCATTTTATCAAATGACACATTTTTCTCATGTCTATTTTAATATGTTAAAGATTTTTGTATACAGTTTATCTAAAACTCCTTGCTTAAAATGAGTTTAATTCTAGCAATACAGACATGCCTATCTCTGCATTGTTTTATAATTTGACGATAAATGTTTTTCCTCAATATATGACTGTATTGGATAATACTTTTTAAAAAGATACAATAAAATCTGATCTCTCTGTCTCACTTGATCATGTGGCTGAACCAGTCAATCCCTCCATCAAATAGAAATATCCGGCATCACTTAATCTAATTAATAAAAACATCCACCCATGATGAGAAGACCAAAGCAAACAGCCCAAAAAGGAGAGAATCCCATGATTTCTGTGTAAAGTCCTACAGATATCATAAATATTTATTGCTGGAAACAGTGTTTTAAATAAAAGGTCTTCAGGTAAGTGTATAAAAACTTCCTTGGATACAAGGGACCCTATCACTTGTAAAACTTGGCAAATTGGACAACAATTAAAAATACAAAATTACACAGAAAATATCCTTTAATAAATTGATTTTTTTTTAATTGAGACGGAGTTTGGCTCTTGTTGCCTAGGCTGAAGTGCAATGGCGCCATCTTGGCTCCCTGCCACCTCTGCCTCCAGGGTTCAAGCGATTCTCCTGCCTCAGCCTCCCGAGTAGTTGGGATTACAGGCATGTGCCACCACGCCCGGCTAATTTTGTATTTTTAGTAGAGATGGGGTTTCTCCATGTTGGTCAGGCTAGTCTCAAACTCCTAACCTCAGGTGATCCGCCCGCCTCGGCCTCCCAAAGTGCTGGGATTACAGGCGTGAGCCACCGCGCCTGGCCTAATAAATTAATCTTTAAAAAAATCTTAATTGAGGTTCTCTAAAGGGAGCCTTTTAGGGAACATGCCCCCTAGGTGTACTGATTGCTAGGGTGGCTGGTGTGAAGCGAATCGATGTGGCTCCCCCAGCCCCTTTCTGGGAGCATCCTAGAGAGACAGCGTGGAAACGCGCGCTGCCCGGTGGTCCCGAGAGCTGCCATGGTGCCCAGCCCCGCGGCCTCACCCAGCCCTCAAACCCCGTGCCAAGCACCCGCGGACTCTCACGTCCTCTTCTTCCAGGGCGGCGGGCGCTTCTCCTGCACCTTGGCCTGGCGCCTCTTCTCGGCCTCCTCCGCCTCCCGTTTCTCCTCCTTGGCCACCTTGTAAGGCCACTTGGGTATCCGCAGGTGGCCGCTGCCTTTATGCTGCCCTTCCGCGCCGGCCTTTTGGGTTGGAAGGTGGGCGCGGGCACCTTGCTGAGGCGGACCTGGGCACCACCACGCTGGGCCCCAAGCTGCTCTGCTGCAGGCACTGCAGGGGCAGGAGGCTGGCCGTCCGCGGGGCGGGGGCGGCGGAGCCCCAGGACCCCGGCAGCCGGGCAGGTGGGAGGCCGGCTCTTGGGGAGGCCTTTGTGGAGCCAGCGGCCGCTAGGCCGAGCGGCTTATGCTACTCTGCGCCCTCCTCTTCGCCCGCCTCCTGCGCCTGCCTCCCCCCACCCCTCGCCGCGCCGCCGGAATTTCCTGCGCCGCCAGGATTTCCTGCACCGCCAGCCGCCTCTTCCCCCAGCACAAGGTGCTCTCGGGGCACATAGTCTGGCACGCGAGGGCCCCGGCGGGGCTGTTAGAGGCTCGTGGTCATCCTGACCATGTGGTCCAGGGCGCCCCGGTCCTCTGGGCCCCGCATGGAGCGCGGCGTCAGCGCGGACAGCTCGCAGTCCCTGAGCCTCTGCAGGCAGTTCTTGGAGCCCTCGGGCTTTTGCGGCCTCTCGGGGAGCGGCGGCAGCTCAAGCTGGTACTTTTTCCCCAACAGCTCCCGGCAGGGGCGCTCCAGGAGCCTCTGCATGAGGCGGACGTATAAGTGGCCACTCCTCTGGCGACATCCCACGGCGGGGGCCCTCGCGTGGACACCCGCCCCTGCTAGCTCAGGGCTCCGATGCGATCCGTTCGACCCTGCATGGCGGCTTTCAACCCGAACGCGTCCCTCCTTCAAGATCAAGACCCTGAACGTAGTTCAACAAGTAGTTGGTGATGATAGCGTGCCCTGACTGGGCCAGGATAGCCTCTTTAGTAAAACAGCCACGAAAGTCATGAAACAGATGCTCAGCTCCTTTCTTCATTTTCACTTTAATTCGGTGATGCCTCTGTGTCTGTCTGACGACATCTCTCCTGGGGTCTGTGATTCTGCTGATGGTCTTCAGTGCCTACTGAGAAGGGTTCCTGGACATCATCAGGTATGAAAACCTCAAAGCTCTCGGTCCTCAACGTGAGAACCCTGGGCCAGCGGCATCAGCCTCACCAGGAAACCTGTTCTTCTGCTCATTCTTGGGCCCCACCCCAGGCCTATTCAAAGAAAGACTCCAGGGGCAGGGCCTGGCAGCCTGTGTTTCCACCAGATCTGTGTTAAAGCTCAAATGAACCAGCCCACGTGATGCTGACCAGGAAGCACAAGGCTGAGAGCCAGTGTCCAAGGCAACGGTGCCCATGGGGCCAGAGGCAGCTCCTGCCTGTGCAGCTGTATTTAGGGCTGCGTTCCCCTCCCTGTCCTGCCAGTTGACGTCAGTGTGGGGTTACTCAGCTAAGGCCACCACGGTATATCCACAAAGCCGTGGTAGCAGGCGACATTAAGGCTGGTCCAGCCATTGTGGTCAGTCTCCTGCGCCTTCTCAACGCTCACCCCTCGCCGCACCAGCGTCCGCAGCAGCCCCATGCCTCCTGGACGCCCTCCTCCGGGACGCTCTCCAAGCCCTCGACGCCGTGCTCCTCCTCGTCCTGGAAAGGGTACAGAGTCGTCCCAGGCTATGCTGCAGGTGTGGGGCCCTGGAACTCTTTGTAGTCAGCGCGGTCCTCCTCGACCTGTGCGCCTAGGAGTGGGGACGGCGGTGGCGGGGTCATGCAGCGCTCCCAGCCACCCTGCGGCCGGGTCCCAGCCAGCAGCACCATGCCAGCGGCCGGAGGCGTGGGCTGGGGGCCGGGGCACCGTCCCGGAAAACCGGGCGCGCCCCAAGGTCCCTGCTTCTCGCTTCCGCGTCCCCAGAGAAGCCGTAGCTCCCGCCCCCAGCCCGGCAGAAACCTCCTTTCTTTACATTATTAAGTTTGTTTTCATTTTAATTTTCTTAGGACATTGATAAAATCACTTTCGGATTTTTGAGATTAAAAATTAAATAATTTTCATCTTTACCCTTTTTAAATTTTTCACACTTTATTTTAATGCTTTTATTCTTTTGTAAATTTTAATTATTGTAATTTATATCTTCAATTATTATGGAAGAATTTTAGAAAAGTCTTTTCACATAATAAAGACTAATTAATGAACTATTATTTATTCTCTCCTCTATCTCAAATACGGACTTTAAACTTTTAGAACACTTTTTGTTTTGAGACTCTTGTTACTTATGTGACATTTTAACTATTCACTCTTCTAGTGAATTTTTAATGTCATTCAAAGGGTACATCTTTCTACACTGAGAATTAAACAAAGTTCTCAAAAATATTCTCAGATAATTTAGAATTTCACCTTCCACTGGCATGTTAAGTATGTTCTCCTTCCCTTCTAATGCATATTTTCCTCACACGTCCTCATGTTATACTCCTTATTCACCCTCCATGCAAGAGGTGATTTTATTTATTTATTTATTTATTGAGACAGAGTCTCAGTCTGTCACCGAGGCTAGAGTGCAGTGGCATGATCTCGGTTCACTGCTATCTTTGCCTCCTTGGTTCAAGTGATTATCCTGCCTCAGCCTCCATAGTAGCTGGGATTGCAGGTGTGCACCACCATGCCCCGCTAATTTTTGTATTTTAGGTAAAGACAAAGTTTTACCATGTTGAACAGGCCAGTCTTGAACTCTTGACCTAAAGTGATCCACCTGCCTTGGCCTCCAAAAATGCTGAGATTACAAAAACAGCAACTAAACGCTGGAATGATGACTGGGAACTTGTCTAGAGTCTCCAGTGATTATCCTCCTTATAACAAGGCAGAAAGCCTTCCTCAGAATTATCTGGACTGACATCACTCATTGTCCAGACCTGTTAACAGCAACAAGTGCTGTGAGTCTCAAATGTGCTCCTTCAATAATGCAGTAGAAGGCCTGAGTTTCCACATAATAGTATCCTTGAATGCCTGGAGACTTAAGGCACAAGAATGTATTGATCCTATGAACTTTATGTTTTGTAAAATTTCAGATTATGTGAGGTGTTTGGACAAATTAAGTTTCAGGGTGATATCCACTATTGAGACAGAAAATTAGTTTAAAGAATTAAGACCTCAAAGTCCAGAATGAGAAAAAATTGTTTTTCTTAGAGCCTCCTTATAACTGTCTTATTTGTTTTATAGATGTAAGTACTAGAGGACAAGCTCTACCTGATATAGCTGGCCTAGACATATGCAGATTTATTAATTGTAGAAGAAATAATTATACCTTTCAGGTAAAATGGCTATGCAAAATAATTAGTTGCTGTTTTTGAGACAAGTTCTCACTCTGTCACCCAGGCTGGAGTGCAATAGCACAATCAGAACTCACTGCAGTCTCAAACTCCCAGCTGGTCTCAAGCAATCCTCCCAACTCAGCCTCCTGAGTAGCTGGGACAACAGGTGCACACCACCACTCAAGGCTAATTTTCTTTTTATTTTTGGTAGAGATAAGGTCTTACTATGTTGCCCAGGCTGATCTCAAACTCCTGGCCTCAAGTGATTTTTCTGCCTTGGCCTCCCAAAGCACTGGGATTATAAGTATGGCCACTGTTACCAGCCTTAGATCATTTTTTTTAATACAGATAGCTTCCCAACTAAAAATATTTTATTAGAATTCTCTGAATTCAGCAAAGCAATGTTATTACTGACCCAGTCTTCACTTATTTTCAGCTGACATGGAAGAACAAAATTACCTTTATTTTTAAATTTATTTTATTTTATATTTTCAAGGTGCAAAGTATGTTGTTTTGAGACACATATACATAATGAAATGATTACTATAATGAAGAAAATTAACAAATCTATCATATCACTTAGCTGTGCTTCTTTTTTATGATAAGAACACCAAAAATCTAGTCCCTCAGAATATTTCCCAAAAACAATACATTATCAAATATGCCTACAGGTTGTACATCAGATTCACTTATTCTACTACGCCTTTACAACTTTTGCCCTTCATTTACCTATTTCCTTCCCACCAATGTAACCACCTTTTTTAATGTATTGAACTTTTAAAAATAGATTTCAAATATGAGTGGAACCATGAAGGATTTTTCTCTGTGTGTCTGTCTTATTTCACTTAGGAAACGTGCCATTTACATGCCTCCTAAATTTAGTACAGAAATAGAGTGCTAGTCAAGAATGTGTCTCAGTGTTGTTATATTAATTTTTTCCAAGTTATCCTCTTTATCAATTTTTACTTTTTGTACTATAGAAAAGTCAAAATTATTGTATTAAAAAATCTGTAACAAGGCTATTGATAAATAACTTCTTTTAGGGATAGAAAACTCAGGAAGTTCAAGATTTCTGGATTAATGATTGACAATGTTCTTAGTGGTCCCTCTTTGATTTATTTCAATTGTAAGTAATTCTTGGTGATATTCTAACATAAATTCTGACAGGTGAAGAGAATAAATAAATTAAGTATCTCTAGGAGAATCAATAGAATAAGATTATCTTGGTTAAATAGCTAAGAAAGTATGCTAAATAGACACAAAAACTTTTTCATCTTCCAAAATCAGAGTTAAATAGTAAATAATCGTAAAGTAGCTAATTCTGTCTTTCTGCAAAAGTGAATCTGAGCTAAATTAGAAGAATGTCAGGAATAAATTTTTCCTTGAAAACTAGGAACAAATAATGTAATTAAATTATGAGGCACTGACTGTTGCATACAGTTTTATGTTGCATAGAGTTTTAGCATCAACAGAAAAGCTTACAAAACATAGGTGAAAATCAAAAAGGAGTGCTGGGTTGGAGCCCTAAGGTGAATAATTTTATCATCTCAGATCACTTGGAAAAAGGCAGCGAGTCCAAAAGAAGCTGGTGATAAGCTTTCTCTCTGCTAACCCCTAATGTTCTGCATGAAATATGTGGAGGCAGAAGAGAGACAGTTTATTATAGAGTCTACGTGGTATAGAGCGAAGGAATAAGAACATTTCTGATAAGTATTTTCAAAATTTGAAGAATCATTCCTATATAAATCATTCATTTAAGAGACTAAAATACAAGTAAGATGTTTCTTGCCACATAACCCTCAGCTTAGCCAGGCTCTAAAAAGGACAACACTGGACACCTTGACAGTGGTAAAAAGCAGGGTTTACTCACTCTTGAATACTAAGATCTGGTGCTAACCTTAGGCAGCAACTTGTCTATTTGGTTGAGGTTCAGCTCAAATCTCTTGGGTTATTTTCAGTTGTGCCAGTCATTTAATTTATTTTCTGAATCAAATAATAAGAATGGATATGGTTTTGAGTGTAAACAGCATTCCCAGATATATCTTACAACTTGGTGTGCCATCTGCCTAATTTTGAACCTATAGGACGGGAATAACTGCATTGTGAAAAATACCAGGTGATTTCCTTAAAGCCAAATACTCTTGTCCCTCCTACTTTTCTTTTGGCTTTCCTGCTGCATGGGACGTGGCAATAAATGGCAGTTTTCTGCACACAGAGATAAAATTCACTTGTTGAGGATGTCAATCTTCTTGACAACTCCTATATTGGTACAAACATGTGAGAGCAATGCACCTTCTGAATCATTTCAAATTTGTGGTCTTTGTTAGAGCAGGTAAGCCGGTGCCCTAGGAGACATAGCTATTAACGTTCTATTATAGAATTTTCCATTCTGTATCATCTGGATTCTTATTTAAAATGTAGACTAATTTTGTTCTTTCTACTGCATAAGAAGGTTTATACCACTTTATGCTTAGTAAATAATTAAATTTATATGTCAGTTTAAATAAGGACAGTCTCCATTGTTTTAAGTCCTTTTCCTGTTCCCCATCATCTTATATAGGAAACTTCCTCTTTCAATGGTTTATATTAAAAAACCTAAGACAATTGAAATCAACCCTATAAAAATTATGCTACAATTATTTTAAACCCTAACATAATAGTATTATCTTTGATATGAATCTGAAAATCAATTTATTTCTTATCTTTTGATAGATATTCATTAGTATGTTCTATCCTATTTTGTTACTTATATTTTGGAAAAGTTTCTTAACGTTAGAATAATATTTATACGTATTAACTCCTCTACTTATCCATTTATTCATCTTATTTATTGTGTAATCTATTCTAAAAATTTCACTGGATAATGGTAATATCTTAGCAAAGAAGACAAATACTGCCATTGCTTCCTTGGAATTTTCAATCTGGTAGTAATAAGTATAAGAGTTTTCTGAATATTATAATCTGATATAATATACTCAGAGAAGATGTTATAGCAGAGCAACCCAGCACTGAAAAACTGTTGTATGAGCTGAAATGTGATTAATAACTAAGATGTTGAGAAATAATAAAGTCTGTGAGGTCAACTTAACTTGGTCAGACTTAAAAAGAAAATAAGCACTCTTCTTTATTCTTTATAAGATAAGGTATCCACTACTTCATTTTTCTACCCCAGCCTGGTTCAAATATACAAGTAAGACAAATGGTTTATAGTGTGTACACACAGAGAGTATGAAAACCTACTCTCTGAAAAAGAAATCAGATTAAACAAAACGTATATTGTATGATTTTGTTTATCTGAATGCAAAAACCTAAAAAGTAGATTATGTGTTCTGAAGGAATGGGGGAGGGTGAATGGAGAATAAATGTTAATGGGTATTGGGATTCTTCTGGAAGTGATAAAAGTGCACAGGCAGTAGAGAGTTCTGATGGCTACACAAGTGTGATATGCTAACAATCTCTGAATTAAATACATTAGAACGTGACTTTCATGGTAAGTGAATGAATCTCAACAAAACTTGTACAAAAAAAGCCATTATTGATGTTCTAGTAAAGATTCCACAATAATTTACTAATTAAAATAACTTAATTAACAAATGTACACATTCAAGTTGGTTATCCAATTTATAACCATAAAGTAATTACATTCCACGAAGTTACAATGAGCTCACAGGCTCTCACACATAGGGTCTTAGGACACTATTTGCCTCATATATGGGATGTCACAATAAATCATCATGAAACCAAATTTTCATGTACAACCAAAGCAAAAGAAAGGCCTCAGAGGGGAAGAGAAGGAGGAAGGAGGAAAACCATAGATAGGAGAACCTTTAGAAATATCAAAAAAACTCACAGATCCATTATCATAATCCAGAGACACCCCAACCCGACCCAGAGGCCTTTGTACATACTGAATTAAAGGTGGAGAGTTGGTGGAGAGACTATAGTGATTGCTCCTCTTTGAGGAAATTTAAAAAAGTGTTTCATCAGAATCAATAGCGATATTGGTATCTGCTGTCCTGGAATCTGAACAGACTCCCAGAATCCAGTTGGAGGAGTGGGTCACATCCACTTCCCAGTAATGCCTGCAGGAGGTGAATGCTTGCGCTCCCCACACAGCAAAGCTCTCCACTCCGTGGGGATCCATGGGTGCACTGCGACGGTCATCTACAAATATCACATGTCTCACATCCTCAGAAAGGCTCATATAGCAAGAAGTCATTTCCGTGCTCAGAGCGTTATCCACTGACAAGGAAAAAATATTATATTAGTGAGTGTTATGAGGGACAGAGGCTCTGTGGCCCAATTATTCACTTCATTTGCTCTTCTTCCAACAAAATACAGAAAAAAGGAAGCCAAGAGAGTTCAGACCCATGCATCCATGAAGATAAAATGTTATTACAACTCTACAGCACAAACAATTATATATTATTCCTTAATGTCTACATCTGCATAGTTTGTTTCAGGACATATCTAAAATGGTTTTTTTTCTTCAATAGAAAACTCTTCTTGTGTTATTTGTCTTTAAGATCATCAACAGGTAGACATCAATTTGCTATGATATGAGTATTGGAATGTATGTTATGCCTGTTATGGACACAAACATCAAAAATTTGGTAGAAATTAACACACGTAAAGTTTTTAAGTTTCTGAAAAAAATACTCTGGCTTTACATTATCTGTTTAGTCCCTGATTCAATCTACTCTGGGTTCCTGCCCTCTGCTACCTAGACCTGCTCTCTAGAATGGGCCTAACATGGTTAAGCCATGTTCACAGATCCCTCACCTTTCAGTTGTTACGATATGTATCTGATGGCATTAGAATTGTCCTGATTATGGATATTTTAGTCATTTTATTTGTTGATCAAAATGTTCTGATTTTGTAAATAATAAAGATTACTTGTAGAATGCATGTAAATGCACATAGTATAGAAACAATTAAAAACCATTATGCCAAATCTAAACCTTCAAAATTGAATTAAATTGAATAAACACGAAATACTGATGCCACCAGGAGAACTAGTGTCTTCATAACTACATGATATGAATATTCTTTGTCTTCTTATTCTGCAGATAAACTATGTATCTTGCTTTACATTTTCATCAAGCTGTAAGTCAGGAAATTGAGTTTTGATCATTGTAATATTACTACGCAGGTAGAGAAGATGCACATATTTTGGAAAAGTATGGGTTACCTACATGTCAAAAACAATAAAACTTAAATGGGAAAATCCTGAGCCAAGGGACCCAATAAGGAAATAATTGGAGGCTGGACTGCCAAGCAGCTGGCTCTTACCTCTGAAGTTGTTGAGCATGTCTAGGACTCCAGTTATGCACCATGAAATGAGCTCTGGGTTCACTGGCTGGGGCTTTTGCATCTGTGCCAAATCACTCCTGCAAAAAATGGCCTCAGTGATATTTCCAGGCCCAGAGCTAGTCACACAGTCATACAAAGATATCATATTTTCATAGAAGATGTTTCCTCAGAATTCTGCCAGTTTTGGTTAACTGGGTGTACATTTTATTCCACACTCTAGGGGCCATAAGGATGTTACTTTTTCTAAATTTTACTGGCGTAAAAATCAGTGTGTCCAGATATGTTATTCTCAGACATTATACAACTTCTGAAGTCATTAAAAGTCATGGGCTGCCTCTGCCCATCACACTCCCTGAGGGTATGCAGAAATTCTGGAAATATTTCAGAGAGCAGAAAACTCAGATAAAAACCTTTGGGACCTCAGCCGGCCGTTGCCACTAATGCTAGTCAGTGTCTAACAGAGAATGTTCACTGAGACAAAAGGCTTTAATCTTTTGTGCAAAACAAAGGAGTCTAATTCCAGCCTGAGAACCCTGCTGCTGAGGGTCCTGAGGCAACCATTTTCCTGAGGTCTTTCCTAGTACTGGGTGTATGGTGATGGAGCAGGCCCGGGTCATTGATGCTTTTAGGAACAAAACCTCCCTCCTCAGCCTATCCTTAGGGAATCTCTGTCCTCCCTCTGTCTTTTTTTTTTTTAACCTCCCACCCCTCTAGAGTAGAAGACACCTCTATGATTCCTCAGAGTAATTTTGTATTAAGATCTGTGGGGTAGGGCTGGACAGGATGGATGGATTGGGAGAACAAACTTCAGAATGGCAAATTGTTTTTACGTATATTTGAATTCATACAAATTTTAAGATGAAAACTTTCCAGACCAGAGAAAAGAAGACCTCAGGCCCTCTTTTGAAACAAAATCAGAAATAGCCACTGAGAATGATGTTAGTACCTCAACATGTGTACATCCCCTTCATTCGCAAGAGAACAAACTTTTCAGAAATAGCATTTTTTAATGTAAACTCACCTTGCTGATACATTTCCCACATCCTGCAAAAAAAAAAGATACTCTTAATTATGAGACTTTTCCTTCTGCATCTTTTCTCACACTCTTGTTTCTTTCTGTTTTAGTGTTTTAATAATGTATATCTTTTTATTCCCGTCTAAGGAATCATTCATGTCTATGTTAATAACAGAACCTCAACTTAACAATGAAAAGCTTCATCGTTTTCATAAGAAGAAAGGAGCTCAGCAAGAGACGGTGGAGTAAAGCAAAGATATCTAGGTTTCCAGTGTCATTAATTTCCTAATCTTATTTCCAAAGAAAGTTCTGACCACACATGACAACTATTAAAACAAAGCAGAGAACCATATGAGAAACAGAGTACATGGACATTGATGAGCAGCTTTTACAAACCTTGCCCAGGCCAGGGAAGACTCTCAATGTCTTCAGCAAATCACTGTTGTATGGGACATCAGAGAGTGAAGAGGAACTAGGGCATATACATGGAGTATTACTAACCTTCCCCTTGCCTAGAGTTCTAATGATTTTAGATGATCTCTCTGTGTGGATAGTACTCCAAATTATATTGAAGAGAACTTTGTTATATGTTATCTACTAAAATGGCAAAAATTTCCCAGAGACTACCAAGGTATGCAGTAATAAGTGACTGGACAAATGCAATGGTGGAAGTCAGACAGCATGTGTCACTTAGCTTAGAGCAGTGACATATGAAGGTGACATTTGCATGTCCTGGCAGCATTGTCCAGCAAAGGCTTCCTTTCTTTGGGGATGGACCCTCCCTCCTCACCTGGAGCAGCTCCACGTCAGGCATGTGGCACGTCTCCCACAGCTCTCTGTACATGTCTTTCATCCTTTCTAAATGTTGGGTCATTCTCACTTGACTGTCTTGTAGTTGTTGGAAAAGCTCTTTTGCTTCTCTTTCCAGTTCCTGCAGATGCAGTTGCTCCTACTTATCGAAAAATAGACGCATCTTTTGATATTGAATATTGATTATCACCTTCCTTAATGACACATAGTCCTGCAGAGACATTTGGTTAAAAGGATTACATGTTCTCACTCTCAACAGAAAACTTCAAATAATTATATGCTGGGTGTAATCAAGCAATTTATAAACTTTGTGCCTCACTCTTTCAAAGAGTCTTGAATATTTGCTATATTTTTCTATTTTTTCCTATTTTTTCAATGCTCCTATTCTCTCTCCCTTTTTAAATCAAAACCTGTATAAAGACTTCTAGTTTCTCTCACTGTGATGCTTCTTCACAGTTCTTATTGAGTCAATTATTTCCTCTATTAATCTCTGTTTTAGGATTTTTCATGTCTGATTTGCCTAAATGTTAAAAAACATTTAGCCATACACCATATTATGCAGTTGTTTTTTACTTTTACTATATTTTTACTCTATATACTATTCTATTTCTTTCATCTTCCTCACACTCAATCTTAGTGAAATGTTGTCTCACCTGCAGTGTCTGATAAGGTTTATACCAACCTTCAAATTTGAACTAGAATACATATCATGCCGTTTATCCAATATACTAGAATTAATTTGGCTAGCTTGTGTGGACTTCTCTGTTTGCAATTCCTATTATATCAATTGAAATCACTACATTTTCTTGGGATGAAATCACTATCTTTTAACTGGTAGTTTGAATTTAGCCAAAAAGTGTAAGCCAACATTGTGTTTATTGGCATAAAAACAAAGGAAACATTTTCATTCTTACCACTAATGAATGAAATTTGCTAGTTTCCTGATTTAGATTGTTTTGTGTCTCTTGATTGATTTTCCATAAATAGTCCATTTCCTTTATAAGTTTCTCCTGCAAAAGAGGCAAGAAGCTTAGCAATAATGAAGACAGTATAGTAGATTTCATCCCCTTATCAATAAAAAAGGCTGTTATTGAAAGAAACATAAATTTAAGTTAGAGTGGAGTGGTCAGATTTTTCCATGTTAAACAAATTTGGTTCTAATAATTTGGATGTGAAAAGTGATAGAAACATAGAGAGTTTTAAGGGACCCTTCAGATAATATCATCAATTTTCTGAGAAACTGGCTTTTATATAACCAGACTTTGAAAAGTGTTCTTGGTGCAAACCTCCTTTAGTGAAGTCTCAACACAGCTATGATTAGAATGTCAAATTAGTCAGCAACATTGAAAGGACACATTTATGTGTTATGATTGACATGGAATAATCACCACTTCCACCATCTGCATTCTCATCACCATCATTATCACAGGCCCTCATCATTCTTATTTGGGATTCTACACAATTCAAACTGCCTTAGAGGCATCATGTACCCTGCATTCCTGAGCAGCCCATCCTATTGGGCTGTGGCTGTGAGCCATGTGCTCTGGTGACTTAGAGCAGGGCCCACAGAGCAATCTCTTATCAGCCTCACAGAAGAGCTCCTTAGTCTCCTCGTGGAGCACACAGATATTGTCTGAGCTGTTGATATTCTGAGGTCTGGTCTGTCTGGCTAGGAAAGCCAGCTTTTTGAGTGCCACATTGGTGTTGAAGTCGGGCTTCTCTGAGATTTCTCTGCACTCAGGGCAGTGCATTGGTGCTCTGCCTTCTTCCCAGCAGAGGCGGAGGCAGGGCCAGCAAAAGCTGTGTCCAGTCAATGGTGACCGGGTCTATGAAGTAGTTCATGCAAATAGAGCACATGAGCTCATTCTGGAAGGCTTGCGGGGTGTCTGAATCCATGTTTCAGAAAATTTAAAAAAAAAAGTGAGAATTTCTTTCTCTTATTTTTATTTGCCCCAATGAAAAGGAAAAAAAAGCCGGTGGACAATTTTCCTTGTCTACTTGAGCTATGTCCAATATGTCTAATAAGTTAGCTCCAGTACAAACTGAGACATAGTAAATGCAAACATGCTGGATTTATAAAGTTTTCCCTCAATAGCCATTGAAGATTGGGTCCAGGACTCCCTTAGATACTGAGCTTCTAAGATGTTCAAGTCTCTTATTAGTAAATGGTATGGGATTTGCATGTAATCTAAAACTATCCTCCTGAATACTTTATGTCTTGATTACTTTGAATGCCTAATACAATGTAAATGCTGTATAAATACTTGTAATGCCATACTGTTTAGGAACAGCAAGAAGCTTGTTAAAAATATGTACATGATTGGCAGGGCGCGGTCACTCACGCCTGTAATCCCAGCACTTTGGGAGGCCAAGGCGGACGGATCACAAGGTCAGGAGATCGAGACCATCCTGAATAACACGGTGAAACCCTGTTTCTACTAAAAATTAAAAAAAAAATTAGCCAGGCATGGTGGCACGTGCCTGTAGTCCCAGCTATCTGGGAGACTGAAGCAGGAGAATCACTTGAACCCAGGAGGCAGAGGTTGCAGTGAGCCGAGCTCACGCCACTGCACTCCAGCATGGGTAATAGAGTGAGACTCTGTCAAAAGTACATGTTCAGTACAGCTGCTTTTTTCTTCCTGTAAATATTTTTTATCTGAGATTAGTTGAATCCATGGGTATGAAATTTATGGATATGAACAACCAACTGTGATTCAAATAAGAAAATGAGATGAGAATAAAATACCTCATGGTATTTTATTAAACATTTTGTTAAACAAGTCATGCTCTCAATCATTCCCAGTTACTTAGACAAGCTTAAAGCCTAGGCAGAGGGTAAAAGCTGGGATGATTTCTGAGTCACTTACATAAGCTGATTAACGAAGAAGCACATTCTGAATCTCGTCCTGTCTCTGTCATTCTATCTCTTTTGATGATTCCATGATGATAATATATGAAAGACACTTAGTATCTATGCTATTATTCTATACTCCCTGCCTCCAAACTCACCTATAAAGTTTGCTCAGACAATTATAAATGAAGTAGGTTTTATCTAAGATTGATTAATCAGAGTGGACTGTCAACTCCTAAAATTATCAATCATTAAATTTGTCCCTTTAACTTTAATATCAAACTCTTCTGTTCAATACATTAAACGTAAATAAGTTCTATTATTTTTAATTTTTTTTTCTGTTGTTGAGACGCGGTCTCGCTCTGTCACCCAAGCTGGAGTGCAGTGGCGTGATCTCAACTTACTGCAACCTCAGCCTCCCAGGTTCAAGCAATTCTCCTGCCGCAACCTCCCGAATAGTTGGTATTACAGGCACCCGCCACCACGCCAGGATAATTTTTTTTGTATTTTTAGTAGAGACGGGGTTTCACCATGTTGGCCAGGCTGGTTTCTAACTCTAGACCTCAAGCGATCTGCCTGCCTCGGTCTCTCAAAGTGCTAGGCTGCAAACATGAGCCATTGTGCCCAGCCGATTAAATCTATTTTCAACAGCTTTCAAATCTAGTCTACAAACTGCAAATTTTGAAGAGATAGCAAATAGACGTTTGCAACAAGAATTTTCAAAGTAATTCAACATTTTTAACATTTACTTTGGTGTACATTATAACCATTACTACAGGCCCACATTCTAGTGTACATTTTAGGTATTTTATGGGTTCTATCATTTCACGAAACTATGGAAATATATCTTTTCACATCTAAAAAATCTAATAATACAGAATATAGTCACATAAAAACAATCAAATAGCAAGGGAACACAAACCCTATGTTACAAATTGAACATACTTTATATTGATTTTCTGTAAAATCACTAAGACAGTTACTTGTTTGCTTAGAAAAGACCCAAGCATGCTGCCAGGTAAATTTAAAGTGTTTTGAAGAGAAAAGGTGAGCATGATGGGTTTACTGCAAATTTTATACTCACAAGGCTATTGTGAATGGTCTCAGTCTAGAAGCTCTGTAGATATCCAGATTAGAAGTAACTCCTGGTGCTCCAAAGCCCAGCAGCCACGATTCCAGTGGGTCCTCACTGAAGGAGACAGAAATCTCTGGACAAGCATCCCTTTAAAGGGTATGGGCCCACGAAAGACCACACTCACTTCCTGAGATTGATTAGATTGCATGGAAAGGGGTAAATTGGCTGATTAGGTTTATAAAGTATTGAAAACCACACCTGAGGGCTCAAAGCTCAACAGACAAGTTTGGAATGAGATGCAAGAAAGTTGACTTAACACAGGTTATTCAAAGAAATATTTTAATTAGCCTGGCGTGGTGGCTCAAGCCTGTAATCCCAGTGCTGTGGGAGGCCCAGGTGGGTGGATCACGAGGTCAGGAGTTCAAGACCAGCCTGGCCAAGATAGTGTAACTCGGTCTGTACTAAAAATACAAAAAAATTAGCCGAGCTCGGTGGCAGGCACTTGTAGTCCCAGCTACTTCGGAGGCTGAGGCATGAGAATCACTTGAACCTGGAAGGCAGAGGTTACAGTGAGCTGAGACAGCGCCACTGCACTCCAGCCTGGGAGACAGAGCGAGACTCTGTCTCAAAAAAAAAAAAAAAAGAAATAGTTTAAGTATAACAATTATTTCATTAAATATTATCACTTGCTAACTTTTTTTTATTTCTTTTGAGACGGTATCTCCCTCTGTCGCCCAGGCTGTAGTGCAATGGCTCAGTCTCAGCTCACTGCAACCTCTGCCTCTCAAGTTCAAGCGATTCTCCTGCCTCAGCCCCCCAAGTAGTTGGGATTACAGGCGCCCGCCACTAAGCCCAGCTAAGTTTTGTATTTTTAGTAGAGATGGGGTTTCACCATGTTGCTCAGGCTGGTCTCGAACTTCTGACTTCAGGTGATCTGCCCACCTTGGCCTCCCAAAGTGCTGGGATTACAAGTGTGAGCCACTGCACCCCGGGCCACATGCTAACTTTAAAATTTTGTTTCTCACTCTGTTTTAAAATTATAATTGCTTAAGTGCCTAGCCGTTATTTATCTGAATATGTTCAAAGATAACACATTAACTGGGATTACCAACACATCTGTGCTGTGTAACTCTCTTGTTTAAAAAAGTATAGCAAGGAACTCAATTGTGTTTCACATAATTGTATATATAATGGTTGATAGAATTAGTTGTATCAGCCTGTTTTTCTTATTTTTACTATTTTATGACTATTTCCTAATGATTGTTTTATATGAAAATAAAATCTGTTTTTATTCATCCACCTTTTTGAATAATTTTAAAACTGATACTTTACATATATGTACATAACTGTCTATAACAATGTTATGTATTCATATTTTTAAAATTATATAATAATTATTTACACAATAATAATTAGTATTATTACTTTTTTTTGAGATGCAGTCTCGCTCTGTCACCCAGGTTGGAGTGCAATGGCATGATCTTGGCTCACTGCAACCTCTGCCTCCCAGGTTCAAGTGATTCTCCTGCCTCAGCCTCCCGAGTAGCTGGGATTACAGGTGTCTGCCACTGTGGCCAGCTAATTTTGGTATTTTTAGTAGAGATAAGGTTTCACCAAGTTGGCCAGGCTGGTCTCGAACTCCTGACCTCAGGTGATCCGCCTATCTCGGCCTTCCAAAGTACTGGGATTGCAGGCATGAGCCATGGCACCTGGCTGCTATTTACACAATAATTATGTGCATAATTATCTTTAATAGTGCATGAAAGTTATTTTTAACACAGTTGCCATACTAACAGATTTTGTTGTCATTTACCATGATTTAATAAATCACCAATGTTTACACATAGTTGTATTCATAAATTATCTAATGTTTGGCGATTTAGGTCATTTCTATAAACTTAAAATTAACAAACCTTGCTAGAAGTTGAAAAAGTAAAGATCTATATAAAAGTCACCATTTACATATTAATAGACATTTAAAAAATTATAAAAGACAGCACATCCCAGAAAAAGATGAAGTGGCTGCCTTTTTAATCAGTCCATGGCATTGCAAATTAGTATGTTTTCTGAAGTGTCATTTGATCAGCATTATGCTTCAAAAAATATATCCAATAAAGTTAAGAAAAGATAATCATAGATACATATATGCAGACTTTTCCAGAAATGTTCTTTGAAAACTGCTTCAAACACTTCTTAAAATGTTGCATATTTTCTACCTAAGTGTAGAGAAGAAAGACTTTCTAGTATTGTCACTTATCAGTCAAAATTCAATTCTACATTTTGTAGACTGCCCTGTATTAGACAGAAATAAACAATAAGCAACTTACGAGATGCATATAAAAGAATAAAAAATAGTTGCAAATTTTAGTGCTAGAAGCTGAAAAAGTTATTATCTATTTTACTACAACTGTGTTATCATGCAGGATAGGTAAGAGAGAAAAAGCAATATTTCCTTACCTAACCAAAAAATACTCTGTCATTTTGACAATGAGAACACTTGGACACAGGAATGGGGAACATTACACACCGGGGCCTGTTGTGGGGTGGGAGGAGTGGGGAGGGATAGCATTAGGAGATATACCTAATGTAAATGACGAGTTAATGGGTGCAGCACACCAACATGGCACATGTATACATATGTAACAAGCCTGCACATTGTGCACATGTACCCTAGAACCTAAAGTGTAATAAAAATGTATATATATAAAAATACTCTGTCATTCAAGTGAAAAATCAGACATTTATTGATTACCAATTCTATGCTAAAAACTGTTCTAAGTGCTTCACATGTTCCAGCTTACTTAATCCTTACAGCGACCCCATGAGATAAATAATATTTTATACTCATTTGAAGATCAAGAAACGTAAGAATAGGAAACTTTAATAAGTTGCCCATAGGCATACTCTAATTAAGTAGGAGAACTAGGGTTTGGAACCAGGCCATCTGTCTCTGAAAACTGCTTTCCTTTCAGTTACATTAAATATGTTGCCAAAGTATGTTCCTAAGGCACCAAATTACATACAATATTTTGGGGGGATGCTTCTCGCATGCTGGCAGAATAGATCAGAAAGTTGAAAAAGCTTTCAAGTATTGTGCAGGTTTTGGTCCTTTTTTTTGAATAATAATATGCACACTGTCCTACATCTACCATACTGTCCAACTCTCTTAATGACATGACAAAAAGCCTGTGAGCATGCTCAGCCACACCCCATAACTAAGGCATTGTGGAAATCCTAGTGTGAAGTGCAGCTCTTCTTTTCAAAACACAGAATGTCTCAGAGGGTCTCATATGTGCGCTACTCTGATTACTCACAAAATGAGTGTCTACTATGGACTCTCCTTACTGGTAGAGATTGGAGCCAAAATTGTAACAAACCTGCAGGTTCTGCACGTGTATCCCGAAAATTTAAGTAAAATTTTTAAAAAGTGTAAAAAAAAAAAAAAAACAAGACTAAGTCCATAAAGAGCTCATGGTCTAGTAGTTCATACAAACGAAAGGACAGTCATCCTAAAAGTCTTCATAAAAGAAATGACACCTAAGCTGAAATCCAAAGGATGAAGGTAGTCTTTTCTTTTCTGATAGTAAAGTCTATGTGACAGCAGTTGTCATGAGAAAAGATTTTGGGACCTGGTATGGTGGCTCATGCCTGTAATCCCAGCACTTTGGGAGGCCTAGGTGGCTTGACTGGTCAGGCGGAGAAGTTCAAGACCAGCCTAGGCAACATGGTGAAACTCCATCTCCACAAAAATATAAAAATTAGACAGGCACAATGGTGCACGCCGGTAATCTCAGCTACTTGGGAGTCTTAGGCTGGACAATTGCCTGAGCCCAGGAGGCAGAGGTTGCATTGAGCCGGGATTGTGCCACTGACTCTGGCCTGGATGACAGAGCGAGACCCTGTCTCACACACAAAAAAAACTGTTAGTTCTGTTCTTTTGCTGGGTTGATGTCCTTGTATTCTATCTAGGCCAGAATGTTTCTGAAATGCAAATATGCCTACATTCCTAGCTGCTTAACCTTATTATGGGATTTTGATAAGCTACAAGTAGTTACACTCGTCTCGATGTCTTCCAAAATGTACTTCATGTATTTGGTGCTCAATGTATGAATCGTTCTTCCCACAAATGCCTTGGATTCTAGTAAGGGTGAGTTCTTTGTAGTTCTTTAACTTGCCATAATCATCCATATTTCTATTATTTTGTATAACATGATTACCTTGTCAGTGGAAATATAAATACGTAAAATTACTTTGAAACACTGTGGCATTGCCAGTAGAATTGACGATCAACAAATTTTATAACCCAGACATTCCAGCTATCAGAAGATACTGTCAGGAAAGAGAATCTATTGAACATTTGCATTAGGAGACGTGTTCACAAAATCAAAATACAAAAATCATTCCAAATGTACAACAGCAGAAAATGAATAAATATATATTTTATTATGCAACGTTTATCCAACTTTGGGTTATCCACTACAAACTCACTCTTGGTTGTTTACATAAATAGATCTGGACCCTTTAAATATTTTTTCTTTGCCACGTGTTAAGATGTCAATTTTTGTGAGTAGAAAGCACTGGAGAGAAATTCCAAAAAAGCGCTTCCAATCTGCTTTGGAAATGACACCTCCAGTGTCTGGCCCGGAGGGCATACAGGGATACACCGATGACCAGATTCTGTAATTCAGGCTGCTGCTATAGCACGCACTTCCTGAAGTTCATGGTGGCCAGGAGAACTCAGCAGCCGTGAGCTCCTCCTGATACTGTCCTTTGCCATATTTGCAGTGGAGCCCGTCTAGCATGACATTTCTTCATAAACAGCTTTACAAGTGGCCCAGAAGGCAAGTTTCTGGGGAGCTCTGAAGTGTGGATTTAAAGCAAGTTTTTCAAGCACAACAGCACAGCGACTTCTTTTTTTTTTTTTTTTAAAGAATTCTATTGATGGTATCTAAACAGCTAATGAATGTAGATAGCTAACATGAATGAGAAATATCTGTGCCAGAACATTCTGAATCTTAGTGTGGAAAAAAAAATACATGTCTTTGTATCACAATTCCCATTTTCAAATGTGAGGAAAGTGCCACAACATAAAATGTTACCAAACAGATGGGCGTTTTTCAAGATGCAAGAGCTCTAAAAGTAATTATATGTATATAATTATATACACCACATGCAGGTACACACAAACCCACCAGCAATACCACCACCATTGTCAACTTTCCACATTATTAAAAACAGCAAGGATGTTGAGTATTTTATTATGAAAGCTGAGTCCTTCTTGGTCCTATTTGCTGGCTCTATTTTTTTTCCAGATTTCTGGTACCTGGGAGTTTTCAGAGTCTGGAACAGACAGTGAGCCATTATAGAAAAGTTTAATTAAATTAATATTCATTTTTCATGCTTCTAGTTTTCCTTCACCTTACGTGGAATAGGACTATAAGGGTTTTTCATATTAATTTATGAGATGTAGTTAAAAGGAAATATTGGTAATGCATTGGTGTGTCAAACTGTAAACAGTGGTCCATTAGACGCGTTATAGGTTTGTCTTATGTAATATTACATCATATAGAAAGGGCAGCAGTCCTGAGTTTACCACTGTCCTCTCTGTATAATGTTATACATTTTTAAATTTTAGGGATTATCAAGTTTACCTCCCATTTTGCAAGAAAGCAGTTGACATTTAAAGAGGTTAAGTAAATTGTCTAGAGGTCAAGGAGCAAATTATCCACGTTTTCAAATTCTTCAATTCCTGTGTAAGCTTTCCATTTATTCTCAGCTCAGGGAGTGGACCTCATGTTTAAAAAAAGTGATAAAAGTAAGCAAACAAATGGCAACCATCAACAAAAATGACACAATTCCCTCCTTTGGAGTGTCGTGAGGGAGTTATATGTTATAAAATTCATTATTGAAATTTGAGGCATGAAAGTTCATGGCCCAAGTAAACTGGGGGCAGAGACTGGGTTAATGGAAAGGCTATGTAGCCATTAATGGCTCATCCCAAGCATAGCTGACCATGACCTCCACTGTGTGCAGTGGAATCCTGGGAAATTTAAGAGCTACTCTCTAGTACGCCGAGACTTTGTAGGCCCATTCAGAGAACTTAATAAAACAACATGGTTGCAGGTAATGGCAACAAGTTTTGTAGCTCAAATCACCCAAGACATTTAGATATGTATTCCAGGCTGTTAGTTTAATGTTTGCTGTATGTACCATGTAGTCATTTCTGTTAATTATGTTTCTTAACTAATTTTTAGAAAGAGTACTCTATTTGAGTGTTCACAACTGATAGGGAAAAAGGTGGGAATGGGAATGGGAAACTGTACAAATATTTAATGACTCTAAATATTTGGGAGAACTGAGGAAATGTCACATGGATTATGGTGCTAAAAAGGACTGTTATCTAATTGAGTTGTTTGTCCTGATCCATTTCCTGATCCTTATCTTATTGTACTATTCCATCTTCTGCCACTTAAATTCACAGAAACAAAATGCAAGCAAACGTCTTTCTTCAACCTGCCTTCCCAGACTGATTTAATAAAAATGGCTAGATTTCTAGGAAGCACAGCGACTTCTTAACATTCAGTGAGGCCAAGGGGTGAGGGGACTCTTCATTGGAACTTCAACTTCACCCTGGAAACAATGGCAATTCCTTATATGTGCTCATCACGTATTATTTAGACTTCTTAGATTCTACTAGACAATATTTCATTGCTCAAATGCTGTTATAAATAATCATTCTTTATATTAACTTTCCCTATTCACATTATTATATGTTTTCTCTGTCTTGATGGACCCTGAATCTTACTTTCATTTGAATAAATGCTCTCTATCTATCTATCTATCTACTTATCTAACTATCTAAACCCTTAAAGACCGGTGGAAAAAAAATCAAGTACCATAAAAATATACATGGTATGATTTTACTTATAAAAAGTTCAAAACTACCTAAAGCCAAAACGTAAGACATGTAAATAATATAGCCACGTGTGATAAAATTATAATGAATAACAGAGCAAATAAAGATAAACACAAAATTCAAGAAAGTGAATGAGCACAACTGTCATTAGTGCATGGAGAACCAAAAGATATTGGAAATGTTATTTTCTTAATAAGGTTAGTAGGTTCACAGATATTCATTTCATGACAATTTTTCTCTATACTCGTGTGTTACATTATAGTCTTTTATATAAATAAGATATTTTTGATAAAAAATAATGATTTCTTATGCTATAGAGTGATCACATTTACTAAAAGTGTAGTTTAATCGGTGTCCCAACTACTGTGCTGAGATAGTGATCCTCTCAGCCTTGGGAGGCCAGGCAGGGCGTGAGACCTCTGGCTTGGAGCAGTTGTGCATATTCCGCAGTGTGCTCTATGACAAACTGATGTTTTCCCATGTGTGAAGCGTCATGAACACATTAGACTTGATTCTCTGATAATGCCAGATGAGAGTTTCACAATATTTGTCTATTCCCCTTGGATTTAATACTGAGTTTGATTCTTCCACTTCAGAATAACCTTGTATAATTATAAATTTTAATGTTTTATTTTTAATCCATGACAAGAAAATAAAACATATACACAAACATATATATGAACACTCACATAACTTTATATAATATGTAGCTTCATTTCTAATATACTAATTTAAAAATTCATCAATATACCCATCATGATTCTTTCTGAGTGTTATATCACACAATTCAATATAGGTTCTCTAAAGAATCCTCATAGGCTACTTGGTTCAAAGCCTCTGAAGCTGCCTGCACTGTGAAGGCAGCAACAGAAATCTTTCTCTTCACTTCTCCCCTAGCCTTGCAAGGGTCCACCTTGCTTTTAATTTCAAACAGAGCATTAGAAATTCCTGGAAATGACTCCCCTGAATACTTGCTGTGGCTGCTCGAAGCATAGATGACATGCCTGTTGATAAAACAGTAGGCTGTTTACTAGTTGCCCAAATGATATAGAGGAGAAACATAAGAGCACTCAGCAATTCTAACATTGAATATTTCTAATTTAACAATTAGAACAAGCCACTTGTCAACTGAACCTCCACATTCAATCATCTCTAAAGACTCCTCTGGCCAGGTGCGTTGGCTCAAGCCTGTAAGCCCAGCAGTTTGGGAGGTTGAGGCGGGTGGATCATGAGGTCAAGAGTTCAGGACTAGCCTGGACAGCATGGTGAAACCCAGCCTCTACTAAAAATACAAAAAATTAGCCGGGCACGGTGGCATGTTCCTGGAATCCCAGCTACTCAGGAGGCTAAAGCAGGAGAATTGCTTGAACCTGGCAGGCGGAGGTTGCAGTGAGCCAAGATCATGCCACTGCACTTCAGCCTGGGCTCCAGAGCAAGAAGACTCTGTCTCAAAAACAAAACAAAAGAAAACAAAACAAACAAACAAAAACAACCAAACATCAAACAAACAAAAAAACTTAAAGTGGTAAGTGGTTCAGTGCTACAATAGTAACAACGGTATAGTAACCACAGCAATCATGCTCAGTATTAAAGTATTTACTTACAATTTTTCTAATTCTTTAAAATAAACTACGCACAGTTGATATTAGTATTTCACAGAGGAGGAAACTGAGGTCTGAGAAATCAAGTGACTAAATGATTTGTCTCAAGGCACATTACAAGTAAGTGTTGATTTTTTAATACATTACAATAAATTATAGCACAACTGTGATCATCAAAGTCTTGTTTGTGATTAGCCAACCTTCTATTGTAATTTTTTGTCCTTTTTAAAAAAGTCACACTACCATGTTAGAATATGTAACATAAAACATGAAGAATCATCAAAAACAATTTTGTAATGTTTCACATGACCACGGCAGAAGAATGTTTTATAGAACAGGCTGAGACAAATCTGTCTAGGACCTAGGAAAGAAGGACAAACACGGAAGTAAAGAGATAAATAAGGCCAGGAGTGGTGGCTCATGCCTGTAATCCCATAAATTTGGGAAGCTGAGGTAGGAGGATTGCTTGAGGCCTGGAGTTGTAGACCATCCTGGGCAACATAGGGACACTCTGTCTCTACAAATCAAAGTACAAATATTAGTTGGGCATTGTGGCATGTGACTGTAGTCCCAGTGATTTTGGAGGCTGAGGTGGAAAGATTGATCAAGCCCAGGAGTTTGAGGCTGCAGTGAGCTAAGATTGCACCACTGAACTCCAGCGTGGGAGACAGTGTGAGAAGCTGTCTCTTAAGAACAACAACATAAGCGAGGGCGATGGGTAAGTTAAAAATATGCTGCCATTGGTCAACCAATCAAACTGTTTAAAACATGCTCTTACTCCCAAACCTGACGCTTTGATAATCCCTGGACAGAAAGATAGAGCCATTTCTGGCTGTCCAATGACCTAACTCCGTCTGCAGTACATATAAGATCAACCTGGGGATAGTCCATGTTTGGCAGAAAAAAATTGCAATAGTCAAGATTTAGGAGAGAAAAAAACCTCTACATATAAAACATGAGAAAAAGAATAAATAAATATATGTTTATTATATAAATTATATATAGAGAGATTTACTTGGTTTTGTGTATACATAAACAAAAATATATTTAAAATAGGAAAGGGACTAGAATTATACACCTAAGACTATAACCATGATTTTATATTTTTCTGATGGAATTAGGGAGATATTTATTTTCAGTTGTTGCTTTCTTGATCTTAACATTTTCTAAAATAAACACATATTCTTTTAAAATAAGAAACAAAAAGATACTGAAAATAAAGCTATGCAAAAACTATATTATACTGTATGAGAAAATATTATATTTATCATTTACTACATATATTTTGAAATTTTCTATTGGCTTGCAAGAAATCAACTATGATATTTTTCCACCGTACAAAAGGAAGAAAAAGTGATATTATAAGTGGGAGTCATTTTTTATTTTCCTATCTATAAAAACGTCTATCTGGTAACCCTAAGTACCAATAAGTGCTCATTACAGAAACATCAGTTGATCATTCATAATTCTTAATAATATTGGAATGATAAATGAACATAGTTATAACTTCATGAAAATGTTATTTCTACACACAAAATAAAAATTTCAGAACAAAACTGAACTTAATCAGTCTTCTCTGGGAATTGGTTCCAGGACCCTGATAGATATCAGAATTGGTGCATACTTAAGTCCTGCAGAAAAGACACGTATATATGAAAAGTAGGCCCTCCTCTTCTGTGGAATTAACAAGCTGAAAGTGAGCAAACCACTAAACAAATCAAATTGACCTATCAGAATAATAATCTAGATTTTAGTATAAATTATTTAATATTTCATCTTTTCAAGTGATTTTTCCAAATAATGTAAGTACAGCATTCTCAGAGTCTGATAAGACTTTCTGGATTACCTTGCTCTGCCTCAGTGAGGAAAGGTAGCTGTGTATGTGGAATCTGAAGCCACATCTGACCTCCCTTGGGTTAACTGCCCATAATATAACTCCCACCACATGCTTAATGCCCTTTGATGTCCTGGTCTTCATCTTGTTAAGACAGTGAAGTAGGCAATAATATAAAACAGAAAATATTTCTGAAAAACATGGCTAAGAGTCCAAATGGAATGTAACAGTTTTGTTTTATTTTGTTTTGTTTTTTAGAAAAACATTCATAATTCTCTTACTTTACATTATTCATTGGTTCTTTATTAGCTACATCTGAGGTTCTCAGATTCAAGCTCATGTAATGAGTATCATTCTTTGGTAAGTTCTAACGTATCAAAGGTAAAGGAAAAATAATTGTTGAGATTTGTTCCATAGAAATAAATTTACTCACTTAAAAGCCTTTTTTCTGGGTTTATGTCCTTCCTACTTTGTAATATTTTTAACAAAATCATTTTCTGTATGCAATACTAATATTTGAAAATATAAGTTTGAAAACAAAAAAAAAATTTTGGCAAAATAAAGCTTACCATCATTAAAAATAAAAAGTTGGCCCCCCATATGTGTGGATTTCTGTCCTTCAATACAGTATTTTATTTTATTTTCTTAAGAGATAGAGTCTTGCTCTTTCACCAGGCTGGAGTGCAGTGGCGTGATCATACCTCACTAAAGCCTCAGACTCCTGGGCTCAAGCAATCCTCCTTTCTCACCTTCCTAAGTACCTGGGATTACAGTGAATACTGTATTTTCTATCCAACTTTGCTTGCTGATGTGAAATCTACAGATAGAAAGGGCTGACTATATGTATTTTTTTAAAAACTGTGGACCGGGCGCGGTGGCTCACTCCTGTAATCCCAGCATTTTGGGAGGCCGAGGCGGGCGGATCACCTGAGGTTGAGAGTTTGACCAGCCTGACCAACATGGAGAAACCCCATCGCTATTAAAAATACAAAAAAATTAGCCGGGCGTGGTGGTGCATGCCTGTAATCCCAGCTACTCGGGAGGCTGAGGCAGGAGAATCGCTTGAACCCGAGAGGCTGAGGTTGCAGTGAGCCGAGATTGCGCCATTGCACTCCAGCCTGGGCAACAAGAGTGAAACTCCATCTCAAAAACTAAAAAAAAAAAAAAATTGTTCTTAAGTAGACCCGTGCAATTCAAATCAGTGTTCTTCAAGCATGAAATGCATATTTTAAATTTCTATAATATGCAAATTAAAAACAATAACATACATAGCTACCATATTTTTAAATCTTATAAAATACTATTCTGCTGAGGCTTATGAAAGCACAGAAACAGCTGCATGTGCCAATGGGAAAAATGGTAGTGATTTTTATTTACATTGGAATAATAATTAACTGATAAACCCAGATATACAAATATAGGCAAGACTTTCTTCAACTTAGGTATCCTAGTAATCTACTCACAGAAGTAACATCAACATTAAAATAAGATAATCTACTAATGTTCAGTAAGATGCCTGGCAAATTATAAATATTTGCCAAGTGATAACTAACAATATTCTTACTTTTAAAGCTAAACCTATTAGGAAACCAAAACATGGTGTTTATTTCAGTCTTTCTACAATATCTGGATGCCCACTACGCATCAAACACTCCCTGCTTTCACAGAACTTACATTCCAAATGGAGTGATGGGATTGCTATTGCAGTAAGAATGATTCCGTCTAATTGAGAGTGTATCAACAAACTCTGAGCAGACGAACAATGAGTCACCGAATTCAATATACCAATTCTGTCACAATGTAATTAATGAGAAACAATTGTTACATTAAGAAAGTATTAATTATTACATTCATTACTTTATTTCTTACTTTTTTAAAATTTAGTTTTACTAGCAGTTAGCATTTAGAACTGGCTGATCGCTTCCTATGTGCCAATTACTCTTTCGAATGTTTATACAATACGTGATTTTTAATCTTCAGAGCAATTCTGCAAGTTGGGCAGCGTAGTAGCCCCATTTCACAGATAAGATAACAAAGGGTCAGGAGTTAAATAACTTGCCTATATTCACACTGAAATGGGAGGTCCATATTGTTCTTTCAACTGCACCCTGTTGACAAAATGAAAACAGGAATAACCTATAATAGGAAAACCTCTATAATCCGGATTTCAGCTGTATTCAATATTTATGAATTTAACATCAAGAACTCAGATTTTGTAATAGTGTATGATAAATGAAACCCAGAATGTCTGTTATCCCATAAACAGTTAAGACAATCAAATGAAACATAATTTCAATAAAATGCTATGGGTTTCTGAATCAAATTCACAAGGCATTCTTACAAATACAAAAATTGATGTGGCTACACATAGGTAAATGCACACACACACACACACACAAACACACACTTCTCTTTCTCTGTATCCTGTGTTAACACCCTGTATTCTTTGATACAGGGGAAAGAAGTCACACAAGAAAAGCAGGATGAAGACATGTCTCTTCCTTAGATTTCAAAGTTTTGGTTGAGAAATTCAACATTCAGCTTAATTGACTTAGTGAGAAATTACTATTATTATGTGCAACGCACTGCTCACATGTTTCAGGAATTGTAAACATCATATAGAGACACAGACTAAATCTTTACTATCATTTGGAGAAAATGAACCAAATATAGAAATACTCAAGGAAGAAAAAGCTGTGTGTCCTTAACAAACCATAATTCAAACGATGAGGCATTTTGTCAGGGAAAGAAAACATCATTTTTCTTTTAAAGATAGAAAATCAGCTTCATGGAATACGCCATGTTTGAAATCTGCTTAAATTTTCATATTCACTGTTGACTTTTTACCCACATAAAAAAATTGGAAAGAATTGTAAACAATAAGGAAACAATTCTCCCAATATTTCCCTGAAGATAACACAATTATTATGCTAATTAATTAACTCCCTTTAAGTTTTCCTATATTTGTTAAATAAAATTAATCAAGTTATATTTGCAATTTTACATCCTTTCTGCTTGCTTCTTATTTTGTTATAAATATCTTCTTATATTGTATTTCTAATAATCAATTTTTTTTTTTGAGATGGAATCTCGCTATGTTGCTCAGGCTAGAGTGCAGTGGCAGGATCTTAGCTCCTGTCAACCTCTGCCTCCAGGTCTCAAGCCATTCTCCTACCTCAGACTCCCGAGTAGCTGGGATTACAGGTGTCTGCCACTGCGCCTGGCTAGTTTTTTATTTTTGTTTATTTATTTATTTATTTTTTGTATTTTTAGTAGAGACGGGGTTTCGCCATGTTTGCCAGGCCAGTTTCAAACTCCTGACCACAGGTGATCTGCCCACCTCGCCCTCCCAAAGTGCTGGGATTATAGGCGTGAGTCACTGCGCAAGGCGTCTAATGATCAATTCTAATTATTATAAAATGTTCAAATTGGTGAATATCAACTTATTTAGTAATTTCTCTTAGGAATAGGTTATTTTGAAATACTTGCCATTATCATTTTAGAACTCAAGTTTTTTTCAAAGCAGTCTTTCTTTTCCAAAATTGAGACTTTTTCTTAAGAAATAATTCAAGAAATGAAAATACTTTGATAAAGTATAGAACTTTGTGACAGCTGTTTGACACTTTAGCAATACATAACTATCACTTTCAAAAAAGGTTAATATAATTCACAATATTATCAGAAAAGCATGGGGAGCATATGCTTCAGTGTACCAACTAGAGCAATGGGCACTACCAAGGTATAAATTGTTATGCTACTGTGAGCAGCAGAACAATAGTGAAAGGGTTCCATCTAATCATTTCAACATGGAAGCAAACTTTTTATTAGGATTTCTTCCTAATATCAACATATTCAGCTAAAATATTTTTCATTTCCTGGGGAATGATATAAAATATTAATAGCTATGAGAAAACATACTATCACTATGGAATGCAATAATTATTGCATGAGATAAACACAGGGTTTCACAGAAAGATAAAGCCTTTGAGTGTTCACAAAGAAATTCTCAGATTATTTGAATGATATAAAAAAATTTAATAAACTTAGAGTTGACCCTTGAACAAAATGGTGATTGGGGTGCCGAGATCCCACGAAGTCAGAAATCAACATGTAATGTTTGACTTCCTCAAAACTTAGCTATCAATAGCCTACTGTTGACTAGAAGCCTTACTGATAATGTTAGCCGTTGATTAATGCATATTTTATATGTTATACTGTATTTTTACAATAAAGATAGCTAAAGGAAAGAAAATGTTATCAAGAAAATCAAAAGAAAATAAATTTACTATTCATTAATGTAATAGTAAATATAATTAGTGGAACTGGATCATTATAAGGTTTTCACCTTCATCATCTTCATGATGAGTAAGCTGAGAAGGAGGAGAAAGAGGAGGGGTTGTTGTCTCAGGGGTGGCAGAAGCAGAAGAAACTCCAATTATAAGTGACTCACATAGTTCTAACCAGGGTTATTCAAGGATCAACAGTATATGTAAGTCAAAAGTTTTAAAATTATATTATCTTTCATTTTCTAAATAAAATTAAACTACACTACAAAAAAAATTAATGAGAAATTCCTGAGAATTTCAGGCAGATAAACTGGGGAGGGGGTGTTGGAAACTATATACAAGATCCATCATACTACTGGAATTCTATATAGTTCACATATGTGATTTACACATATATCATGAGAGAGGCAGTGCTTAGAGATGTAGCAGAAAAAGTAGCATAGCGTAGTTGAAGATGGGGCCTAAATTCATGGCTGAACAATCTGTATTGATTATTTATTGATTCAAACATAAAATGAATACTGCTAAGAGAAGTGACGAAATGAAAGTACATATATATTCTGAAAGGAGTACAGATTTCCTGACGGAAAAGTAAAAACAAACAATATATATTTTTTTTGAGACGGAGTCTCACTCTGTCACCGAGGCTGGAGTGCGGTGGCGCGATATGGGCTCACTGCAAGCTCCGCCTCCTGGGTTCACGCCATTCTCCTGCCTCAGCCTCCCGAGTAGCTGGGAGTACAGGCGCCCACCACCGCGCCCGGCTAATTTTTTTGTATTTTTTTTTAGTAGAGACGGGGTTTCACCACCTTAGCCAGAATGGTCTCGATCTCCTGACCTCGTGATCCGCCTGCCTGGGCCTCCCAAAGTGCTGGGATTACAGGTGTGAGCCACCGCTCCCAGCCAAAAACGAACGATATTAAACACACTTCTAAGCACTAAGAAAGAAATCAAATGGCTGTTTGTGAAAGACAGAGAGAGATATCATCAGCTTAATTATTCATATTATAAGTCATCCTGTTTCTTTAAAGGTGATATCTTTAAGGATATTACTTACAATACTTTTTTCTGCAAATTATCAAGTGCCTACTGTGTCTTAATAAGCATTCTAAGCCAATGCAGAAATGAACAAAAGAGATAGATTTTCTGGCACCTAAAGAGCTAATGAGGTTTTGCAGAAATCTGCCTTAAGTTATCACTTATAATTTGGACATATGGACTTTTATCCAGTTATCTAGAGTAGTGCTTGAGTAAGTGAAACTCTTCCCATTCTTGCCAAAGTTATATCACTAGTATTTAAGAACAAGAAATATTTTAATAATAATGACCTTGATAGCTAAAGGACAGTCAGGGCATATAATATCTCACTTTTACATTGGAAATTGGATTAAAACAGGCTGGTCTTATATTTGACTCTCAATTTTTGAGTTTCCAAATTTTCAATGTCTGTTTTTAGGGTTTTGTTTTTCCTGTAGAGAATATTAATCTTCCTTGTCCTTTATTAAATGTTATAATCAAAATTATCCTGTTCTTGTAACTTCAAATTCCTTGGTAAAGTAGATACTTGGTAGAACAATTTTTCCCTCAAGAATTTTAACTTTTATTATTTACATGTGTCCATACTTTTTTTAAAAAAATTTGCAGTTGATATTACTCTGCATCCTGAAAGAGCCAATAGTCATATCTTCCTGTATGGAGACTTAAGAAGCATGAATGTTGGATGTGACCCTCAAGATGGTCCCCGCATCATGGCAACATCTGAATGTTTTCCTGAGTAGAGCGCTCAGACTTTCACATCTGGCAAATATTATTGGGAGGTTCATGTGGGGGACTCTTGGAATTGGGCTTTTGGTGTCTGTAACAATTATTGGAAAGAGAAGAGACAGAATGACAAGATAGATGGAGAGGAGGGACTCTTTCTTCTTGGATGTGTTAAGGAGGACGTTCACTGCAGGCTCTTTACCACACCCCACATGTGGTGCTATATGTTCCAAGGCCTAGCAGCCGAGGAGGATTATTCCTGGATTGTGAAGGTAGAACCATGAGCATTGTTGATGCTGATCAAATTTCCCTTATATACACCATCCATAATTGCTCCTTCTCACCTCTTCTCAGGCCTATCTTTCGCTGTAGTCACCTCTGACCAGAGACAAATTGGTAATGTGTCCACATGCTGTGTAAACCCCTTTATCCCAGGAAGTCCTCTTTTTTGTGCCTCATCAAAGAGGACAAATAAGTTATATTTAATGTGTTTAGTTGCCTTCTAATGTCATCACAACTCATTAATACGGTTTCTATTAAATATGGTGAAAAAACTAAAACCATGTGTATTGGTTCTTTGTTTAATCATTTTTGGAAAATCATTACCCATGATGGATGGCATAGAATATATCCTCTGGTTTTTCATTATTTCTGAATGTCACAAAGTGAAATCAGAGATGACAGAGGTGTCTAAATGAAGTTAAAATCAATGGAAGAAAATAGAGATCTTGTGCTTCATGAAAAAACTTGGAGTAAAAAGAGTCAGTGGTAACTTGGAAATATTTTCTTTCTCTTCATCTAACAATACTATACTTATCCATGTGTTTTATTTCTGAATCCATACCTTGAGGTAATCTTATTTGACCTCCTATGCTGTGCTTATCTTTGTAAATCTCATCTTATACACAAATGCTCATGCATTATTAAGAGTGCTGTTCTAAAGTGAAATTTACAAGGTGATCAGGACAATGCTGGATCAATTAAATATTCAAATGGAAATGACTGAATACTGACCCCTATCTCAAACCATACAGAGTTCATTTCCACATGGATTCATGTTGTGAAGGTGAAGGGAACATAATAAAATATTCTCATAGAGAAAGATTTCTTAACCTGGACAAAAAAGTAACAATTAAGAAGGAAAATTTAGTTAGTTTATATCAAAAATAATGACTTCTGTGTTTCAAAATATACCATCCAAGAATTAAAATGGAAACCAAGAGTGGAGAAAAATATTTATCCCAACTTATATGAAACAAAATGCAATACATGTGATTAATGAATGTCATAAATAAAAGAAAATGAACCCGATATAAAATTGGGTAAAATATTTGAACAGGCACTTCATAAAATTGGAGGCATAAATAACTGGCCAAATATGAAAAAAGGGTTACTTTTATTAGTCCTCAGAATTATAAAAATTAATCCACAAGTTGAACTACAGGCCTTCATAAAAATTAGCAAAATTTAAATACACATAATAAACAACCCCGTCAACATGTGGGCAAAGGATATGAACAGACGCTTCTCAAAAGAAGACTTTCATGCAGCCAAGAGACACATGAAAAAATGCTGATCATCACTGGCCATCAGAGAAACGCAAATCAAAAGCACAAGGAGATACCATCTCACACCAGTTAGAATGGCGATCATTAAAAAGTCAGGAAACAACAGATGCTGGAGAGAATGTGGAGAAATAGGAACACTTTTACACTGTTGGTGAGACTGTAAACTAGTTCAACCATTGTGGAAGTCAGTGTGGCAATTCCTCAGGGATCTAGAACTAGAAATATCACTTGACCCAGCCATCCCATTACTGAGTATATACCCAAAGGATTATAAATCATGCTGTTATAAAGACACACGCACACGTATGTTTATTGCAGCACTATTCACAATAGCAAAGACTTGGAACCCACCCAAATGTCCAACAATGATAGACTGGATTAAGAGAATGTGGCACATATACACCATGGAATACTATGCAGCCATAAAAAATGATGAGTTCATGTCCTTTGTAGGGACATGGATGAAGCTGGAAACCATCATTGTCAACAAACTATCACAAGGAAAAAAAACCAAACACTGCATGTTCTCACTCATAGGTGGAAATTGAAAAATGAGAACACAAGGACACAGGAAGGGGAACATCACACACCGGGGCCTGTTGTGGGGTGGGGAAGTGGGGAGGGATACCATTAGGAGATATACCTAATGTTAAATGACTAGTTAATGGGTGCAGCACACCAACATGGCATGTAACAAACCTGCACGTTGTCATGTACCCTAATACTTAAAGTATAAAAAAAAAAAAGAATCAATGTAAGTTATTCATGGCTGGAGGGGTGTAAGCTGAAATACTTTTTGGCAAACTGACTATGAGCATTCTTTATTGGCTAGACACTCTAATTCTAAAATATATTCTACTGATTGCCTATGTACGTTTTGAGATAAACATAATGTTGATCTTTGCATCAATTTTCATAGTAGCTCCAAATTGGAGACAAAATAAATATTCATCAACAGTAGAATTGCTAAATAAATTGTGATCTCATCATACAAAATAATTCTATAAAACAAAGAGAATAACACCAAAATGCAACAAATTAATGAATCCCAAGTTTAAGAAAGAAGTTTAAGAAAAAGAATTGAAACACACAAATGTTATATTACAGTGTTTTATTTATATAAATGGCAAACTCCATTAATTAGTATTAGAAGTAAGAATGTTGAATAATATTTTAGGAAGGTAATGGTTAGGAAACGTAAAAATAACCAGGATAAGATCCAGGCAGCATTGCAATGAAGGAGAGAAACTATGAGTTTCTTTCATGAAGAAGAGAATTATATATGTATTTTTTAATATTTTAACGTGTAAGAAAAGAAGTTTGAAATAGATAAATTCAATTTTATGCCTAATTTTTCTAATGTGTATATATATAATTTCTTTTATGATAAGTTAATATCAATCAACATTAAGACATAAACCATGCTTTTTTGTTATTATACTTTAAGTTCTGGGGTACATGTGCAGAATGTGCAGGTTTTTTACATAGGTATGCCTGTGCCATGGTAGTTTGCTGCACCTGTCAACCTGTCATCTAAATTAGGTATTTATCCTAATGCTATCCCTCCCCTGGCCCCCCACCCCCTGACAGGCCCCGTTGTGTGATACTCCCCTTCCTGTATCCATGTGTTCTCATTTTTCAACTCCCACTTGTGAGTGAGAACATGCAGTGTTTGATTTTCTGTTCTTGTGTTAGTTTGCTGAGAATGAGGGCTTCCAGCTTTATCCACGTACGTGCAAAAAAACATGAACTCATCCTTTTTTATGACTGCATGGTATTCCATGGTGTATATGTGCCACATACATTTTTTTTACAGTCTGTGAAGAGATTCACAGAATATTACATTTAAATACCTGTATTTACCTCCTCATCTCTCCTGTGTAACACAATCTTAAATTACAAAGGAAAAGATAAGGAATGTCATTGCCCTTGGGACATTGGTAAAACTAATTGAACTTTGGAAACGGGAAAAGATAAAAGAGGAAAAGAAATATGTGGAGGATTTAGACCTACATCTGAAGGTGGGACAGGATCATTAAGAAGGTTCTAGCCAGCCGTGGTGGCTGACGCCTATAATCCCAGCACTTTGGGAGGCTGAGGCGGGCGAATCACCAGGTCTGGAGATTGAGACCATCTTGGCTTTAGTCTCTGCTAAAAATATTTTTTTAAAAAATTAACTGGTCATGGTGGCTGGTGCCTGTAGTTCCAGCTAACTTGGGAGGCTGAGGCAGGAGAATGGTGTGAATCCAGGAGGTGGAGTTTGCAGTAAGCCAAGATCATGCCACTGCACTCCAGCCTGGGCAACAGAGTGAGACTCCGTCAAAAAAAACCAAAAAAACAAAAAGGATTCCAACCATGCAGACCCAGAAACAGTGTCAACCTATGACTGAGCTTCATCAGAATGACAGAGAATGCTTCTCCATCCTCATCCCCACCCCCATCTAGGCTCACAATTGTTGAGTAACAGGTCAAAGCAGTGTCTTCTGGGGGACTGAACAGAATTTGAAAGGAAACTTAAATGTGAGGATACAGCAGATATTGAGAAAAGCTGCTGAACCAGTCCAACCTGAAACACAAAGTAATGCTAGATAAGCGTGAAACTTATGGTGCCCTGGAAATAACTCTAAGAGGAAAAAGTCCCAAAACCAAATCAACTCCTGACTAGATTGATTCAACCTCCTCCCCCAAAACACACACATACAGCCTAGTAAAAGGGAATACATGTGGGTTCTACATGTGTTCTAATGCTTTCTACATTAGTCTACTCTACATAGTTCACTTTTTGGGTAAAACTTACCAGACATGTATAGAAACAGAAAAGATACATAAAGGAAACACTGTTAAGAGACTAAGCAATAAATAAAGCCAGATTCAATGTGGCAGAGGTGTTGGAATTATCTTTCAAGTAGATCTTATGCGTACTGTTCTAGAAGCCCTTAGTAGGATATAAAGTCCCTTTTTTATTATACTTATATGACAAGAGTCATTTTATCCTCTTATATAAAAGATATTTCCAATTCACATTCATCTCCATATTGGCAGTTACATTTTTTGACACTTTACAAATATTAGTCCACCGTCTTATACTTACATTTATGATTTATGATTGTGGAGCAGTCTGTTGTCATTCTATTAAGTGTTCCCTCACAATGAAACAGTTTATTTTGGCTGCTTTTAAGAGATTCTTCATCTTTGGTGGTGGTTTCAAACTTAAAATATCATAATGAATCAGCCACCAAAGACAGAGAAATACTAAAAATCAGCCAAAATATGTTGTTTTGCACATTCAAAACAAAGTAAATTTATGTTTTACAAATCCAAAATGAGGATTGTTTGGCTTCTTTAATTCAATAATGTATTTGTTTACTCTGAAAAAACTATCAAACATTATATCCTTGAATATGTACTCTCCTCATCTTCTCTACTTAGCTCCCCTTTGTGCTACAGTCAATCACACATTATGCTGTTTATAAAGGACATATGTGATACTCTCATCCTCCATATGTCACTACTACTCTCCTAGTTTACCTCTATTTGTCCACCTGTGAAGCCCTCATGACATTTTTTTACATCTATTATCCAAGTCACATTTTCTGCAGCTTCATTTAAGTTGCTAAGCAAAGTTTTCACTAAACAGCAAATTTTACTTATTTCACTTTTTATTAATATACATTACAATTTTTATTCTTCAATGACTGCCGAATGTGAAAAAATTCATGTATATATTATATATATTTACATATGTATGTGTTATATAGACATACACAAAATTGCTATTGGTAACGGTGGTTTTCATAGGAGTCTATAGCTACTGGAGATTTCATTTTTCCTTAAAGATATTATATTTCCTTAAAAATATTTTCTTAAAGATATTCTATTTCTTAATTTATAATAAGGATAATTCTTATGCTTTTATTAAAAACATAAATTAATAGGCCGGGTGCAGTGGCTCACATCGGTAATTTCAGCTCTTTGAGATAATGAGGCAAAACGATCACTTGAGCCCAGCAGTTTAAGGCTGCAGTGAGCTGTGATTCCACCACCACACTCCAGCCTGGGCTACAGAGCCAGAAAATATATATATAATATATGAATTGACAGTAATACATTAATACACTAAAACCAGAGATCAAGTCTTAAAAGCAACAGCAAAGTGCATTTCCAGTCCAGTTCAGTGACTATTAGAATTAAAGCCAACTTCAGGCAAAACATTTCCAAAAACACAAGAAAAAAAAAGAAAAAGGAGAAAAAATATTCCAGACTTTTGAAGACATTTATTAAAATCATAAATTGATGGTATCCTCTTTCCCATCTTTTGATGAGTAACATATTAAAGTACCCCAAAAATTATCCACAAATTTGGTATTTGAGGGTTCATTTGCTGTAAACTCAGTGGTTCTTCATGAGAGGAAGTTTAAAGTGTGTTTATGGAGATTAGCCAAGGTGTTGAATCAATCATTTCCTCTCTTCTGGTGAAACCTAATCAAGAACCCTAACGGCTATCCCAAACTCCAAGAAATGCATAGCCTTTTCAAAATCAGTGTGATTTTTCAGAGATTCAATATAAAGAGGTACAAGGAGCCAAGCTCATTCTTCTCTGGGACACACAGAGTGGCTTTGCAACTGGCTGTGAAGATGTCTGAAAGCTACTGCCACTATATGGCGAGGCCCTGATCCCTGATCAGACTTTATATTATTACTTCTACAGCAAGTATCAGTGAGACCATAAGTATATTTCTAGGGTGAGAGCACAGCTAACAGAGGAGGAGTACCTGCTAGTTTTCCAGTCCAAAACAGACTGCCCTACGTTGAATTTTTCAACAAACTGAGCTTGTTTCTATGAAATGATGTCATTTGCTTAATTAGTAAAAATGTTTTTACTCTTATTTTGTTATCCTGTCTTCCTACATACTTGTGAACTACAGTGAAGATTAATTTTACTTGTATCATTTATGTATTCATTAGTTGTTCCTATGTATTCTAAGAACTCAGAAAATAGTTTTCAGATATCTTGCAATTTTATACTTGTTGTATATCCTAAATTTTATGGAGAATATTTTATTCCATATGTTGTGTATAAATGTATTACCTTCAATTCTGAAGGTGGCACATAAATATATGCACAAGACAAAATATTCTATAATATACAACTTAGGTAATATGTTGAATAATTTGAGGGTAATATTGTGTTTTAGAGTATACTAAATGCCTCTTTAGCATTTTTGGGTGAAATCTGATCAAATTTTGGGTGAAATCTGATCTGATGAAATTTCACCAAATGTTCAGTAAATAAATATTGCTTATTTATTTAGAAATTATTTTGCAGTGGTGGCTTGTGATTGAGGATTTTCGAAATACTTTAAAGGAGAAAATTATGACATCAAAATGAAATAATGAGAGTAAAATCTCAGTGAAATACAGTTTCCTAAACCAATCACTTTTTTCTTTTGTACTAAATCGATCTTTCCTAAACCAATCACAATGAGCATTAAGAATGGTTTTCAGAATATTCAGGACCCATCATCTATGGTGTAAATTGGTCCCAATTTCATACTCTTAAACCTCAAGCTTTTTGGAGTAAAGTCAAAACTCAACAAAATGGAGGTTTCTTTTCTCCTTTTCTTTCTTTTCTTTTCTCCTTCCTTCCTTCCTTCTTTTTCTTTCTTTTTGTAACAGGTATTGTTTTATTGCCCAGGCTGAAGAGCAGTGGCTCAATCTCAGTTGACTGCAACCTCAGGGTTCAAGCGATTCTTCTGCCCAGTCCCCTGAGTGACTGGGATTACAGGCATGTGCCACTACTCCTGGCTGGTTTTTATATTTTTAGTAGAGATGGGGTTTCCCCATATTGGCCGGGCTGGTCTCCAACCTGATCTACCAGCCTTGGCATCCCAAAGTGCTGGGATTATAGGTGTGAGCCACCATTTCTGGCCTCTCTGAGGTTCATTTTTCTATACAAAAGAAAAGGGTAGGATGTAGTGCCCTGTGAGTTATGCATGCATCTGACAATTTTACCTACAGATCTGAGAGCTCTCTTTGTGCCTCAGGTTCTATTTTTGTCTTATGCAAAATAAAGCCTATTCTACTCTAGACAGAAGTGTATCATTGAGTCACAACCTGAGTCAAATTTTGCTTTGGTCTTTGTTTCTCAGGGCATAAGATGAAGAAGTTTGAATCATACCTTTCCTAATTTCCTTCCTTCAGGAAATTGGTCTCAGACATCACACAAGCCTTCCAGAAAGAAAGAATCCATCTGCCTCTTCTGTCTGAACTAATGTGTAGACCCCATTGCCACAGGCTGCAGCCCCAGCTTCTGTAGGCCCTGTCTCTGCCTTTCCTAGGAAGAAACCAAAATTCCTACCTGCTGCCCACATGCTGGGAACTGTCACAGCAGGAGGACTTCAAAACCAATATTCTTCTGAAGAATCTAGTGTCCGTTGCCAGAAAAGCCAGTCTCTGGCAATTCCTGAGCCCTAATGAACAAATGCGTGGGATCCACAGGGAGACAAAGAAGATATTTGGAGAGGTGGAAAAAGAGCCTGATTCATTTGCTGTGCTGGAACTCTCAGGAGCATGGGGTTCACACACACTGTGAGGGGCAGCTAAGGAACACTGGGTAAGTGATGGCTCTGAGAGCACTTTGAAAGCTGGAGGATGGCACAGGTAAAGAGATTAGGGGAAGATGAAGAGCATGATGATTAATCTGCTCTGTACTGGATGTCGTGTAGTGCCTAGGTATCAATGATAAAATAATAAATATAATCTGAGTGTGCTTTCCTTCCTGGAGCTTACATTTCACTGAGGGAGTGATGAAGTTAATAATCATTGTAATAATTTGACTACTTGATGCAGTGTTCAAGGCACTGTAAAGAGCTCAATATCAGAAGAGTTTCTGGCTATCCAAACTACAAGTTAAAAAGTCTTTTCTATAAGAAACCTATTTACCAACACTGGAAATAATAGAATAAAACACGTTAGAATTAGCAGGGCACGGTGTCAGTAGATTCCAATTCTGATGCAAGGTGCCACATTATCTGTAAATTAGCCCTGCCTATGATTTTCCTATTAAACTTGCTGCGTTACACGTTGTGGTTCTACAGTCCGAGATCTTCCCAAATCTCTTTCATATCTCATCCCTTGATTTCTTTATCACTGGGGGTCTGAAACCTAAAATGATTTGCTTCTCTGATGTTCACATTCATAGTTCTTTTACAGGAGAAGATTATGAAGCAAATGAGATGTTTGTGGGCAAAAATTCAAGAAAACCAAAGAAATTTAAATGAGGAAAGCAGGAAAACCAACCAGTGGATTGCAAGTATTAGGCCTTTTCCCTCAGAGTTAGCCTCAGACAGACATGCTAGAAATGTATCCACTTATCACTTGAATGGAAATCATCTTGGTAGGATTTGAGGAAGATTTTTCTCATGGCTTCCAATCCTGAGGGTACAATGCAGCATTGATTACTGCTCAGAGAGAGTGGTCAAGCTATGGAGTAGGAAGACCTGGTACTAAAAACTAATTTAAAAACACAGAGATCATAACACTGCAAAAAATTATTTGTGAATCAACCATAAATTCCAATGGCTCTCATGTAGGCTTTCAGATATCAATGGATATATATTGAAGAAACGATCAATAATAACCTTTCTTCAGGTGTTTTAGGAAGTCATATAATGAATGAAAGTGGTTTGAGGAACGAATGAATTTGGCTGTCAGTATTATTAAGAAACAATACAAATAAATGAAAGGAAGACAGGAATGATTTATTCCATGGTTCTGTCAAGTGGGAAGACACGAGTTTATGTACTTAGCTTATTGGTAGAATACATGAGTCAGGCTAGGCTCAGTGGTTCATGTCTGTAATCCCAATAATTTGGGAAGACCACTTGAGACCAGGAGTTTCCAACCAGCCTGGCCATCAACATAGTAAGACCGTGATCTTTATTATAAAGAAAGGATGAAAGAGATAAAGAAAAGAAAACGAGTCAAAGTGAATAGAAGAGGTATAAGTGGAGGAGGATGAATTCAGAGTAAACATGTCATCTAGGAAATCCAGGTCCCCGGAGTGCCATGTGTAGCTACGGGCAGAGATGACTAGAGCTGAGTAGAGGAAGCTGCATTCAGTTCCCCATGAGAAGTAAAACAACATTTAGAGAAACTTACAGATGATGACAGAAAGATTTTACAGCAACTTAAGAAAAGCAAAAAGACAAAATGGTTCAGAAAAAAAAAATAATCTAAGAAGAATCTATAAGGAGCTGATAAAAATGTGCCATAAACTAGATGTGGAGCTGCTCCAGGAAAGAACCAATAACATGCCTAAAAAATTTTTGTAGTATTTGAAGTTCATACCTTAGAACAAGCTTGCCCAACCCACGGTCCGTGGGCCACATACGGCCAAGGACGGCTTTGAATGTGGCCCAACACAAATTCCTAACCTTTCTTGAAACATGATGAGATTTTTGTTTGTCATTTTATCAAAGCTCATCAGCTATAGTTAATCTTAGTGTATTTCATGTGTGGCCCAAGACAACGCTTTTTCTAATGAGGCCCAGGGAAGCCAAAAGATTGCACACCACTGGCTTAGGTGATATTATTTATTCAACACCATAGATATGTGTGTGTGTGGGGGTATATATATATGCATATGTGTGTATACATATATATGTACCACATATATATATATAATATATATATCATATATGTGTCTCCTCCTTCTAAGAGGGAGGAACTTTTCCAAATAGTAATAACATAGGTGAAATGTAATTCTTATCCTAACCATGATCAAGCAAGCTTTTTTGGAATCTTTGAGTGGATGTAATTTTATATTCCCCTTTATCAAACACTGACCACAGGGAATATTCCCCTCTAATAAGCTTCTTTTGTAGCTTTTTTCTGAAAAACTGGACAAATGTAATGTGGGAGTCAGACAGCATGTGTCACTAAGCTGAGAGCAGTGACATATGCAGGTGACATTTGCATGTCCTGGCAGCATTGTCCAGCAAAGTCTTCCTTTCTTTGGGGATGGACCCTCCCTCCTCACCTGGAGCAGCTCCACGTCAGGCATGTGGCACGTCTCCCACAGCTCTCTGTACATGTCTTTCATCCTTTCTAAATGTTGGGTCATTCTCACTTGACTGTCTTGTAGTTGTTGGAAAAGCCCTTTTGCTTCTCTGTCCAGTGCCTGCAGATGAAGTTGCTTCTCCTCATCGAGAAATAGACGCATCTTTTGATATTGAATATTGATTATCACCTTACTTAATGACACATAGTTCTGCGGAGACATTTGGTTAAAAGGATTACATACTCTCACTCTCAACAGAAAACTTCAAATAATTATATGCTGGGTGTAATCAAGCAATCTATAAACTTTCTGCCTCACTCTTGCAAGGAGTCTTGAATATTTGTTATTTCTTTCTGTCCATCTTTTTCAATGTTCCTATTCTCTCTCCCTCTTTAAATCAAAACCTATATAAAGACTTCTAGTTTCTCTTCCTGAGATGCTTATTCACAGTTCTTACTGAGTCAATTATCTACTCTATTAATCTCCCTTTTAGGATTTTTCCATGTCTGATTCACCTAAATGTTAAAACACATTTAGCCATACACTATATTATGCAGATTGATTTTTCCTTTTACTATATTTTTACTCTATATACTATTTTATATACTATTCTATTTCTTTCCTCTTCCTCACACCCAATCTTGGTGAAATGTCTCATCTCCAGTGTCTGAAAAGGTTTATACCAACCTTCAAATTTGAACTAGAATACATATCACGCCATTTATCCAATAAACTAGAATTAATTTGGTTAGCTTGTGTGGGCTTCTCTATTTGCAATTCCTATTATATCAATTATATCAAACCCCCTCTCTACTAAAAATGCAAGAAAAAAACTAGCCAGCGACAGAGCCAGACTCCTTTCAAAAAAAATAAATAAATAAAGATAAAACTTCTGTTCTGAAGAAACTTAATCATCTATGTTAACACCCACCTACGCCCTGTGAAATGCAATCAATTGGAAGAAAGGGGTGTGGTCTTCAGAGATTTATAAACCGACACTTCAGGAGCCAAGCTCATTCTTCTCCAGAGCCCACAGAGTAGCTTTGCAACTGGCTTTGGGGACTTCCGAAAGCTACCAGCACTGCACTGTGAGACTCTCATCCCTGAGCTGAATCCATCTGATTCGACAGCAAGCTTTGGTGAGAACATAGATATATTTCTGAGGTAAGTACACAATTTCCAGAGAAGGATCTACTATTAGGTTACAAACCAAAACAAAATTTGGGGACTTTAATTTATCTGCAAACTTAGATTATTTTTAGATGGAATGATCTCATTTTCCGAGTTTTAAAAAGGCTCCATTTCTTTTTTAAAATTATTTTAAACATAATCCATAGGTTTATGGATTAAACATGGGCCACCATGTTCAGCTATTTATTTATTTGTTTATTTATTTATTTTGAGATGGAATCACGCTCTATTGCCAGGCTGGAGTGCGGCGGCGCTCTTGGCTCACTGCAACCTCCGCCTTCCAGGTTCAAACGATTCTTCAGCCTCCGCCTCCAGAGTAGCTGGAAATATAGCCGCCTGCCACCACGCCCATCTAAATTTTGTATTTTTTTTAGTAGAGACGGGGTTTCATTATGTTGGCCAGGATGGTCTCCATCTCTTGATCTTGTGATCCGTTCACCTCGGCCTCTGAAAGTGTTGGGATTACAGGCCTGAGCCACCGCGCCCGGCCTTTTTTTTTTTTTTTTTTTTAAATTTATATAAGTATTTTTAGAGACAGGATGATCTAGACATTTTACCGTGTCACCAGTCTAGAGTTCCTGAGCTCAAAATACCTGCCTGACTTGGCCTCCCAAAATGCTGGGATTACAGGCTTGAGTCACCTTCCCTGGCTTGGTTTTAATTTTTATTTGTATTTTAGCAAAACATACATTTAAAACGCTGACTTAACTGTCTAGTGCCTCGTTTTTGTTTTTGTTTTTGTTTTGGGGGGGAGACAGAGTCTTGCTCTGTTACCCAGACTGGAGTGCTGTGGCACTATCTCGGCTCACTGCAAGCTCCGCCTCCCGGGTTCACGCCATTCTCCAGGCCCCGCCTCCAGAGTAGCTGGGACTACAGGCGTCCTCCACCACTCCCGGCTAATTTTTTGTATTTTTTAGTAGAGTTAGGGATTCACCATGTTAGCCAGGATGGTCTTGATCTCGTGACATCGTGATCTGCCAGCCTCAGCCACCTCGGCCTCCCAAAGTGCTCGGATTACAGGCGTCAGCCACCGTGCCCGGCCTCTAGTGCCTGTTATTGCATGATACTTACTCTTTTCCTGACTGTGTGAAAGAGTAATGATAATGCTTCAATTATCATTATCTTTTTGTAAATTGAATTAATTGTCTGTCTTTTAAAGATGTTGTAATATTAACCAGTATATCCCCAAATTAACAGACTGTCCAGGAACAGGAAACATGCCAGAAAGTTTTTGTTGATTAAATTAACATAGCAGCCTAGAAAAACAATGATTCTTAGCTTTACCTTGGAGAGGTAACTTACCTTGATTTGACTGTTTTTCCTTGGAGAGTAAAGGCTGGCTTTTTCTGATTTGGGTCAAAGTATGAGTTCTGCTCTAACATTTTCAAGCAATGTCCTTCTGGAAAAGTCATTATGGATGGTTGTTATAGTTAAATAAAATAATGAGAGTAGAAGAGCTTAGTTAGCTTTCCTTCTCTAAACCAATCACTGGCAATGAAGACTGTTACTGATTTTCAGACCGTTCAAGACTCAAACTTTGAGTTTACAGGTTGATGAAACCCTTGAAGCCCAAGCAATTTGGTGGATACTAACACCTCAAAAAATCCGACATTCTTCCATGCAAGAAAGTAGAGTTTGGAAAGCTGGTCATGTGTTGATTGGAGAACAGTCACTTTTTATAGAGATTGATGTCTCTTTGTGCCTTAGTTTTCTATTTTTCCTATTTCTGTCATTGCAAATTAAAACCTATACTTCTTTAGAAAGAAAGGATATTATTCGATCACGATCTGATTCAAACTTTGCTTGGATCTTTGTCTCTCCAGGGTAGAAGATTAAATTCCTGTGGTTTTCTTTCCTTAGGAAAATGGACTCAGACTTCTCACATGCCTTCCAGAAGGAACTCACCTGTGTCATCTGTTTGAACTACCTGGTAGACCCTGTCACCATCTGCTGTGGGCACAGCTTCTGTAGGCCCTGTCTCTGCCTTTCGTGGGAGGAAGCCCAAAGTCCTGCAAACTGCCCTGCATGCAGGGAACCATCACCGAAAATGGACTTCAAAACCAATATTCTTCTGAAGAATTTAGTGACCATTGCCAGAAAAGCCAGTCTCTGGCAATTCCTGAGCTCTGAGAAACAAATATGTGGGACCCATAGGCAAACAAAGAAGATGTTCTGTGACATGGACAAGAGTCTCCTCTGCTTGCTGTGCTCCAACTCTCAGGAGCACGGGGCTCACAAACACTATCCCATCGAAGAGGCAGCTGAGGAAGACCGGGTAAGAGATAGCTCTGTGATCACCTGAAAGCTGGAGGGTGGCAGAGTTAAAGAGATTAGAAGGATGATGAGAATCACGGTGATTACTCCATTCTTTACTGAGTGCCAGGTGCTGTTCTAGGTACCAATGATGACATTTTGAATAAAATGTGCAACTCTACCTTCCTTCATGGAGCTTGCACCCAAAAAGAGACTGATTAAGTAAATGTCATTATTATTGACTCTACAGTTCAATGCTAATGACATTGAAAAGCTACCAAAACTACCAGTGCAAAGAAAGGTATTTTGGAAATATATTTAATATTACTGGACAAATGAGTATGGGAGTAGCACACTACAAAATCAGGGGCTAGCATAGTGGGTTCTGAAGCAGGATGTTTCCCTGAACTAATTTAGCTGGGTTACAGGAAATCTTCACTCTTCAGTTCCCTAAACTGTTCTACATTCTGAAACCTCAAACTGAAAAATATCAATTAAGGATGAGCAATGAAAAATTTTGTTTTTTTCTCCTCTCACTAATGTATTTATATATTAGATCCCTTGCCTGCTTATACCACTCAGATGGTGGAATCTTTGGTATTTGACTTTCTGTTCAACCTTTAATTCTTTTGCAGGAGAAACTCTTAAAGCAAATGAGGATTTTATGGAAAAAGATTCAAGAAAATCAGAGAAATCTATATGAGGAGAGAAGAACAGCCTTCCTCTTGAGGGTAAGTATGAGACCGTGAGTCCTCCTGACCAGCTTGAGACAGGCATGCTGACAACATTTATATTAGCAACTTGAGTTGAAATTCTCATATGCCAGATTTTGTCATGTGTTTATTCATAGGCTGGAAAACAACCAGACTGTTCAACATAACGATTGTTCAGGTTTTCTGTAAATGCTTTTCAGATAAGTAAAAAATAAATATAAATTCTGAAGGGCAAGTATGTGCTTAAAATTAATAAGTATTTCAGACAGTTTTCTGTATAAAATGAATTATGAAATATTGATTAAATAGTATATAATTGAGAAATAAAGGCATTTATTGGTGAATATGGTATTGTCCGGGGGAAGAAATCGGGTGGGAACAGTAATTTAAGAAATGTGCCTGTGCTGGTGAAATCTGGTAGCAAAGGACCCACATGATGCCAGTCCGAGTAGGAGAAAATGCAACATGAGGAAAAGCTGAGGAGAAGGGATAAAAAATGACTGGGGCAGTGAGAGGATAAATATGTCATTATTGAGAGGAGAAACACAATGGAATGGGGATTAATGTTCTTAGAATGGCAGTGCAATACAGAGTCTATGGATTTGACAGAAGAAAGATAGGAGACAGAAAAGAGGTAGTCGGTTTGAGAGATGGGGGTTAAATTTTTTACTAAGATCCTTTTTGTGTGATGGCTTCTGATCCTGATTATAATATACTAAAAACATTTCTACTAAGAGTGATTGTTCAGGCTGTGAAGTACAGAGATTTGAAACAACAACCTAAGTGAATAACAAAGATTATGTGTATTATCCATGACAATGTAACAATCAATCATAAATTTTAGTTGTTTTCTAATTGTATTTCCGATTTGATTTAAACATTTAAACCTAAAGGGCTTTTTTGCAGGTGTTTGGGAATTGATGAATTACATAAATTTTGAAGGAAGGTCTTGCTTAACTCATCATCCTGTTTGTAAAGGATGGAAAATAAAAGAAGGAATGAGGAGGATGAAGTTGTGGGCTCTGTGAGGTGGAAGTAGGCCTGGGTATATAACCTACAAAATTCATATCCCTACAGGGCGATGTGGTTTTACGGGCACAGATGATCAGGAATGAGTATAGGAAGCTGCATCCGGTTCTCCATAAGGAAGAAAAACAACATTTAGAGAGACTGAACAAGGAATACCAAGAGATTTTTCAGCAACTCCAGAGAAGTTGGGTCAAAATGGATCAAAAGAGTAAACACTTGAAAGAAATGTATCAGGAACTAATGGAAATGTGTCATAAACCAGAGGTGGAGCTGCTCCAGGTAAGAATGGAGGATGCCCCTTGAGACACTTTGTGTTAGCTGACCTTTACATCTTTGCCTTCCATTGGGTACCAAAGACATTATTTCCTCATCTCCTGCACTGACGGTGAGAGTCATTCCCACCGGTTATAGAGATAAACTATAACTCCTACGCTAATCATGGAAATAAAGCTTTATGGAATTGTGCAACTAGATTTCCATACAACATTTTCTACCACAAGCTTCCTCCTCCAGCACATTTCATTAAAACTCTGGAAGAAAAAATTTCATGCTTGATTTGAGCCACATTACACTTTGGGGACTAGCCCTGAAAAAGACCACATTGTAGACAGCTGCAGCAATGCGCAGTCACTACTCACACCTTTCTCTCTCACTCAAATTTAGGGTCCTTAATTTATCAGAAATCCATATTGTCAATAGGTCTTACTGGTATAATTGTTAGAGATGAGAATACATTTTAAAAGAGTGGCAGTAATAGTATACGGTAATTCTAAAGTTTTGAAAACCTAAAGACCAGATAGGCAGAATAGCAACTTTTTTGTGTGTTTATTTTGAGACAGAGTCTTCTTCTGTCACCCAGACTGAAGTCCAATGGCCCAATCTCAGCTCACTGCAACTTCTGCCTCCTTGGTTCAAGCAATTCTCCTGCCTCAGCCTCCCTAGTAGCTGGGACTAAAGGCATGAACCACCACACCCCACTATTTGTGTGTGTGTGTGTATTTTTAGTAGAGACGGGGATTTGCCATGTTGTCCAGGCTAGTCTGGAACTCCTGACCTCAGGTGTTCCACCCACCTTGGCCTCCCAAAGTGCTGGGATTACAGGTGTGAACCACCTCACCCAACAAGAATAACAACTTTCTAAAGAAGTCATTTTTTTTTTCTCTCTCTCTCTACAGGATTTGGGAGACATCGTGGCAAGGTATGTTTTTGGCCGTCAGTGCAAACTGGAGCACAAGGCATGCTATGAAAAACATCAAGCTGTTTCCAACAAAGTGAAAACATAATTTACTAACACCATAATGTGTCAGTGTGATTGTGTGTGTATGTGTGTGTAGTCATGTGTTTATGTGGTATGATGAATGTCATCTATGCCTTTTATCAGACATTAATCTTTTCTTACTTTCCCAAGTGACTCAGGGGTTTATGTTTTGAAGAGTGCAATGCAGAGGTTGCTAGAATACAGTTGCCTCTTTTTGCGATTCAGAATCATAATTAGAGATAAACTATTTGGTGGCAGATAGGGAGAGAGGCATTTATCTTTCAGGGGCAGTAGGTTAGAAATGGAGTGAATAGTTAGAAAGATTCCCTAAGAGCCACAAACCCATCCTAGCGTTGTGGAGGTACATTACGGTATCAGAAGTGGGTTTGAATGAAGCATTTTCTGTTGGAATCTGTTTCTTAAACACAGACATCAGAAAGTTAACCAACTCAACCTACTTCCTTGCAGGAGTGAGTCCGTGCTGCTGCACATGCCCCAGCCTGTGAATCCAGAGCTCACTGCAGGACCCATCACTGGACTGGTGTACAGGCTCAACCGCTTCCGAGGTGAGTGTGGCCCTGTTGGTGGGATCCACATGCAATGCCTTCAATTATGGTTTTCTATGGGCAGCTTTCCCAGTGTAATGATCTTTCATCTAGAAGAAGAGAATAGCCTGTGAATAGGTATTTATATTTATAGTTTCACTATCATCAAACAGACAAAACGAAATAAAAGCTGGTGAAATGTAATAGGAATCAGCCATATAACAAATTTCTTAGAAAAATAAAACATGCAGAAGGGCTCTTTAGGACTTTAGGAACCATTCTCTGATACAATTTCATGTATACAATTATTACATGAAGTATACAGAACTGAATTCAGGACATTTCAATTTCAAATTCAGTGCAGTTAACGACTGATTTGAGTGACAGCGTTTTTTTAAAAAAAATACATTTTTAGGTGATGTTTCATAGCATTTATAATTTTAATCATGTTTTTAATCAACTAAAGCATACATGAGTAACTTATATAACAATGCAAAAACTGAGAATCTGTCAACAATAGGAACATGATTTGGTGGTTGATGAGGTCTTAGATAGAACTCCAGGATAGATCATGACAAATCCAGCAGAATAAAAGAAGTCTGTGCCTGAATCTGGCATGAAAGTCAGATAATTTTTGCAAGGAATCAGCACTTTTCAGAAGGCAGATTCAGGTTTTCTCTTTAAGTATGAATTTGCTAGGTTAAGTGGCAGATCATAATATTTCTGGAAAGTGATAACTTTTTTATTTGGGACTAAGAATAGCTCCCCACCTCATCTCCTGTCCAAAGCCTCCTGCTCTGCCCTGACAGAGACGAGACAATGAAGGTTAATTTTATGGCTATGGACTTGGCTGCAGTGGAGGAGCTTCCAGTTTTTCAGTTGTTATGAAAGGTCGCTAACGAGACATAGACATGACCTTCCTCCCCTTTATACTTTTTGAGTTTATGGAAATTGTGATCATCCTAGTTTAGCCATTTACTTGTGCAGATCTCCTAACACCCTTTGATTCCAACATTTTTCCAGACAGAAGTTTCTTTCTAATCTTGACCTGTGTTTTCTAGTGAGAATCTCTTTCTTATCTGAACATAAGAATTTACAAACTGATTTTCACTGGAACATTCTCTTTTTTCTACAGTGGAAATTTCCTTCCATTTTGAAGTAACCAATCACAATATCAGGCTCTTTGAGGATGTGAGAAGTTGGATGTTTAGACGTGGACCTTTGAATTCTGACAGATCTGACTATTTTGCTGCATGGGGAGCCAGGGTCTTCTCCTTTGGGAAACACTACTGGGAGCTGGATGTGGACAACTCTTGTGACTGGGCTCTGGGAGTCTGTAACAACTCCTGGATAAGGAAGAATAGCACAATGGTTAACTCTGAGGACATATTTCTTCTTTTGTGTCTGAAGGTGGATAATCATTTCAATCTCTTGACCACCTCCCCAGTGTTTCCTCACTACATAGAGAAACCTCTGGGCCGGGTTGGTGTGTTTCTTGATTTTGAAAGTGGAAGTGTGAGTTTTTTGAATGTCACCAAGAGTTCCCTCATATGGAGTTACCCAG